>NC_000023.11:14561730-14864760 GCF_000001405.40 Homo sapiens | reverse complement strand
CAGTTAAGAATATCTCTCATTGCCCTTACTCGAAAGAATCAGCTGATTTCATTTCAGAATGGAACTCCTAAAAATGTGTGCCAGCTTCCATTTGGAGATCCTTGTGCAGTTCAACTTATGGATTCAGGTGGAGGAAACCTCTTTTTCGTTGTATCCTTTATATCCAATAATGCTTGTGCTGTATGGAAAGAGAGCTTTCAGGTACAACACTTATTGTAATAATAATTCAGTTGGTGGTCTCAGACCTTTTAAACATTTGTATAGTTCATAGAGTTCATTCTGGAGTCTTATTGTCTAAGTCAATTTTCAGTTCTGTACATGAAATGATAAATATTACATTGTTCTTTTTTCTTAAGGTTATCTGAGTACAACCTGATGGTGTTTTTTTTGTCTTGCCATTTTGAGTCATAAAGCCTTTGAGTTGTTTGGAAATGTGTAAATACATATGTAACTAGAATTATGTATTTATTTTTCTATTATAACTTTCTAATTTTTATTAATATGATAGTAGATGTGCATTTTCACTTACAATAAGATTATTAGTGATTTGACTAGATAGATAAGCCTTCCTGGAAAATTCAAATCAGTTTTTCATCTTTTTATTTTTATTTTTTTATATTTTTTTTGAGACAGAGTCTCGCTTTGTCATCCAGGTTGGAGTGCAGTGGCGTGATCTCGGCTCACTGCAGCCTCTACCTCCCAGGTTCAAGCGGTTCTCCTGCCTCAGCCTCCCGAGTAGCTGGGATTACAGGCATGTGCTACCACACCTGGCTAATTTTTATATTTTTAGTAGAGATGGGGTTTTACCATGTTGGCCAGGCTGGTTTCAAACTCCTGGCTTCAAGTGGTCCGCCTGCCTCGGCCTCCCAAAGTGCTGGGATTACAGGCGTGAGTCACCATGCCCGGCCAACTTTTTAAACATTTATAATTATCTATTTAAATTTACTTGTTGTCTCTGATTCATTTCTGAAAGTGAAATATAGAGAAATTCCTTGAAATCTGGAGAGACAAATAATTGTTCTCCATAGACAAGTGGTAAGCATTACTTTTTCTAAAAACTTACTCAGAGATTTTTATTATGTTATATTTTGAAATGCAGAACTGACCTTTGAGCAAGTATTCACTTTTTTAAGTTTGGAAATTGTTCTAAAATATTCACTGGTATTGAGTGTTAAGTAACAGGTAAAAAGGCACAGAAAACCAATAGGAAATTAGAGTTTTGTAACTGGGTGTCTCCACCAATAATATTTCTCTGACTCTGTATTTTTGGGTAATGTTGCATCCTCCTGGTTGAAAATGTATTCAGTTATGTGATTTGAAGTGTTTATGAATTAAGACAAATTATCATTACTAGTTAGAAATGTCTCTTCCAAAAGTAGTACACTATACAACTTTAGTTTTTGTGCTACTTAGGAGAGAAAAGCAGATATTGCCTTATTTTGTGTGCCCTATCCATTTAATTAGAAGCTCAATGAAAATTTTTATCATTATATTATCACCTCTATGTGGAATATTGTTAAATGTTTTAGAAAGTTTGAAATTCATTTTTAAATGTGAATCATTATTGTTTGTGTGGGGGGAGGAATGTCAAGTTGGAATTATGAATCAGGCTTTGCCTTACCAAGTACTTTTATATTAATAGGGATTATTTTGAATTTCTGTAATACGTATGTATCCTCTATAATACATAGAGAATGCAAAAGGAAAATAATTTGAAAGCTATCCTATTTTATCTTGAAAGCAATCTTTTAAAAGCGCATTATACATTTATTTGAAAGTTATTTGGAATTGTCTTTTTCCATTCTCTTTTCCTTTAAAGAAATGGTAGGGGAAAAACATCTGGTATACCCTATAGTGTTTTACTGTAGTCAAGGTAATATAATAGAAAGAACACACGTACCCTGGGTTTGAATCCCAACTGAGCCACTTACCAGTGTTACCTTAAGGAATGTAATTCTTGTGAACTCATTTTCCTCCTTTATGAAATTTGGGATCATTCTGACTCTGAGAGGGGAGAATTAAGTCAAATGACATTGTAAAGTGTCTTGCACAGAGCTTGACACATAGGAGGAACTCAGTTAGTAGTAGCTATTACTCTGTTATATTACTGTTAGACAAAAGCCAGGGCTGTCATCAGTTACTTACACTTACTCAAGATCCCCTATTCACCTAGATAAGGAAAAAACAATTCCTTTATGTGTCATTAATTGCAATCGTCACTCTCTTGAAGTGGGTCCCCTGCTTGGACCCTGTAAAGCTTTGCCACTAACATGTTACCCAAGGCAGGAGACTGCATCATTCCCTGTAGGTGGACCTATAATTGCTGCTTCCCTGACCCGAAGTTGTATTCTAGTGCACTCTCTCTACAATGGACCACTATCTTTTCCACACGTTACTTACCTAAGTCCCTACTGACTTACCCCCTAAGGTGCTTCAGGAATTCTGTACTTCTAACCTGCTCTCAAATGCCCTGTTTTAAAAGCTCTGGAATTCACCCTGATATCTACAAGTAAGTGCTTCAAAGTTGCCTCTAACCCTGCCACTTTGGGCGTATTCAGGTCCTGCTTCTATCTTGGTGTTACATTTATACTCAACTTCTTAAAAAAAAAAAAGGGAAATATTAGTTTAGGGTAAAATATTCAGTTACTTTAAAAACAGAAATAAGGCTGGGCACAATGGCTCATGCCTGTAATCCCAGCATTTCAGACTGCCGAGGCAGGCAGATCACTTGAAGCCAGGAGTTCAAGAGCAGCTTGGCCAACATGGCGCATGCCTGTAGTCCCAGCTACTCAGGAGGCTGAGGCATGAGAATGGCTTGAACCTGGGAGGTGGAGGTTGCAGTGAGCTGAGATCGCCCCGCTGCACTCCAGCTGGTTGACAGAGCAAGATCTGTCTGCAAAAAAAAAAATTAATTTAAAAAAACAGAAATAAGAGCTAAGAATCTAGAAATAAAGTGGGAGTAGAAATAATTATGCCAAAAACTCAGGTTAAGAGAAGTAACTACACTTGAACAATTACCTTTAGTTTTAACAGTTAAGGCAAAAAAGTAAATATGATGGGTTTTACAACTGAAGGGAACATACTACAAGGGAAAAGATTTTTTTCTAACATTAAGTTCTGAGAAGAATTTACTGTTTGTGGTATTTTGTAAAAGGTTTTGAGTAATAAGGTGAATACCTTATTAAATAATAAGGTGGGTCTTTGATAGCAGTTTTCCCCCAAAATAGAAAGCAATAGAAGCAGTTTTCCTTTGGGTTGGCTATGGATCCATCCATCCATCTATTCTTTTATTACCTCATTCCAAGAAGGAATTAAGCCAGCTTACAAAGATAGGTAAAATACAAACAAGCATAAATTAGAGTAAATAATGAAAACAAGGTTAGTGTTTTCCCAGATCAACACTTCATAAAAGCCCGAGGCATGATGTTTAATGTGGTAATAGGACTTGAAACAGAGCTGAATCTAAAGGAATACATGATTAACTTTTTTCTTCTTAGGCTTTCTCTCTTGGGTAGGAATTGTCTCTGCAAGTTTTGACAAGAATCTATGTGGCAGGCATTTCAAAATTGAGGTCATTGGCCGGGTGTAGTGGCCCACGTTTGTAATCCCAGTGCTTTGGGAGGCCAAGGTAGGAGAATTGCTTGAGACCTAGAGTTTGAGACCGGCCTGGGCAACATAGTGAGACCCCCATCTGTACAAAAAATTAAAAAATTAGCTGGGCGTGGTGGCATATGCCTGTAGTCCCAGCTACTTGGGAGGCCGAGGTGGGAAGATTGTTAGAGCCCAGGAGTTCAAGGCTGTAGTGAGCTGTAATTGTGCCACTGCACTCCAGCCAGGGCAACGGAATGGGACCCTGTCTCAAAAAAAAAAAATCCATCTGTCAATAAAATTGAGGTCATTGTCAAGTATACCTGAAGCATAGCTATTGGTGTGTTGTTGATAGAGGTTAATGTATTCTGGTGCTGTGCTGTCTGATATGGTAGCTACTATCCAGATGTAGTTATTCAACTTTTGAAATGTGGCTAGTCTGAATTAAAACATGTTGTAAATGTCAACCATCAAATTTCAAAGATGAATAGAAATGGTAACATCTCTTAATTTTTTAATGATTACATTGAATTAAAATGACAATATTTTAGATATATTGTGTTAGATATATTAAAATTTCATCTTTTTACTGCTACCAGAAAATTTAAAATTATATGCCTTATATTTGGGGCTCACTTACCTTTCTATTGGATGGCACTATTCTAGAGCTATAGATTGCAAATATGTGTGTGTACACATGCATACATACATAGTTCTGTGCTGTTTGCCTGCCAAACACATTCTTATTACTAATGTCTTTTCCCATAGTCCATTATACTCCATGATACTGGTGGGAGAAAGGGAGGATATGGGTTTACAGAAAAGCTGTCTCTCTGCACAAGTGAAGAATCAACTTTGGCAATTAGCCTTATAGGGGAAGATTCATATTTGGGTATGTGGGTTGAAGAGCCTTACTTTCATTCTTGCTCTAATGTGAGCTACCTTCCTGTATCATCTAGATGATGTATCTGTGCTGCTGGAATTCTGAGAAGGGGTTTTAGATTTTTTGTCTCAGGGAAAAGGGGGATTTGATCCTCATGGTGTTAGTTTACCCTGGGACCAATCTTGAGGCTTTCAGCTATATGTACCATTAAGAAGTTGTCCTCTATTTTAAACTTGAGGTCTCAGGTTCTGATATAAACTGACCAAATCATTCCGTGAGGCTAGGATGGTTCTGGCTGTCCCACTTTTAGGACCCCTCACCTGTGTACCCGATACTAGCTGTATTCCCCTCCACACCCACATCAGGGTTTAAGGTTTTAAGCTCATCTTGACTCTATTATAGGTTATTTTCCATTAAGAGCTCTTAAGGTGTCTACTAGTACTGTCTGGTTACCTGACAGTACTGCAGCTGTCAGGTATGCAACAGAATGCAACTGAATTCCTTGGGTAATTTGTCTGATCATAAATACATATACACTAAGACTTAATGGGAATGAAGGTCATCCTTAAATTAGCTGTGCGAGAGAAGGAATCTTCACTAGAGTTTGACTCATGATAAATGTTAGAATTTCCAAAGGTTAGTCATGAAAAGTGTTAGAACTTATAAATAGATTACAATAAAATTTTGATATAGAAATCAAGAATGTGACAGTCCCTGGACAAACCTGAATAAAATATTAAATCTAAGTACCTTGCTATTTATAAAGTTTTTATAACTCTTATATTTCCTCATCCCCTAATATCTTTATTTTATTTTAGTTTTTACTATTTTCATTACTCATTTATAAGATTGAGTTTTACAAATGACAACTACATGAAACAAAAGGACTTAATTTATTTATTTCACATTCGATTTTTTCTTGTCTACTCCTCCTATAATGCTCCCTTTCTTTTAGGTTGCTGCTAAATGGGAAAAACTTAGCTTAGTACTGATAGATGACTTTATTGGAAGTGGAACTGAACAAGTACTCCTACTTTTTAAGGACTCCTTGAACTCAGACTGCCTGACTTCATTTAAAATAACGGATCTTGGAAAAATAAACTATTCGGTAAGTTCTATTTACTTATTATATGGTATTTTAAGAACCATTTTAGAAAATTTAAGTGCTCAAAAGCTTTGACCTATCATTTAAATATTGGTGGTTTTATACTTAAAATTTTGAACTTTAAAAATATATAGATTGAATCTTTTAAATATATACATTGAATCTCCTTTCAACAAATGTTATACAAATTGACCATGCTTTTGATATAAATTTGAATTGTAGTACATTTGGTGGTCACTTAAGTGACAGCAGTACTATAAATTAACTTTATTTTTGCTTCTGAAAATCACATTTTATACCAATAAATATAATATTGGATTAAATAAGGAATAAAATGAAGCAAAATTGCTTTAGTAAAGGAAGTAACAGCTCACAATATCTTGAGATATTGGACATAAGGGAAATTATGCCCCTGAAGTTTCAGATCAATACAAAATCTCTCTAAGCCTCAGTTTTTTCATTTGTAAAATTAGCATAATTTTAATTTTCTCCAGTTATGGGATTTTAGGATTTTTTAAAAAGCTAATGAGAGCCCAGGAATTCAAGGCTGCAGTGAGCTATGATTATTATGTTGCACTTCAACCTGGGTGTCAGAGCAAGACACTGTCTCTTAAATAAATAAATGGAAAAATGTTTACTCTTTAAAAAGAAAGCTAACCAGCTGATACTTTGTAAAGCAGTATATAAATGTTAGGTGGTAGTAGTAGGAATCATAATAATTTTTTTCTAGTTACAAGAAGATGATGGGGAAAATATATAGTTTGCCTTTGTTTATTTTTTTTTTTTTGGAGACAGAGTCTTGCTCTGTCATGCCCAGGCTGGAGTGCAGTGGTGCAATGTCAGCTCACTGCAACCTCCGCCCCCTGGGTTCAAACGATTCTCCTGCCTCAGCCTCCCAAGTAGCTGGGATTACAGGTGCGCGCCACTATGCCTGGCTAATTTTTTGTATTTTTAGTAGAGACAGGGTTTCACCATGTTGTGGGCAGGCTGGTCTGGAACTCCTGACCTCAGGTGATCTGCCCACCTTGGCCTCCCAAAGTGCTGGGATTACAGGCGTGAGCCACTGCATCTGGCCTATAGTTTGCCTTTTATAAAATAGTGTGTATTTTATACACACTAGGGAAACTGTTCTGACTGGATATACTTTAATTGTATTTTGTTAGTTTTGTGAATTTTCAATTGTTGCAAAATTTCAGTCTTAGTGTATTTATTTATTTATTTATTTATTAGAGTGAACCATCAGATTGCAATGAAGATGACTTATTTGAAGACAAACAAGAGAATCGTTACCTGGTGGTTCCACCTCTAGAAACAGGACTGAAAGTTAGTGTCTGTTTGCTTCTTTTGCTTTTCGATTAGTGTTATTCTAAATGAAGGAAAGAACATTGAAAGAAAGGTCCTTAAAGTATAAGCAACTTGGTGCTTGGGTAAAAATGGTATTTCAAAGGATCTTTATCTTTTTGGCACCTCTGTACAAATATTATGATACTACTTATAAATGTATCATCTAAACATACCTTTTTTGTAGTAAGACTATATAGATTTAATAAGCCTCATGAGACAAAATAGAAGCAGCTCACTTTTGAAAACACATTCTTTCTGGGATCAGTATACCACAGTATCTTTTTAGAGTAGCAGCGAATATGATAAATCATAATGCATTCCAGACATGAACAGTTTACTCTCATATTTTCCATAAAAAGCTCCACAAAAGAGTTTTTATTTTTTTTCCCAAATGTACCAAGGTAATGAACATTCCCTGTAAAATACTGAGGCTTTGCAAAGAAATGTCAAAACAAAACAAAATAAAAAAAACCTAATGATTGTCTGTGATTCCACTATTTTGCAATAACCAATTTTAACACTTTGCCCTGTATATTCTTGCAGATTTTTAAATGAATATACGCATTACATAGAAATGTGATTATAAGATGTATGTTCTTTTGTAAGCTGCCTTTTTTGTTTATAGCATTTTCAAATATACAGAAACATTCCAGGAATACAGTGATTATCTCTGTATCCCCAATACATTCAATTCTTGTTACTTTTAAAAATCTTATTGGCCTCATGTGTTTGTGTTTGTGTGTGTATGTGTGTATATATTTTTGTAGAACCATTTAAAAGTTGCACATGTTATATTTCACTCATAGGTATTTCAGCAGGAATCTCCTAAAAATAAGGATATTCTCCTCATGCAACTATAATACCATTATCAAAGTTAGAAAATTGTTAATGATCCCTTAATCTTATTTGCTATCTTGTCCATATTCAAATATATTTAGTTATCACAAAAATGTTTTTATAACTGTTTTTTCCAGGATCCAATCTATCAAAGTTTTTACTCGCATTTGATTATATCTCTTATTGGTCTTTTTATGTAGAATAATTCCCCCTTCCCCCTTTTAAAAATTATGCTAAAGAGGAGGCCACGCTAGTTGTATCCTCTCTTTTGGATTTGTCTCTTTTCTTGCTGTGTTATTGAACTTTTTCTTCTTTGCCTAGGGTTGGAAAACTTTTTCTGGAAAGGGCCAGGTGGTAAATATTTATACTTTGCAGGTTGTTTTAAAATTATTTTGCAACTATTTCATTATTAGAGTGAGTTCACTTTAATAAATGCTTATTGAACACATATTAGACATGAATTTGAACAATAGATAAACATCATAACAGACAGAACCATGAATGAAGACATTGATCTATTCAAAATTTTTGTACCCTGAACAAAGTAAATGTAATAAGACAAATTGTGAAAAAAGAAATTGTAATACCTGACAAAATATTAATTTTCTTAATATAAAAGTACATTCTTCTATAGTATTTTTGTGAATGTATAGTGAGTGACCCAACCTTCTCAGAGGAAAAGTTATTATAGTTGCTAAAATATGAATTACTTATGTCTTTTTACTCTTGCAGTTTCACTTCTAGAAATCTCTTCTAAGGATGAAGATGATTTTACAAGAATGTTTATGTAGTATTTATAAACTACAATATTGGTCCAAATCTAAACATACATCATTAGGAGTATGATAAGTAAATTGTGATGTGCCTGAACTATGGAATACTATGTAGCTGTCAAAAAGAATAGTGTATATTTTTATACTGATTTAGAAATGATGCCAAAGTACTTTAATTTATGAAAGCATGACTTTATGAAAGGCTTAATTTATGAAGCAGGACCAACTCTCCTGATTAAAACTGAAAATGATAGATGAAGTCTCCTTTAAAAACATTCTTAGAAGCTTCAAAAAGCTGACACTCTAAGAATAAATTATCAAATCAAACTTTCAAGGCTGGAACCCAGAGAGATAAGGAGAACACTGATGCTACTTTTGCCCTGGGAGCATGTGTATTGAACTTAAATTGGTGGTGCCCCAGGCATCTGACAGAAACAAACAGAAAATCCTGTCTGGAAACACACATTCATCCTAGCCCTCATAAATCTCACAAGTAATTTTTCAAAGAAAATGAGCTGTCCACAGAATAACTAAGCACATAAAGAAAAAAGGCATCGTGAGTAATTATTCACAGAAAATAACCAAACAGCATCTCTTTCAAGCAAAAACACACTGAAATAAAAAACTCAATAGATGACTTTAAGAGTTAAAGAGATGAAAGAGATACAGAGCAAATTAGTGACCCCGAATATATGAGAAAAATTATCCAAAATGTAGCACAGAGACAGGGAAAATATGAAAGGCTTTAAACAACATTAAGGGAAGGAAGGGAGGAATGGAGGTGGTGGATAAGAGATAGTTGAATATCCATTTTGTTTCAAGTATCCATATTTTAACAGTAGCTTTCAATGTAGGTAATAAAGTTCTAAATGCTGGAAGGCCTTTTAGAGATGAACAAGCCTACCTTTGCACCATTTTGCACATGACGTAACAAATAGCCAGAAAGGTTACGTGACTTGCAGAGCTAGAACTAGAGTCCATTTCACTGTTCTTTCTCCCCTGAAATTTGTATTCTAATCAGTTACTGGAAGGGGAGATGGGGAGACCAGGACCTTAGAGAATCTTGTACACATGTACACAGATGTTCATAGCAGCATTGTTTATAACACTGCACAACTGAGCATAACCCAAATACCCATCAATTGGAGAGTGGAGAAGTAAATCGTGGGTAGTCATATGATGGAATACTGTAAAGCAACGGAAGGAATGAACTACAGCTACTAGTGATAACATGGGCAACTCTAAAGCCTGATACATGCAGAGTGATTCCATTTATAAAAGGTTCAGAAGCAAAACACACAAAAAACTTAAAATACTCCTTAAGAATTCATACAAAGGTTGTAAAATTTGAAGACAGGCAAGGAAATTATCTTAAAAGGCCAGGGTAGTATTGACTCCAGGGGAGAAAGGGCAATTATGATTGTGGAGGGCCCCTGGGCAGCTCCTGGAATGCTACTTTTTGATTTGAGTGGAATTACATGGGTGTCGGCTTCATTATTAGTCTGTAAAATGTTATTTTGTACTGTGCATTCTTCTGCACGTATGATAGAGATCACAATAATGAACAAAAAAGCAAGGTTCAGTGTCGTGCAGTACGATATGCTCCTGTATTTGGTTTTGGGTGGGTTTTTGTTTGTGCAAAGGAAAAAGCATTCCTTAATATGCACATGGAAAAGTTCTGGGAAGGTACACAATCTATTGGTTTTGCAAACGGGATTGGGCATCTAGGAAGAGAAGGTGAGGTGTACTTTCACATTGTTTAAATTTCTTACCATGTGTCTAATTTATTTTTGTAGTTTTATAGCAAAACTTCACAGCCAAGATTATTTAACTACTCTACTCAATCACTATATTGTCCTGGAGTAAGGGGCATGTTAAGGAGGAAGGAAGAGTGAACACTGACAATTTTCGAGGGTGCATTTCAATCTGCCCACATAGTTTTTTCTTCTACTCCCCACCCCTCCAGTAGCTCAGTTGTGGCTACATACCTTTGATGGGTACATCTGCCTCCCCCTGTCACGAATTACTGAGTGATGGAGTGTGAATCATGTGCATCCCACAGAACTAGGTCAACATAAGAAGTTTTAAAATATTAGCTAGACACTTTACATACTTTGTGCAATAAGGTAACATATAGGAATAATTCAGTCTTCACTCTCCAGTTTCTATTTGTTGATTAAAATAAAAAGAATTTACTTGCTTTGAAATGTAATTTAAAAGAAAAGAATCCCAAATAATGATGCATTTTGTTGCATAAATCTAGAAAAATATGTTTTATTAAAAGCCAGATGAATACTTAAACAGCCTCAGATATCCACCTGAAATGAAACAACTTCTATCAGTTCAATGACATGACTCTTTAAATTTTCAGTAGCAAACTATATTCTGTGAATGTTTTATCCTTAGTGCTGAAATCTAGTTATCTGGTATCATAAAAGGAATGGATTGCTGTATGCCCAGTTCAGAGCCAAATTGTTATTTTTTTCAGTAGTTTTCAGTAGACTCTAGCACTGAGTTTATTAGCACAAAAATAAACATAGTTTGGGGGCTGTTATAATTTTAATTTTATTTAAAAATTTTGCTATGAAGGTTACATGAACAGAAAATTTCGAGCAGTATCTGATTAAAAGTGATATTTTCTATTCATTATGCTGTCTTTGCTTATGTGGATGCCTTGTTTTTGAAGCAGAAACTATTTCAAAAAGAAAAAGTTATTTTGTGTGGGGTGAGTGTATTTGTAGGCCTTGATTTTTATTTACATTGATTCGAAGTTACTTAATAACTCACTAGTGAAACATGCTAATATATTGCCACTCTCTCAATTTGATACATAAGCTCTATGTTGCAGTTATTTTTTATATTTTCTTTTGAAAGAAGATACATTTTTTAAACTTAGAGACTTAAAATCTATAAACAAAACTGTTTTGCTCTGAGAAGTATTTTATTTTCTATAGAAAAATGAATTGATAAGCACATTTGGAGAAAGTATTTCCTGAATTATTGGTATGTCTGGTTTCATTTGAAATCATGTTTCTTGCCACTATTTTTCTTTCTACTTTACAGGTTTGTTTTTCTTCTTTTCGGGAATTACGGCAGCATCTGTTGCTTAAGGAAAAAATTATTTCAAAATCTTACAAAGCTTTAATAAACCTAGTTCAAGGAAAAGATGATAATACGTCAAGTGCAGAGGAGGTAAAAGTAATCATGTGACCATTTTATCATTTTATGAATTGAAAATCTATAAGCTATTGAAAAGTTATTTAAATTGGAATATTAGAATATATTAGAAAATGCTGCTCAGTGGATCAAGAAGAAAAGTAGCAGAGGTTATAATGGTGGACTTTTATGACATTGAAAAATATTTGATTAAGGAGCCAATATTTTATCAATTTATAGGTAATTCTGTAGCATATTAAAATTTCAGTTATCAGGAACCTTGGGGAACAAGTCCTTTTGTTTACAGATTTAACCATTAAACTTTTTTATTTGTATTGTTTGGATAGAAATTACTCATAAGTGAATTATGTATTTACTGACTTAAATAGAATATACTGAGTATTATTTAACTTTGTATTGGTGATGAGATAATTTTATTATTAGGATAATGATTGTTCTTTTAGTCTGTTGGATTGTTTGTTTCTAAGGTTATTTTTTCCTCTAGCAAATGTTCCTACACTGCTATGGGTTTTTTTAGTCCTTCTATCTGCTTTTCATAATTTTACTCTCTTTTTCCTTGTGGCTGATCATCATAAGATCCTCCTCAGGGCCGGGCGTGGTGGCTCATGCCTGTAATCCCAGCACTTTGGGAGGCCGAGACGGGCGGATCACGAGGTCAAGAGATTGAGACAGTCCTGGCCAACATGGTGAGACCCTGTCTCTACTAAAAATACAAAAATTAGCTGGGCATGGTGGCTCGTGCCTGTAATCCCAGCTACTTGGGAGGTTGAGGTAGGAGAATAACTTGAACCTGGGAGGCGGAGGTTGCAGTGAGCTGAGATCGCGCCATTGCACTCCAGCCTGGGTGACAAGAGCGAAACTCCGTCTCAAAAAAAAAAAAAAAGAACCTCCTTGGGTCTCTTATGTGGTAACTTATGTCAGTACATTAATGTAGGAAGTTAGCAAAAACTGCTGAAACTTCATAAAAATAATATTTATGCACATTAATTTCATACAGAGAAAGGCACAGCACAGCAACACTATAGTAAATCAGTAAGAGCTGAACTAATGTTGCATTTTATTCCCTCAAGTCACTGTAGTGCCTAGCTCTGACTTCCTTCTGGATTGACCATTCTTGTCATGGGCTATGCTTTGTGTTTGTATTTCAGTCTTAGCCATGTAAGGGTTTGGGTCCAAAATATGATCTTGTTAATGTAATAAAACGTAACAAAAAAACATTGTGTTGCATTTCTATATTACTGTTCTAATTTCCTGGGAAACCTCATGAAAGTCATTGTTAAAATTGTTTCACCATTTCCTTTCCTCACCTCAATGATTTTGCCAATTTTAGAAAGGGGAAGGGTTGTTTAGAAATTAATATATTGAAACCACTATGTGCAAGGCCCCATTTTTGGCTCTTTACATTGTTAGTTTTAAAAGCAAACCTGGCGGCAGGTAGTAAAAATTTCCCCAGGTTTCAGATGAATAGCCTGCTTCAGAACTCGCAGCTACTGGCAGTAGTGTCAGATTCCTGGGAACATATTTAGTCTCCTATTGAGTGAATGCCTCTATCTTTAGTAATTACCACATGGAGAGGCAGTATAGGGTAATAGTTAAGGAAGAGCATGGGCTCTGGAACGAGTTGGCTTCAGTTCAAATCCCAGCCTTGCTACTTGCTAACTGTGTGACCCTGGGCAAGTTACATAACTTCCCTGTACCTCATTTTTCTAATCTGTAAAATGTAGATGATAATACCACAGACCTAGGGCACTAGGGTTATTGTGTGGGTTAAATGAATTGATACACAAATGGCATTTGGAACAGTGCCTGGCATAAAGTAAACACTCAATAGATGTTGTATATTATTATTATCGTTACTATTATTCTTATTACTACTCTTTCGAATGTTATATATCCACATGTGTGTGGAAATGAATATGGCTTGGACTTTAAGAATAAAATTTTAGCAATAAGCTATAAGTAGTCTAAAGATAGTTTAATCAGTTTTATTCATACAAAAGTTTACAGTTATAGGCTTAGTGCAAGTCACTGATAAAATACAGACTGGATTATTTTCAGTATAACTGGGGTACATATTATCAGACTTTTTTTTTTCAAAATGGACTCCAGGTTTACCTCCCTTTTGGCTCTTTGTTGGATACCCCATCTTGCCATACCCCAGTCATGCCATGCCTCTTGATCTGAATAGATAGGGAATTTTATATATTTTATACATTTCATTTTAGTAAATTGTGTATAATCTATAATATGATATGTTATTTGTTTTTAAATGTTTGGGCCATAAGCCCTAGCCAAAAGCACACTTAACTTTTTTTTTTTTTTAGTTTTGCTACAGACGGTACGTATTTTATAATCAGTTATTTAAACTTTTTTTTTTAGAAGGAATGTCTTGTTCCTCTTTGTGGTGAAGAAGAAAATTCTGTCCATATCTTAGATGAAAAGTTATCAGACAATTTTCAAGATTCAGAACAGCTAGTAGAGAAGATATGGTATCGTGTAATAGATGATAGCTTGGTTGTTGGAGTGAAAACTACATCTTCTTTGAAGCTGTAAGTAAATTCCAACATGATAACACTGTCTTGATGCTCCAGAACAGTACTGTCCAATAGAAATTAATGTAAGCCACGTGCAATTTTAAATGTTCTAGAGGCCATATTTAAAAATGTAAATAGAAGCAAGGGAAATTATTATTACTGTTTTTTTTGAGACAGAGTCTCACTCTGTTGCCCAGGATGGAGTGCAGTGGGATGATCTCGGCTCACTGCAACCTCCACCTCCTGGGATCAAGCAATTCTTATGCCTCAGCATCCCCAGTAGCTGGGATTACAGGCACGCACCATCATGCCCGGCTAGTTTTTGTATTTTTAGTAGACACGGAGTTTTGCCGTGTTGGCCAGGTTGGTCTCAAACTCCTGACCTCAAGTGATCCACCCACCTTGGCCTCCCAAAATGCTGGGACTACAGGCATGAGCCACCATGCCTGGCCATTTTAATGATATGTTTTATTTAACCCAATATATCCAAAACATTATTTTAACATGTAATTAGTATAAAAATTATTAATAAGATATTTTGCATTTATTTTTTCATACAAAGTTTTAAAAATTTGGTGTGTATTTTACATGTATAACACATCACAATTCCAACTAGCCACATTTCTAGTGCTTAATAGCCACATGTATCTAATAGCTACTCTCTTGGCCAGCACAGCTCTAGAAGTATCTCTTTTACACAAATGCATTGAGTTAATAATATGAAGAGGATGAGGTTTATGAAATTAAGATGCTATAGTCTCACGGTGAAGATAATCAAACAGCATACAGAACTTTCTAATCAAAATATTTAGAGGTATTAGGGATACTTAGAGACTATTGACCAAAGTGAATAGGTAAAAATTTCGTTAAATAACAAAGTATCTCTCCCTCTGATAACAGACGATATTCTCTTTTGGGATGTTGAAATCATGGATAGAGAAGTATTGTGCATGCCATCTATATCTGCAGTCTAACAAAGAGCTTTTTAGCCAAAACAGGCTAAATACAGGCATTACAGTAACTACATTGAATTTGAACCACGGGTACGCAGAGAAACCAGGTAGTGCCTTGTAATAGGTGATGGCAGTATATTTGAGCAGCTTAACACAGTAAGGGAGCCAGACTACTTATCTAGTGGGTTTGAGATATGGATTTATTGTTTTGTTTCAGTGAATTTCTAAGCTGTTTTGGGCTGGTTGATCATCTGGGTTTTTCTTCTCTCTTCTTTAATGTGGTACTCTATATTAATCAATTTTGTCTTATAAAATCAGTCTTGCATTCTTGTGATAAACAGTTTGTCACTGGATTTGGTTTGCTATCCTTTGGTCAAGAATATTTGCATCTAAATTCATGAGTGAAATTGGCTTGAAATTTTCTTGAATGATACTTGCCTGATTTTAGTATCAAGGCTATACTAGTTTATAAATGAATTGAGGAATATTTCCTTTTTTCCTGTTCTCTGGAGCAGTTTGTGTAAATTTGGAATTACCTATTGCGGGATCTGGCCAGCAGCCCGCAATGCAACGGGGCTCTCTCTTTGTTCCTAGGCAGATCGGCAGGTTGAGAAATAACACACACACACAAGATAGTGAAAGCTGGGTCCGGGGGGGTCACTGCTTTCTGGTCCCACACTGCCAACAATGCACTGGATATACCAGCATTTATTATTAAGGTTAGTGAGGGCGGGGGTAGGTTAGTGAGGGATTTAGGGTCGTTTGATTATGAGGTGAGATGGTCACGTGGGGATGAAGTAATTCTTTAACATAACATTTGTATGTAGAAGTACAGTACATTTTTGTATGTAGAAGTACAGTATACAGAGATAAGAATTTACAATATAGTGTGTGTGTCAGTAATTTCTAACAGAGCCTTAAAACAGAAACACAATCTTTCGATAACCTATGATTAGCAAGATATTAATCAGCAGTAACAATTGCAACAAAAGCTGGTTACTAACAATCCATGGAAACAGGACGTGAAGCTAGACAACCGGTTAGACCAGAAATTCTCAGAAGGGAGTATGCCTTAACCCTAAAGAGGCCTAGAAGAGCCGTGGCAAGATGAGGGTGTTTATAGCCCTATCTTATCCATATGGACAGGCGCCCCCTGTGCGTCCATTTATAGGCTCTCTACAAGGGTCGCATTCCATTCCCAGAGCTATGAACATCTGCTTTTCTGGGATAGGAATCTTGGTGATGTGAAACCTCCCTGACTGCACGTCCATTCATAGGCTCTCTGGAGGGGGAAGCACATCACGCGCTGTTGGCTCGTTCTGGCAGTCCAACCTGGCATTGTCTTTATGCAATCCTGCATGCAATTTTGTATTTACAATAATCAGGAGCATTTCATCTTTTATTCCATAGCAATAGTTTCAGGGGGTCTCCCTACAATTACCTACTCTTTGATATTTGGTTGTAGTCGCCTGGAATGCAGTAGAAATCTGGCATTTCTTTGTGAGGTGACTTTTAACTACTGATTCAATTTCTTTAATAGTTACAGGATTATTCACATTTTTATTTATTCTTGAATACATTTTGCTTATATTTTTCTATTAATTATTACATTTATTAGCATAAGTTGTTCCTAAGATCCTCTTTAGATATTTATCACTGTGTTGTTAGTGTTTGTCAGTGTCTTTTTATTCCAAATCTTATTTGTGTCTTCTTTTTCCTTGATCTTGCCAGAGTTTCATCCATTTTATTAGATCTTTTCAAATAATTAAATTTTTTGTTGATCTTCAATTGTGTATTCCCTGTTCATTTCTGATCCCTTATTATTTCCTTTTACTTTATTTGGATGTATTCTGTTATTCTTTTTCTAAATATTTGACAATGACATGATTAAGTGCAGATTTCTTTTTTTTTTTTTCCTCCTTTAGATTGTTGAGCTTCCTCAAACTGTTTTGTTTTCTTCTGGCAATTCAAACAATTCTTAGTTCTTAATTCTCAAGATACTGATGCTTCCTTACTTTCTCTAGTATCTGTCTCCTTCTGGAACTTCAGTTAGTCCTCTGTTAGATCTTCTCATTCCATACTCTATGTCTCAACATCTCTTTCATATTTTCTATTCACCTGGATAATTTCTTCTGATCTATATTCTTTTCACTAATTTTATCTTCAGTTCTTTCTAGTCAGCTATTTAATCCAGTCATTGAGTTTCTAAGTTTTATTATTATTTGTATTATCATAAATTTTATTCTTTCTTTTTTAGATCTGCCTGGTAATTTTTTATTCTCTATTTTCTGTCTTTTCTTTTTTTCATATGCTAAATAGAATTACTTAAAAATGTTTTTATATATAGAACATTTGAAACATACAAGGAGAATAGTGTGGTGAACTCTTCTGCCCGTCACTCTGCTCCAGTAATTATCAACTCATTGCTAATCTTGTTTCATCTATACCTCCATGCACTCCTCACCCCCATCCCCCAGATTATTTTGAAGCACTCAAAGGCATTATATTATTTCATCTGTAACAATTCCAGTGTATGTATCTAAAAAATAAGAACTTATATAATTACCCCCCCAAAATTATCAGTAATTCCCCCAGTAAATGGTCAAATTTCCCATTTCTGAATTTAAAAATATTTTTTCAAATCGTGAGCCAGATAAGGACTGTAAATTGGACTTGACTGTTATCTCTAAGTCCTTTGTAATCTGTAGGTATCCTTTTTCTGTCTTTTTTTTTTTTCATGCAAAGTATATTTTATAGAAGCCAGGCAGTTTACCCTGTGAAGTTCTATAGACTGGATTTTGCTGATTACTTCCTGTGATATTGCTTAACATGTTTCTCTGTCTCCTGTATTTCCTCTAAATTGATGGTTAGATCTAGAGACTGGGTCAGAATAATGCCTGAATTTTTGTTAACAGAATACTTAATAGTATTGTTTTCTTCCACTGGGAGGTATGTAAAGTGTGATCAGTTTCATTTTGTGATATTAGCAGCTATTGATGCTCATTACTTAGTTCCATTGTTTCATTAGATTTTATAACATGGTGGTATTCTAATTCTATTACTGCTTCTTTATTTATTAGCTGGAATACTTCTATAAAGAGAAACCTCTTCTCATCAATTATTTAGTTAGACCCTCAAGTATAGTTTGTAATTTAGAAATCAGAATTTGAGTGCAAGAGGTGCTTATTTATCCTCAGTGGGTTGTTGTTTCTGGGCCTTTTTAGTAAGCAGAGGTAGGAAATATGTGTTTTGTTAGTTTGGTCTGTTGTGGTTTTGGTAAGTCCATGCTGATACGTCCAATTCAGATTAAGGACTTCAGGTTTTTACTTATCACCATGATGTAAAAACTTCAAGGTTTTTACTTAACATCATGATGTATCTTCTTTCTGTATCTTCTGTCTCCGCTATTGATAATCCCAATTCTCTGTTGCACCTACTACATAATTACTCTACAGTATATATGTAGTGTTCATAAAACAGCATTCCCAACAAAACAATAGTTCAATTAGTGCAAATTAAGATTTTTGAGTTCTTTTTAAATCTTTAGTGTAACTCATTAGACATATGGTCAAATTCCTGTATTAAAGGAGTTTTCAGTATTAAATTTCTACATTCAAGTTCTTTCTTTGGTCATGTCACCATTCTTACCTGTTTTACTTGATAAACTTTGACAATGCTGGAATGTGCTACAGTAAGCCTGTATATATTTGTAAATTATTATAAATGTAGATATGGAAAGAATTGCTGAGGGATGAACAATATTCTGACTGAAAAAGATTTTATTCAAGTCGTTTAGAGGAACGAAAAATACAATTTTTAGTTTAGAGCTGTTTGCATTCTAACGTATCACCAAAATAAACTCTTAAAAAATAATGAGGAGGTTTTTTCTTGTTTAAAAAGAGGAGAAAAAAAAGACCAACCTGAAAGATAAAATCCTGGCATTATTTTGCCATTCCTTTATCTTAAAAAAATTTTTGTCTTACTTTAATTTCTCTTACTATCATTCCTAATACCATTCCTCTATCTTAAAAATTTTACTTTCCTAAAACCTAGCATAGTTACAGTGTTTTTGCTTGCCTTTTGAGAAGTGCTATCACAGGACCTTTAAAAATGTGTTTGGCTTTTACTCTTAACTTTTTGATATATTTTACATTTGAAATGATGTTTTCTAGGAAAGGAAAGAATAAACATTTTTTACTGTTGTTTGTATGACATTTAATCATCAATTTGATTTTAAAGAATGAGCTTTTAGATTAAACCAAAGTCTGGGTTTTTTACAGGTCCCTGAATGATGTGACTTTATCATTGTTAATGGATCAAGCCCATGACTCCAGATTTCGGCTTCTAAAGTGTCAAAATAGGGTGATTAAGTTGAGTACAAATCCTTTCCCAGCACCATACTTGATGCCATGTGAAATAGGATTGGAAGCAAAAAGGGTCACGTTGACCCCTGATAGCAAGAAAGAGGAAAGCTTTGTTTGTGAACACCCATCTAAGAAAGAGTGTGTACAGATAATTACTGCTGTAACATCTCTTTCACCACTTTTAACATTCAGTAAATTTTGTTGCACTGTACTGCTACAAATTATGGAGAGAGAAAGTGGTAACTGTCCTAAAGATCGTTATGTTGTGTGTGGCAGAGTTTTTTTAAGTCTAGAAGATCTTTCAACTGGGAAGTACCTACTGACATTTCCAAAGAAGAAACCTATAGGTAATTTTGTTGGCACTTTTAGATTATATATTTAATTGAATTAGAAAATTTTAAGAATTCTGTTTATCTGATAATGGGCAGAGTTTAATGATAGAGCTTGTGACTTTTTTTGTAGAGCACATGGAAGATCTTTTTGCACTTCTTGCAGCATTCCATAAATCTTGTTTTCAAATCACATCACCCGGCTATGCCCTGAATTCAATGAAGGTGTGGCTCTTAGAACATATGAAATGTGAAATAATCAAAGAATTTCCAGAAGTGTACTTTTGTGAAAGACCGGGAAGTTTCTATGGGACACTCTTCACTTGGAAACAGAGAACACCATTCGAAGGGATTTTAATAATCTATTCCAGGTAATGCATATTAAATTGTAATTGGTCCAGAGAAGTGAGTGTGTATGAGTGTGATCAATGTGTGGTTCAACAGCGATCCGCATGTGTTTTGTATTATTGCCATGGCAATAATACAGAGCCATGGCCTAGCATGAATGAACGCATCGGCTTCATTTAGAAACTGAAGATCTCTGTTTTAATTTTATATTTGTTTTTGGCTTTTTTTAGTGCCTAGTAATTATTTTGAGATTTCCCGTTACCTCTCCTCCACAGTAAAATTTAAAAAAATATTATATTGACCTTATTACTCAGCAAAAAAAATTTTAATTGGAAACAATCTGATTAATATTAACTGATTCGATATGGAATATGTATATTTGATTGCTGTAGTCTGAATTTTATCAATGCTCACGTACATAATTGGTTCTGTTTATCATTATGGTGTTTATAAATGAATATTAATTGATTACTGCAGTATATTGTACATGACTGCTTTGTGCTGTCCTAATTTTTGTAATATTTTGTTTGTTTTTTTATTTTAGGAATCAAACAGTTATGTTCCAGTGCCTTCATAATCTCATCAGAATTCTCCCTATAAACTGTTTCCTCAAAAATCTAAAATCAGGAAGTGAGAATTTCCTAATTGATAATATGGCATTTACTTTGGAGAAGGAACTAGTCACCCTTAGTTCTCTTTCTTCTGCCATAGCTAAACATGAAAGCAATTTTATGCAGAGGTGTGAAGTGAGCAAAGGAAAGAGTAGTGTCGTCGCGGCTGCTTTATCAGACAGAAGGGAAAATATCCATCCCTACAGAAAAGAACTTCAGAGAGAAAAGAAGAAAATGTTGCAAACGAACCTAAAAGTGAGTGGTGCCCTTTACAGAGAAATAACTTTGAAAGTAGCTGAGGTTCAGTTGAAATCAGACTTTGCTGCACAGAAACTGAGTAATTTATAATTATAATTTCAATTTGATCATATTTTAAAATATGTTTTCACCACCATATAAGATTTTGGTTCTACTTGCTATATGCCTCCTTTGTAAAAATAAACACCGAGGCTTACTGTAGTAGAAACTTTAGTTTTGATGATGCACAAAATAAACAGCAGTGGTTCTCAACTAGGGCCATTTTATCTCCCTCTCCTCTACCCCAAGGGGCATTTGGCTATGTCTGGAGATATTTTTTTTTGGTTGTCAGAAGTTGTGGGGTCAGGAAGGGGTGAGGCAGGGGTGCTATGGGCATCTAGTGGATAGAGGAGACCAGAGATGCTGCTAAACATCCTACTATGCACAAGACAGCCCCCTACAACAAAGAATTATCCAGCCCAAAATGTCAGTAATGCAGAGGTTGAGAAATCCCGTCTTAGAGTTACTTAAGTGAAGACCGAAATGGCATAATAGTATTTTGGTCTAAATCTTTTAAAAACTTCATTTTTTTCTTGCTTTCTGCTTAGTAAAACCTAGCATGTAAAAATCAACTTCAAATAGATAAATTAAGCAAGGTTGTCAGGATCCACAAGTTTCTGTAAATATCAGTATTTCTCCTACAGAAATTTAAATGGCAGATTGTCTGGGCGAGACCATTAAAATGAAAGGTTTTGAAACCCTTGTCAATTTGAATGTTGTTACAAAGCTGCCCTGAAATTATGTAAGTCTATAAGAATGTGAAAATTGTAAGGCATTTTTCAGAAAAGCATCTCTCTTTCAAAAGGCTAAGTATACCTTACAGGCCACTGTTTAAAGAAAAAAAATGAAAACGCTTTTAAGCTATCTGAAATTCCAACTCTAGGCAAAATTAAAATTTAAAATTCTAACTAAAGTAACATAAAGAATATGGCACTCCTTAGGGACTGAGAAATTTAAAAATAAATGAAAATTCACTTCAGTTAAGAAGTGATTTATAAGGGGTCCAGTGAGATACATTTCAAAGGGATAAAAATTCAAGCTAGTCTTTTCTTTGAAAAATAAGAATGCTGGATTAATAAGAGAACGTCAGGAGAAAGAAAAAGACGCAAAAGGATATGGGCCAAAATAAATATTCCTGATCCTTTTTGCTCTAAAATCCTTAAGTGAGATGCAGGTTTCCATCTCAGTTGAGAGAAATAAAGATGATTATAGAATGTGGCATCTCGTGCTTGTGGCTGTGAAGTGCTAATTCTCTCATGCCTTAGAAATGCTTATACCTAATGATCTTGTGATGCACATGGTTTTTAGAGAATATAGGTTATTAGTTTCTTGTCTTGGTTTTTATGATGGTCCATATAATAAGGGACCTCCTTTCCTAGTAATCCATTGCAAATTGAGATAGAACTCTACAGCTCTATCCCTATGAAATGTCAATGGAAAATATTTCAGACTTTCTGCATATGGAAATGGAATAAATTCAGGATTAATCGTAGAAATCTGGAAAGAATATGTGTCATGTGCTATCTGTTGAAACTGCCCATGACATGTTCTGAAAGAACAACCAAATATAAAATACAGGAAGTAAATTGTAAAGTAGAGATGGTGAAAAAACTAAACAGTCATTTTAGTAGAGTTGCTTAGGAAAAAAAAAACTAAACAGGATTTAATTGTAATAGTTTATGTGTAGGGAAGTTAAGATACTAAAAATAGCATATTGCTTATTTTTAAATTACCAATGCAACCAAAAGATACAGATATGCCAAATAACTTACAAGTGAATTTTGTACTCCAGTATTTTTTTTAACTTACTACAAACTAGAAAAGCCGAAGTTGAAGAAATGACACTCTTGCCACTTTCATGATTCAGTTGTGTCTTTGCATCTACAAGCATATGTTATTGACCACTGCCCTGGTCACGACTCTGAGACTCCCCTCAAAAACACAGTCCTCCCAAATCCACTCTGCCAAATTGAAAATGAATTTTGTTTTGGAATGTAGCTAAGGAGATGCATGAAAACACCTTGATCCTGTACTCTTGTTGCAAATTATTTCAAAAACTGTAGACCCTTCAAGAATTCTAATAGTACACAAGTGACTCTCCTATTGTCCTCAGAGCATCTCTTTATACCATGTAGAATTGACTACTCAATTGTTTCTAGTGTTAGAAAGGAAAAGGTGTTATTAACATACATCTCTACCTGCTCTCCCCAGTAGAAACAAAAACTTCAACTCTCTTGGCTAGAAACCTGTGTAAAACTTTGCTTTCTTTTTCCTTTCTTTCTTTTTCCTTTTTGCCTAAAACTTGGACAATATCAGAAATTGAGAGGATTCCATTTTCTTCCTTGTCTTCTAAATTACAAAGATGTTACTTTCCATTCTAAGAATTTGGGAGTGAAAGATCTTTCATGTGTAAGCCATCTGAAGAATTTTAGGCTTCTGCTAAAGACAGTGTGGTGCAATGGAAAGAATACTGATACATAAACACTATTCTTAATTCTTCAAGGGTTTGTTGTTTTCCATTTTTGGACTTTCTATATTGGTTACTTGCATTGCTTTACTGCCTCAACAAAATAGCCCTGTCCTGTAAGATCCTACTATGATGAATATCTTTGCAATGCTAATGGTCTGGTCACTTTCTAGGGCCTTATTTCAATGATCCTGCCTTGCCTTTTTATTCAGTAGGGTGTCACACTATTCAGGTCCTGAACTTTAGTAAGGGCAGTAAATTAGACACCTACCATGCTTTGACTATTCAGATTTTTTGCTTTGCTACACCTGTGAGCAACTATGCTGGACAACCGTACCTGTGTGCATAACTCTGGCTCATAATGGCCTTAGGTTCAGCTAGAAAGTTTCTGTAGCATCCTTAACTTAAATTATTCATTTCCCCACAGCAGCAGCCACTTACCACTAAATGTACAAGCAGTGCTATGGTCAGTAAAGCATGCTATTAGTAATCAGTCAAAATATTTAACACTAGATAGCAGGTCAGTCAGGAGTGAGAAAGAAGTGCAGTCTATTGATTACCTTTTCCACATCTATTTCACTTTTTTTCTTACTGAAACTCTCGTTTTGTCCAGGGAACTTCCTTTCCCATAGTTCATGTGATTGGGGAGGTGAATCTCATCCCTAGTTCCAGAGGTTAATCCTGACTAATCTAAGCCAGTTAGTGCAAGACCTTTCCCTGGCAGCTGTTATTGGTCTGGGGTGGACACAAGACCTAAATTGGGTCTAATCAGACTGAGGGGAAGGGCTTGGTTCTTTGGTGAGGAAAAGACTGTCAGGCTGGAAGTAGGTGGCCCTTATTTAAAAAGTTGAGAGTTACCTTATAATCACAAGGCAATCAAGCCTTAGAATGAAATTGACACAGTGGAATGCAAATTTTTTATTGTTGTACCTCAG
Organism: Homo sapiens; assembly: GCF_000001405.40. NCBI lineage: Eukaryota > Metazoa > Chordata > Mammalia > Primates > Hominidae > Homo > Homo sapiens. The sequence goes on along the minus strand of NC_000023.11, from coordinate 14,840,215 downwards.
AATCAAATCTAAATCTCACCCTTTTCCTGGACTGCCAATTACTAAAAAAAAAATTCCTTGGCCGGGAGCAGTGGCTCACGCCTGTAATCCCAGCACTCTGGGGGAGGCTGAGGTGGGCCGATCACCTGAGGTCAGGAGTTCGAGACCAGCCTGGCCAACATGGTGAAACCTTGTCTGTACTAAAAATTAAAAATTAGCCAGGTGTGGTGGCACATGCCTGTAGTCCCAGCTACTTGGGAGGCTAAGGCAGGAGAATCGCTTGAACCCTGGAGGCGGCGGTTGCAGTGAGCCGAGATCGCGCCACTGCACTGCACTCCAGCCTGGGTGACAGAGTGAGACTCTGTCTCAAAAAAAAAAAAAATCCCTTGTAACAGAACTCAAGGTTTCCATTACTTGTAGTTAAAATTGTTTCTAACTGTTAAAAATGGGAAAAAGAATGCCAGAGAATAAAGCAAGGGGAATCCCAGGATAGAAACAGTTTATTACAAAACAGGATGCTTTTACCTTTAAAAGAGTAGTAAAGAACCATCCACTCACCACCCCCATATGCCCCTTTTATTTCTGGGCAGTGGCTTGCTTTTTTTCCTTTTTGAGTTTATAATTCAATTTATTATACACTTGATAGTAGTATATACCTGAAAATAGATGCTTTAATTATTTTTTTATCTTCTTTTCTTTATTCCTTAGCTTCTCTCTGGTATTACATGAGGCCAGTTGATTTATTATGCCATCCTCATTGGGTAGAGGGATATGTCAGATTATTTAACTTGTTTCTCAATATTTCATATTTTAGAATATAAAATTATAAATGTAAGGGCCATATCTGTCTAGTGTGTTTCTTAGATATCTGAATTCAGACTTTCAGTTCTCATTTCTTTCTTTCTTTCCGTTTTTTTTGTTGTTGTTGTTGTTGTTTTTGTTTTTGAGACAGGGTCTTATTCTCTTGCCCAGGCTAGAGTGCAGTGGCGTGATCTCAGCTCTGCAGCCTCCGCTTTCTGGGTTCAAGTGATTCTCCTGCCTTAGCTTCCCAAGTAGCCGGGACTACAGGTGCATGTCACTATGGCCGCCTAAGTTTTGTATTTTTAGTAGAGATGGGGTTTCACCATGTTGGCCAGGCTCATCTTGAACTCCTGACCTCAGGTGATCCGCCCTCCTCGACCTCCTCCCAAAGTGCTGGGATTACAGGCATGAGCCACTGTGCCCAGCCTCAGTTCTCATTTCTCCTGACAGCCATTCTCATATTCTCAGCTATATCCTCTCCAGTAGGAAGAGAAGGAAATCTTTATCAATTTATATTGTTCTAGGAATCTTTCTGCTAGAAACAACTGATTTAATGTCATGGGACTGTTTAGGAAATACAATAGTATTGCTATATAAAAAGAGATGCACGTTATTATTAATTAGAGCTTATAACCTTTCCAATGATAACATATGTACTAAAACATGAGTGGTTGCCTTTTAGTATATACTAGGAATCAAAAGACAAACTTTCTAACTTCATTCTAACCTCATTAAAAAACAAGGTGATGATAATTTTAGTAGGTTTTTTTGTAAGCCTGATGAGATGTTTTAAGATTTAGAATGACTCAATTTGGTTATGTCAAGTACAATAATCAAATCATCTTACAAATTATCCCAATAGGAAATCAATATGCTTTAATACTTGAAAGATTCTGGTAAAAGTAGTAAAAACATTGGGGGTGTGATGGGGGTCAGGGGTGATGGTGGTGGTAGAATCTGAAGGAGACCAGGACCAAATGTGTTCTTAATAGTCTGCAAAATCTTAAGAAAAACTCAACATGCAGCACATGTGTTATGCCCAGGAATGGTGGATAGGGCTTGGTGTGTAGGCTAGTCAGGTGTTTCCTGAAGCCAGTGCCAGCTGGAAGGGGAATTAGCCAGTAAATATAAATAGTAGGAAAAAGAATTATCCACAAGATTTAGGAAAAGTGTTAAAATTATAGCCCACACTTGCATACCAATTTTCTATGGCATGGTGGATAATATAAATAGTGAATATTTATTGATTATTGTGTGCCAGACACTGATCTGAATGTGTAGCCCATGTGATCCTTACAACCCTATAAAACTGTGCTTCCCAGGATAGTAGCTATGAGTCATATAGGACTATTTATGTTTAAATCAATTAAAATAGAATAAGGTTATACATTCAGTTCCTTAGTTGATCCTAGTCACATTTAAGCTGTTCAGTCACATAAGGCTAGTGGCTACCATTTGATCACTGCAGAGAACATTTCCAAAATCACAGAAAGTTATATTAGGCAATGATGTTATAAGATGTATACTATTAACTAACTCTGTTTATCGATAAAGAAACTGAGACTGAGACAGGTTAAATAATATATCCAAAGTCACATAGCTGGTAAGGGGTAAGGAACAGAGCCAGGATTCTAATCATCCAGTCCAGCTACAGAACCTTTGCTCTTTCACCACTATGCTATTCTGTGTATAAAGTCAGTTTGTAATAAAACACTATCATGTCTTGACAGTTTTATATTACCAAAATGCATTTATTGTTGAAAAGGAAAAGTTGCACATAATACACAATTCTATAAAAGTATAAATCTGTTAATATAATTGAATTGTCAGGGAGAATGTGGGCCACATCATCCTAAATCCTGTAATGAGCAAGTTATTAGAGTTGGTTGATGGCCCCAGCTGAGTTTTATCTCTTGACTACTTCCCTCCAATTATGTCTAAATACCTGTGTGCCTGTTCCCTATTTCCTCTCAGTTTTCTTTGTTAGAACCACCAGTCTCCAGAATTATTGCATTACCATTGCTGGTTCATGTTTTAGGGACTTTTAAAATGAAAGTGTCAGTTCTCTAAATAGCCCTTTATGTAGTTTCTCTTTGAAACATGTCTAGGCCCTGAGAATCTCTGAAGTGTTTGTCAGTGGCTGGTGATCGCTGCAGTTGAGGGCTTGGGATTCCAGGGAAAGGTGCAAGGTGTCTAGCCAGGAAAACTTACATCTTTATTCGCTATGAGTACTACAGCACTTGAGAAGAAAAGGAGGTAGAATTCTGTTTTCTATTTGTACCTTTTGCCTGATCTAATCATTCCAAATGATATGCCTATAGAAAACATTTCACCTCTTGCAAATTATCAATAGTGTACAAAGTAGAAGGGAATATAGAGATCTTTTATTCAATCATGTGTCTATAGAGGTTTCATTGAACACATTCTCATGCACATCTAGGTGCCAGATAAATTTAAGACTCTTGTTGGTTTTCAGAAAGCTTGCAGTCTTAATGGAAGAGACAGTGGCAGAGAGTTGTAGGTGACATTGAGGTAATTAATACAAAGTTTTACTGAAGTTCCATGGGAACACCCTTATAGGGCACTATACCCAGTAGGGATATCCTCTGAGAGCAGTTCTTAATTTTGGATAAGAGGACTCTTTGGGGTTCTGACAAAAGCTAAGGATTTCATGTTGGGGGCGGTTGTAAGATTAAAGTGGTATTTTAATATAATGGTGTTTTACCTCATCATTCAGAGAGAATCTCAGAGAAAAATGTCTACACAGAGAAAAAAGTTCAAACCAAAGCACTTTGAATAGCAAAAAGGGGTCTAAAATATTTAAATCATGATTTTGAAGTATTTCTTGGTTGAAAAATTGGTTTATTTTATTGCGGAACTGTAAAATAATTATCTTTAAAGCTTTTTAGAAATAAGATTTGTTGTAAAAATTTAAATAACATATGCATGTACATTAAAGCAAATAGCTTTTAAAAATCGATTACCTCAATTATTTTGCCCTATTTATTTGTTGTAGTTGAAAAAACATTACATTTATCATCCTAACAATTTTTAAGCATATAGTTCAATAGTGTTAAATATATTCATGTTGTTGTATAGCAGATCTCTAGAACTTTTTCATCTTGCAAAACTGAAACTCTATACCCATTGAGCGTTAATTTCCTCTCTCTCTTCCACCAGCTCTTGGCAACCACCTTTCTACTTTCTATGATTTTGACTACTTTAGATACTTCATGTGAGTGGAATCATAGAGTATTTATATTTTTGTACCTGGCTTATTTTACTTAGCATAATGTCCTTGAGGTTCATTCGTGTCATAGCTTGTGACACTATTTCCTTCTGTTTAAAGCTGCATAGTATTCCATTGTATACATATATCACATTTTGTTTATCTGTCCATCTGTTAGACATCTAGGTTGCTTCCACTTCTTGGCTGTTGTGAATAATACTGCAATAAACGTGGGTGTGCAAATAATTGTTTGAGATCCTATTTTCAGTTCTTTTGGATATATACACAGAAGTGAGATTGCTAGATCATATGGTAATTTTATTTTCAATTTTTTGAGAAACCTCTGTACTATTTTTAATAATAACTGCACTATTTTACATTCCCACCAACAGTGTACAAGGATTCCAATTTCTCTGCATCCTTCCTAACACTTGTTATTTTCTGTTCTTTTGATAGTGGCCATCCTAACGGGTGTGAGGTAATGAATTATTTTGCCTTTGAGAGACCCTGGGCAGCCTTTTGAGTTTCCAGTTCAGTCACTTTTTTTTCTCTACATCAGTGGTTCTCAAAGTGTGGTCCTGGAGGAACAGCATCAGTAACATCTGAGAATTTATTAGAAATGCTAATTCTTGGGCCCTACCCGAAACCTGCTAAATCAGAAATTGAGAGTTGGGCATGGTAATCTGTATCTTAACAAGCCCTCTAGGTTATTCTGATACACACTCAAGTTTGAGAACTGCTGCTCTACACTAATAATTCTCAGCCACAGTTGTATATAAGAATCACCCGCCCAGGTGTGATTCTGTCCTGCGCGGCTCTTCTCTTGAGCTGGGGTCGTTTATCTCTGTCCACCTTCTCTCCCACCTAAGTGCATGTAGCCACCTGATGGAAGATTCGATGGACATGGACATGAGCCCCCTGAGGCCCCAGAACTAACTTTTCGGTTGTGAACTAAAGGCCAATAAAGATGATCACTTTAAGGTGGATAATGATGAAAATGAGACCAGTTATCTTTAAGAACGGTCTGTTTAGGGACTGGTGCAAAGGATGAACTGCACATTGTTGAAGAAGAGGCAATGAATTACAAAGGCAGTCCAATTAAAGTTAACACTGGCAACTTTGAAAATGTCTGTACAGCCAAAGCTTTCCCTTGGGGGCTTTGAAATAACACCACCAGCGCTCTTACAGTTGAAGTGTGATTCAGGGCCAGTGCATATTAGTGGACAGCACTTAGTAGCTGTGGAGGAAGATGCAGAGTCAGAAGATGAAGAGGAGGAGAATGTGAAACTCTTAAGTATATCTGGAAAGCAGTTGGTCCCTGGAAGTGGTAGCAAGTTTCCACAGAAAAAGGTAAAACTTGTTGCTGATGAAGATGATGATGATGATGATGATTTTGATGATGAGGAAACTGAAGAAAAAGCACCAGTGAAGAAATCTATACAAGATACTACAGCCAAAAATGCACACAAGTCAAATCAGAATGGAAAAGACTCAAAACCATCATCAACACCAAGATAAAAAGGACAAGAATCCTTCAAAAAACAGGAAAAAACTCCTAAAACACCAAAGGGACCTAGTTCTGTAGAAGACGTTAAAGCAAAAATGCAAGCAAGCATAGAAAAAGGTGGTTCTCTTCCCAAAGGGAAGCCAAGTTCATCAGTTATGTGAAGAATTGCTTCTGGGTGACTGACCAGGAGGCTATTCAAGATCTCTGGCAGTGGAGGAAGTCTCTTTAAGAAAATAGTTTAAACAATTTATTAAAAATTTTCCATCTTATTTCATTTCCATAACAGTTGATATCTGGCTGTCCTTTTTATAATGCAGAGTGAGAACTTTCCCTTCCGTGTTTGATAAATGTTGTCCAGGTTCCATTGTGAAGAATGTGTTGTCCAACATGTCTGTTTAGTTTTTAAAGATGGAACTCCACCCTTTCTTGTTTTAAGTATGTATGGAATGTTATGATATGACATAGTAGTAGCGGTGGTCAGACATGGAAATGGTGGGGAGACAGAAATATACATGTGAAATAAAACTCAGTATTTTAATTAAAAAAAAAATCACCCAAGGGCTTCTTAAAATGTTTTTCTGATCTTATGCCCCACCTCAAAGAAAGATCTTGATCCATGTGGTTTAGGGGGGTTTTGCCTTGAGCCTTGGCATCAGTTTAAAAGCTCCCCAGGTGATTTTTTTGTTGTCGTTTTTGTTTTTGTTTGAGACAGGGTCTCACTCTGTTTCCCAGGCTGGAGTGCACTGGCACAATCTCAGCTCACTGCAGCCTCTACCTCCCAGGCACAAGTGATCCTCCCACCTCAGCACCCCTGAGTAGCTGGAACCACATGTGCCCACCACCACACCCAGCTAATTTTTGTGTGTACATATATAAATAGTGGTTTTTATTTTTATTTTTTTTTAAGAGACGAGGTTTCACCATGCTGCCCAGGCTGGTCTGGAACTCCTGGGCTCAGGCGATGCGCCCACTTTGGCCTCCCAAAGTTGGGATTTTAGCTGAGATTGCAGGTGTGAACCCCCCCCACACCCAGCCTCCCCAGGTGATTCTAATGTACAGCCAGGGTTAAGAGCCACTGCTGTACAATCAGCTTGACCATTTCAGGGCGCAGGGCTTCACAGATTTTTCATTTTTAGTAGCATCATTGTCTTAACAATGTAGTAAGCTAGTGCTTCTCAAACTTTAACATACATACTATCACCTGGAGATCTTGTTGAACTCTACTTTGTGATTCCGTAAGTCTAGGGTGGTGCCTGAGACTGCATTTCTAACAAGCTCTCAGTCGATGCAGATTCTGCTGGTTCATGGGCCACACTTTGAGACTCAAGGTAATAAGTAACCCTCTTCAAAGTCAGGGCTTTTGTTTTGGGGAAAATTCAAGTATTCAAATAGAGCTTTGTTGTCATTCCAAAAAGTCCTCACCATCCGATGTGTTCTTTCAATGGATAAATACAAGGTAATCCATCTTTGCTGGTGTTGTGCTTTCATTGATAGAAATTTTGTACAAAAGTATTTCCCTGCATCATCTGTGTTCCAGCATCTTTGGTGATGAAAGGAAAATGAAAAGATACATGAACTTAATCTTTTTCTTTTTTTACATTTTACCATTTAGGTTATTGTTCATGCCTTATGTAAATAATCATTGTGGAAGGAAGGATATGTTTTCTTTAATTCCTAAATGAGAAATTACTCTGAACGCAGAAGCAATGGGAAGATGATGATTGTACAATGCCTAATATCCTTTATTCATTAAGACTTACACTAAAAGAAAACCCAACTCAAAACAAATTTACACATGAAAGACATATAATGGTTGTTGTAACCAGTGGAAAGCATTCAAGCTTGAGTCAGTTTGATTCAGCAGCTTAGCAGGATATTAAGGAGATTGTCAGCTTCCTCCTAAAGTTGGCCCCCCACATGTTATGGAAGGGCTGAAACACTTCCAAGATACACATCTGCACACCACTCCATCCAGAAGAGAGCTTTATGGAAGAGTGAGGAACCTTCTTTTCCAAAGGAAAATCTTCCCTCATGTCTTACTGCCCCACATTCATTCACACATTCAATCCTGAACTAATATCTATGGCCAGTTGAATACCCTGTATTAATTGGCTTAGGCGTGAAGATAGAGAGGGAGACTTCACATTTTACTGTTTGCTACTACTACAGTTTTTTGTGTAGGCATTTATTTATGGGTTGAATTATGTCCCCCCAAAAAGATATGCTGAGGTTCTAACTCCTGGTACTTCAGAATGTGGCCTTGTTTAGAAATAGGGTTGTTGCAGATGTGGTTGAGATGAGGTCATACTGGAGTAGGGTGGGCTGCATTCCAGTGACTCACGGTGTCCTTTTAAGAAGATGGCCACGTTAATACAGAGACACAGGGAAAATGCTCATGACAAGGCAGGGGCTGGAGTTATGTAGCTGCAAGCCAAATATTGCCTGCAAATCACCAGAAGGTAGGAAGAGGTAAGAAAGGTTTCAGAGGGAGCCTGGCTCTGCCAACACCTTGATTTCAGACTTTTAGCCTCCAGAACTGAGGAACAATAAATTTCTGTTGTTTTAAGCCACCCAGTTTTTGGTATTTTATTACAGTAGCCCTAGGAAACTAGTACAACATTCATTACTTTTAGAAATTAGAAAATCAAGTGTATGTTGGAAGAAGGAGGGTAGGTCATTCTAAAGGCAACAAAAAATGAAACACCATGATGTTTCCAGGGGACTGTAAACATGATTGTTAGTGGTCAGTCTGTTCTCCTAAATATCTTTTAATTTTTTTTGAGTTTTCCTCATCTTCGTTGCTACTCCCTATTTCATGCTACCATTATTTCTAACCTGGACTATTTCAGCAGCTTCCCAACTTGTCTCCTTGTTTTTACTCTTGCTTCCTTCCGGTTTTGTTCTACAGACTGCTGCCACAGTTGTCTTGTCAAAGCACAAGTCTGATCATCCACTGCTGAAAAACTATTCATCATCTTTCCACTGTTTCAGTGTTCATTCAATGACTTCCCATTACTTTTAGAATGAAGATCAAATTCCCTATGTGGCAAGCAAGGTATGGTGTCATCTAGCCTACCTCATGAGTCTAGCTAAGATTCCGTTCCCCATCTCTGTGGGCTGTAGTCTCTGACATCCTTTCAGTTCAAGCACCAGCGATTTGCCTCCTACCTCAAACTCTGGACAGGCAGTTTCCATTGCTTATACTGCTTTCTCTTCAATCCTACTTTCCCATTCACCTAGTTTTATACCCATTCATTTCTCACCTCTCAGCTCTTGATTCATTTCTTTGCAGTGTTCACAGGTATAATTTAATAGCTAATAATAATTATAGACAGGTCATATAGTTAACACCAATTTGAAATCATGGCTTGTTGACTCCAAAAGGTAAAACCCCTAGTACTCTAACTTCCTTTTAGGCGGAGCCCATTTTCTGTCTTGATCATCTTTGTATCCCATCTAACATAATGCTTTGCACATAGTGGGTGGTAAACTAATATTAGTGTAATTTTTTCAAGAAAACATGAATGAATGAAATGTATTACAGTTTTAAGAAAGTAAGGGGCTAGTCTTTGTGTCAGAGATGAGGGTCCATTAAGGAGCTTGTACTTCATTCTGCAGTCAGTGGTTCCCAGAATTTTTGATCACATTGGCAAGTGTCATTTTAAACACTGTGGAGACTAACATAAAGTTCACAACCTTTTTGTTTTGCCAGGTCAGGACATTAAAAAATGTTACCCCTGCCACCATGATTTCATAAAACAAAGAATATAGTGATACTAAATGTGTAATCATAGAATACAGATAATTTAAAGTGAATACATTTGGTTTCATGGAAAAATCACATTGTCTTTATTTTTCTCAGTCTCATTGTGCAACACACTAGTGGAAAGGTATGGATGGGCATCCATCAGCGGATAAATATTTAGGCACCGCACATGGGGAATCTTGAAGGAATTTATGTCGGCACGTGGCATGGTCAGCTTTTTTACATAGGTGACCATGTCAGCTGTTTGGAGGCAGGACAGTAAGAGGCAAAGTAGATTCTGGAATGAGGGTATTGCTAGAGTGGTCTAGATGTGAGGTGATGAAGTATTGATTTAAATTTGCAAAGGTAAGGATGAAGTGTATTGCAGAGATATTTAGGATATATTGTCAGTTGGACTTAGTTTTTCTTTTATTAATGGTTCTTAAAGGGTGGGGAACCAGAATCACTGGAGCTAAATATGTGTGTATGTACATGTACACAAAGACATGTATATAACTGGCATACCTTGTTTTTTTGTGCTTCACATATATTACATTTTTTACAAATTGAAAGCTCCACAACCCTGCATCAGACAAGTCTACCAGCACCATTTTTCTGACATAAGGTGCTCATGTTGTGTCTCTGTGTCATATTTTGGTAATTCCTGCAATATTTCAAACTTGTTCATTATTAGTACGTCTGTTATGGTGATCTGTGATCAGTGATCTTTGACACTACTATTGTAATTGTTCTGGGGTGCCACAAACCACACCCATATAAGATGGCAAACTTAATTGATCAACATGTGTGTTCTGACTACTCTACCTACCGGCCGTTACCCTGTTTCTCTCCCTCTCATCAGACATTCCTATTCCCCGATACACATCAATATTGAAGTGAGGCCTACAGTGGCCTCTTGAGTATTCAGGTGAAAGGAAGAGTTGCATGTCTCTCACTTGAAATCAGAAGCTGGAAATGATTAAGCTTAGTGAGGAAGGCAGTTGGAAGCCAAGATAAGCTAAAAGCTAGGCTTCTTGCAACAGTTAGCCAACCCATGAATGCAAGGGAAACGTTCTTGAAATTAAAAGTGCTACTTCAGTGAACATACTAAGAAAGCAAGACGTCCTTATCTTTGGTATGGAGAATGCTTGAGTGATTTGGATAGATCAACATTCTTCTATTACAGTATTCCCTTAAGCCAAAGCCTAACCAGAGCACTCTCTAACTCTCTTCAATTCTGTGAGAGCTGAGAGAGGTGAGGGAATTGGAAGAAAAGCTGGAAGATAGAAAAGGTTGGTTCATGATGTTTAAGGAAAGAAACCGTCTCTATAACACAAAAGTGTGAGGTGAAGCAGCAAGTACTGATATAGAAGCTGCAGCAAGTTATCTGGAAGATCTAAGGTCACAAATAAAGGTAGCCATACTAAACATCAGATTTTTAATAAAACAGTCTTCTACAGGAAGAAGATGTTATCTAGGATGTTCATAGCTAGAGAGAAGTCAATGCCTGGCTTCAAAACTTCAAAGGACAGGCTGACTCTCTTGGTAGGGAGTAATGTAGCTGATGACTTAAAGACAATGCTTATTTACCATTCTGAAAATCCTAGGACTGTTAAGAATTATGTTAAATCTATTCTTCCTGTGCTCTGTAAATGAATCCACAAGCCTGGGTGACAGCACATCTTCTTACAACATGGTTTATTGAATATTTTAAGCCCACTGTTGAGATCTACTGCTCAGAACAAAAAGATTTCTGGCAAAATATTACTGCTCATTGACAATGTTCCTGGACACCCAAATACATCTTGTAAGGCTATAGCTGCCATAGATAATGATTCCTCTGATGCATCTGGGTAAATTGAAAATTATCTGGAAAGAATTCAACATTCTAGATGCCATTAAGAACATTTGTGATTCATGGGAGGAGGTCAAAATGTCAACATTCAGCTGGGTATGGTAGCTCACACCTGTAATCCCAACACTTTGGGAGGCCAGGGCAGGAGGAATACCTTGGTTCCAGGAGTTTGAGACCAGCCTGGGCAACATAGGGAGACCCTGTATCTACAAAATATAAAAATAGGCAGGTAAGATGGTGCACATCTGTGGTCCCAGCTACTCGAGAGGCTGAGGTGGGAGGATCTCTTGAGCCTGGGAGGACAGGGCTGCAGTGAGCTGTGATTGCTCCACTGCACTTCCAGTCTGGGTGACAGAGACTGTCTCAACAACAACAACAACAAAAATAAACTTTAACAGGAGTTTGGGAAAAGTTGACTCCAGCCCTCATGGATGACTTTAAGGGATTGAAGACTTGGTGGAGGAAGTAACTGCAGATGTGGTGGAAATAGCAAAAGAACTAGCACTAGAAGTGAAGCCTGAAGATGTGACTGAATTGCTGCAATCTCATGATCAACCTTGAATGGATGAGGGGTTGTTTCTTATGGATAAGCAAAGCAAGTAGTTTCTTGAGATGGAATCTACTCTTGGTGAAGGTGCTGTAAACATTATGGAAATGACAGCAAAGGACTTAGTACATAAACTTAGTTGATAAAGCAGCAGCAGGGGTTGAGAGGATTGACTCCAATTTTGAAAGAAGTTCTACTGTGGGTAAAATGCAATGAAATGGCATTACATGCTACAGAGAAATCTTTCCTGAAAGCAAGAGCCATTCAACATGGCAAACTTCATTGTTGTCTTATTTTAAGAAATTGCCACAGCCACCTCAACATTCAGCAACCACCACCCTGATCAGTCAACAGCCATCAACATCACGGAAAGATCCTCGACTAGCAAAAAAAATTACAACTCGCTGAAGGCCCAGGTGATGGTTAGCCTTTTTTAGGAATAAAGTATTTTTAAATTAATGTATTATATATATTATGGTTTTTAGACATAATGCTGTTATACACTTAGTAGACTAAAGTATAATTTAAACATTAAACATAACTTTCATATGTACTGGGAAACCAAAAAAATATGTGGCTCACTTTATTGAAATATTTGTTTTGTTTTGGTGGTTTAGAACTGAACCCAAAATGTCTTGGAGGTATTCCTAGACTTGCTTTATATCTGAACTAGAATCATCAAGAGTAAGGCCTAGCTATATGTATTTTTTAAAGCTACAAGTGTGATTTTGGTGCTCATCATTAGTTAAAAACCATGAGATGGTCAGTGGAAGGAGCAGGAGTAGTCAAGGAGTACTCACAGGTTTTTATTTTGGATTAATTATATAGAGGATTTTGGAAGAATAGTTTGAAATCCTTCAATAAATCTATCCCACTTTGTGAAAACAATTTGTATTAAATGGGCTGACCTCAATGAGAGCAGCCTTCGTTCTTTACCCTCAGATAGTAATTCTGGTTCATCACTGTGGCTTCTTTGGTACTTTTAGGTACTGAAGAGCAATCTCATTTTCAGGTATTGAAAAGTTCATTCCAATCTGTTGTCTTCAAAATGAGACTATATAAGAAAGCAAATATAATTACATTAACAACTAAAATGTACTAATCACAAGAAATGTGTAAGATCTGAATGAAAAAAGCCATTTAAATAATACTAAAAGATTTCAAAAAATGGCTTTAAAATAGTAATATATATCATATCCTTGGATAGGAAAACTAAACGTCACTGTCAATTCTCTCTATGTTAGTTTACAGATTTAACTCACTCCTGATAAAAATACCAATAAGCTGTCTAAGGCACAAATCAAGCTGATTCTAAAATTCTGTGGAAAAATTTGCAAGCCAGAAAAGCTATGAAAACTCTGAAAAAGAAAAGCATGTGGGGAATAGAGATCCACTGTGCTGGATATTAAAATATATAATATCAATAAAAGTTTGTTTCTAGTGTGCAAATAGACACCTGCTACAATAGAATAGAAAGTTCAGAAATAGGATCAGATACACATGAGAATTTAGCATATGATAATGATGACATTCCACTTTAGTGAGGAAAAGATGATCTTAGGAAATCTAAGTAGCCATCTGGGGAGAAAGGAAGGGATGTGCCTATCAGCATGATCAATTTGAAATAGAACAAAATTTCAAATGTAAAAAAAAGAAACAAAAATATTAGATGAAAGCAAGGGATAATTTTCTTACTAACTTAGAGTAGGGAAGACTCATCAATCTATGTCACAAAAGTCAGAAGCCATGAAATTCAGTCACATACAAAAAGCCAAAACATCTTCAATTAAAAAACAACAACATAAGTTAAAAGACAAGATACACACTGGAAAAACATTATTTGTGACTCCTGTCTCAGAGAACTAATCTCGATAATACAGAGAAAATGTCTTGAAAATGAAAAGAGTCAATAGAAAAAGCGGCAAGGAAACTTAAAAATAGTTAACAGAAAAAGAAATGCAAGTGAACTCTTAACATGTGCAACTTCACTCAAGTGAAATGCAGATTAAAATTACATTGAAAAAATGACTTTCACTTAAGAGTGAAATAAAATAGGTTGCTACAGGCATACTCTCCCACTAGACAAAACTGGATACATTACAGAAATCATCTTAAAGGCAATGGAGAGCTGTGGAAATAAGGTCTAGATGAGCTAAAATTACAGAAAAGGGAGAATTATTCCAAAGTAACTTAATAACGGTACACTCTTTGTTTCTCTAGGGACAGGCTGTGAAACAGGCTTAGTCCAAGGAAAGGGCTTCTGCTTGGGGACAGAAGTCAGCAACCTTTTAGCAGCTGTATGGTGCTGTCATGACAGATTAAAATATGGAGGAGGCTTAAATGCACAAACAGTTTTCATCTTGGAATATTTTCATAGTTCTGTGGTTACACAAGAAATGGGAGAGCTAGCCCCAAAACTTCTAAAAGGCAGATTGAAATTTCTTTAAATTGTACAGTGCTGCCAGGGAGGAGCTCTACTTAAAACACATGGCTGGTTTCCCTTTCAAGACATTTGCCAAGTTTTGAAACTGAATGAAGTAGGAGGCTAAAGAGCTAAGCTGAAAACTTTTGAAGGACAGAACTGTCTCTGTTAACTTCCAGGGCTAAGGCAATGTATAGCCTTCAGGATTTAGGAAGATGAACATACCAGAGATAGCTTGAATCTTACTAAACTTGCAGGATATTTCTGATTAAGCACAAATTCTGATTGGATTGAGTTGATTAACCACTCACTCTTATTGCCTAATGGAGTAAAAGGGAAATCCTCTCTGGTGGAAGATAAAATTATCTGGAACATCTATGGTTCTTCTATATACAGTGCCTGGCACACAATATAATAATATCTAGATATGTAAAGATGAAAGACAATGAAAATCAAGAGAAAAATGCAGATCCACAGATATGACAGATATTAATGTTAGCAGATAATTATAATATGTTAAATGATATGTTCAAAATAGAGAGGACAAAAGATGAAAGGATGGAAAATTGAAAACCATCGGAATGTTTAAATAAGAATCAGAAAGTTTGGAACTAAAAAATGCAATATCTGAAATTAAAAACAATGAATGAGTTTAGCTGGAGAGGGCACATAGCAGAATCCAGAATTAGTAAACTGAGATATAGATCAATATAAAATACTTAAACAGAAACACAGAGAGGGAAAACAAAGTGGGAAAAAGACTAGCATATAATAGACATGTGAGACATACACACAATTGAAGCCCCAGAGGAAAAGGAGAAAGAGAATAAGGCTAAAGCATTATTTGAAAAGGTAATAACCGATAATTTGTTTAAAACTGATGAACGACATCAACCCAGAGACTCAAGTTCACAAAACCCCAAGTAGGAAAAAAAAGAAGAAAGCACACGCACTTCATGGAAAATCAGATAAACAAAGGCAAAGTCATTGAGAAGATCTTAAAGTGGTTGGAGAAGATTGCCTTCAAAGAAGCAACAATGTAACTGACAGCTGATGTCTTGTCAGAAACAAATCCCAAATGCAGTGGTATTAATATCTTTAAAACTGCTTATAAAAAATAGCCTAGAATTCTATGCCTAGCAAAAATTTGCTTCAAAAATAAGGAAACGATAAAGACATTTTCAGACAAAGACCAAGGGAATTCCTTTCCAGCAGTCCTCCTCTACAAGAAATATTTGGACAGAACATGGAAATGCAGGAGGTAATGAACAACATATGAAAATACATGTAGTATGTAAATATAAATAATTTCTGTACAAGACAATAATTGCCATGTCTTGACTTTATTTGCGGAACTAAAATGCATAACAACACTCAAAAAGAATTTAGGACAGCAAATAGATTTTAAGTTACTACGTTCTAGAAGTATCAGGAAAATGAAAAAATAATAGGTATTATGACGTGATAAGCCAAATATGTGTTTTGTGATCTGTAAGTCAAACACCAAAAGTTAATAGAAACCTCTGTGACTTAGCACTCCTAAGTAGTTGCTTAAAATAAATGAAAATATTTGTCCACAGAAACACCTGTACACTAATGTTTGTGATAGTTTTATATGTAATAGCCTCTGAAGGAAACAACCTAAATGTCCTTTAATAGCAGAATAAATAGGTTGTGGAATTTATATTCCTACCATGGAATACTAGTTAGAAATAGAACAAAGACATGGATTAATCTCATAAACATAATGTGTAAAAAAAACCGTAAAAGAGTAAATACTTTATGTTTCCATTGTATGGTAGACATACTTGTGTATGATAGATGCACCTGACAGCAATAAGTTAAGCGTACCCCAAGAATGGCTCTGTATGGCAGATAAACCCAAATGTGTGTTTGGAGGTCCCAGTGTGGCCAACC
The DNA here is from genome assembly GCF_000001405.40 of Homo sapiens. NCBI lineage: Eukaryota > Metazoa > Chordata > Mammalia > Primates > Hominidae > Homo > Homo sapiens. Next base: position 14,824,213 of record NC_000023.11, on the reverse strand, counting down.
CAAAGATTCATTTCTTATCTATGAGGAACATCTGAGCCTCCAGCCCCTGTCCTGTGGAAAGTGGGTGCACAAGGGATTGAAACCCTTTATTTTGGATTAAATGAAGGTTTTCGGGCAAGGGTTGTTAGGGGGAGGGTGTTAAGTGAAAACACTATATAAACTGCATGCTTTCTGTAGGCAGTGGCAGTTCTCCTGTCCAGTCTGCTGCCACTGGACCACCCTGTATGTAAGTTTGCCTCAAAAAACCCTATGGCTCATTTGCTAGCTCTGGGTCTCTTCTTTGGCCTCTCAAACCTGGTGCTCTCCTTATTGGAGTGTGTAGGGGTCCAGCATGACATCCATTTATATGAAGTTCTAGAACAAATGTATGACTGGGGGAGGTGTTAACTAGAAGGGGTCATGGAAACTTTCTGGAATGATAGAAATGTTCTATATCTTGATTGGGGTGGTGGTTACCCAAATGTGTACATTTGTCAAAAATTATCAAACTATATCTTAAAAATCTGTGCATTTTGTTTTAGTAAATTTACCTTAACAAATAATTATTAACAAAACATCAATGTAAGGAAAAAGTAGAAAAAATATAATTAGTTGAAAAGAAGGCAAGTAAAGAGGAAATAAGGAACTAGATAGGCCAAATAGAAAACAAACAGTAAGATGGTCGCTGTAAGTTCAACTATATCAGTAATTACATTAAATGAAAAGGGACTGAACATTCCAGGTAAAAGAAACAATTTGTTGGTTTTATTTGTGCATTTCTTCATGTGTCTGTGCTGCATTCAAGAGACATATTTTAAAGAGTAAGATACAGAAAGGTAAAAAGTAAAAGGGTAGCTGGGCACAGTGGCTCACGCCTGCAATCCCAGCACTTTGGGAGGCCGGGGCGGGCGGATCACGAGGTCAAGGGATTGAGACCATCCTGGCCAGCATGGTGAAGCCCCATCTCTATTAAAAATACAAAAAATTAGCTGGGTGTGGTGGTGCATGCCTGTAATCCCAGCTACTCGGGAGGCTGAGGTAGGAGAATCGCTTGAAACTGGAAGGCTGAGGTTGCAGTGAGCCAAGATCGCGCCACTGCACTCCAGCCTGGGCAACAAGAGCGAAACTCGTCTCAAAAAAAAAAAAAAAAAAAAAGTAAAAGGGTAGGCAAAAATATAGTACGCAAACATTAACCCAAAGCAAACTAGCATAGCGATATTAATCTGCAGAGTAGAATCATTTTTCAGGCTATATGTCTGAAACTACTGAATATATCAGGTATAAAGTTAACACCAAATATAATGTGATTCCCATCTTCAAAATAAAAAACTACCATGGTTCAGAATAGTGAGAGAATTCTTTTCAGGTAAAAAGAGCAACGAACATTTTTCAGAACCATTAGAGGGAAGCAAATCTAGAAATAAAGTTAATAGGAATTTTCTAGGGTTTGTAGAACCAGAAGAAAGTTATTTCCCTTAACCACATACGTGGCTTCAGGAGAGGTCAGATTGGAAATTAATACCGGAACCCTTTGTATTATTTGCAATGAGTAACAAGTCTTCTGCTGAAGTTGACCATTTTGTGAACTCTGCTTGAAAGAGCTCAATCTTGTGGGTTTAATTACTCTTCGCTAATCATGTATATTATTCTTAGAAAGTAAAGACTACTTTTTAGAAAATGGGCAGTGTTCAAATCTAGGATGCACCATTTACTAGTTAGGAATACTAGGCCAGTTCTTTAACCTCCATTGGCCTCAGTTTCTGTCAGGAGCTCAGGCAAGCTAGAGAGAGCTGAGCTGCCAGTTGTGAGGGCAGTTGATTAAGACCACAAGCCAAAATGAAATTAACATTCAAGTGTTTAATCCCTTACAGTGATAATGTGAAGGCTACCCCAGCCCTGTTCCATTTTCCCCCATGGCATCAGTGGAGGATCAGGCAATCAAGCAGAGTTGGCTACCTACCTCCCACAGCATCTATTTGGCCTACAGAGAAACCTGTCACCCTTATGCCCCTGAATCTCAGGAAGTACAGTTGCTTGCACTGCTTCCTTCTCTCCCAGCTCTCAGGGGGCAGCTCTCAGACCTCTCCAAAGGACAGTCTGGCACTAGTCTTGGCGCTCCTTAAAGGTCTATGATTGCTATCAGGTCTTCCTGAGAATCCTCTTGCACTCTAGTCTGGTGAGACAGGGCAAACCTGTGAATATGTGCAGCTCAGCAAGCACCAACTGCAGAGTGAGGTGCTCTTCTTCCCTTCTGACAAGGATTTCTCCCGTCTCTTCAAAGGATTTTCTTGCTATCCCCTTGACCTGGCTTGAAGGAGGAGAGAATGTCCCTATGAGGAAGAAAACAAAATGCCAGGATGCTCTCATTTTTTCTCACTTTGAGAAATCACCTCTCCTCATTTTTCTGTCTCTCTGGGTCTCTCCTAAATAAGTTGAGGGTAGGTAGTGGTTACTGAACCAGTCTGGCAACCTCTCACTAAGTTAGCAGCTGACTTTAGAATGAATACACACTTGATGCCTATTGGCTTCAGTTCTGGGGGCTTAACAGGACTCCCCAGATGATAAGAAAAGCCCCTTGTGAATTTGTAGCAGACTAAAAGAGAACCAGAATAATCATCTGTTTAAATAACTAGGTTATATATGTCATAAATTATACTGAATGTTTTGTCTTACTCTGTTAGGGTCTATGTCATGTCATATGTCTTAACTATTTGTCAGCTGTGTGACTGAGGGTTAATTGTTAGAGGATGGCATTTTCTGAACAAATATTTTAAAATATAATTAAAACATGAAATTAGATAGACTCTTTTCCCTGCTTAACTGGCTTTTATGACTTACACCCTCAGCATGGGGCTTCACTTTTCATATGATTTTTCTCTCTCTTAAGGGTTTTCTGTAATTAAGACACATAATCCACTACTGAACTGTGATACAATTATAGTGTGTTTCAACTAAATTGATATGGCAGTTTCTTAACTAAGAATAGTATTTTAGCCATTGTAGGCATTATGGAATTTTGAGAATCAAAGCATTTTTGAGAACCAAAGCAGTTTATGGCAAAACAATCTTAATTTTCTATATTTACTTTTATCTTTATAGCAAAAAAAAAAGTTGTATAGACCAGACTCATCATAACATGTCTAGTAATGCAATGAAGAGAATATTTTAGGCATTCAGAATATATATCTGAGACCCATGATCAATATTTATTTTGGAAAACATTCAGATTTTCATTCTCTTGCCCTCACATTTTCATGAAATTCCTTTTTTGAAGGGTATTACATACCTAAGAAGGAGAGAATGCATCCAAAATCATTTTAAAAAGCTTTTAAATTTGGGATCATTTTAGATTTGCTTTCAATGAGTTGCAAAAATAGCATAGAGTTCCTGTATACCATCCCCCCAGCTTTTCCTCATGTTAACATCTATAACTATAATAAAATGCATTTTAATAACAAAAATACAATTTTTTTTATAAAGATCTGGACAGCTGAGATCATTGCTATCTATCTTTCTCAGTTATCTTTTTTAGATTTAAACTTTAAGAAGGTAAAATTTAGGTCTAATTGGATTGATGCCCTAACAAAATTATTTATTGCCACTACTCTGCATTTAGTAAGTCAGAGTTACTTTTGATATTAAATTGTATTACATTCTATTTATTTATGTAACCCATTTTTATTCTGTGTCTCCTATCAGCTAAACTCTTACAAAGTCCTTGTCCTTAATGAGCTTATCTTCTAGTTGGAAAACAAAAAAGAACAAATGACATGGACAATTATAATACCAATACAATGGATATTACAATACAATAAAGTTCAGTAGTTGTGGGAGTATATAAGACATGACTCTAACCCAGTCTTGGGGTATCACCAAAGCAATGACATGGGTTTCAACTGTAACATAAGGAAGTAGGAAGCATACCAGTAAAGAACAGATTATTTCAGGCAGAGGAACAAGAAGGGAAAAGGCTGGGAAGTGAGAGTTGGAGAGAGAAGGGGAAGGAGAAAGAAGAGAGACATAGGCAGAGACAGAGGGATGGAGATAGAGAAAGAGAGAGAGATTAGTGTTTTCCAGGAAGAGAGAACCAATCAGGAGGATAGGACTAGGGAAGAGGGATGGGTAGGTTAGTTGAGTGGTGAGAAAGGCAGGGGATGGTGAAATGTAAGGCTGGAGAAGGAAGGAAAGGCTGCATCATGAAGGTCTTGCAAAATCATGTTAATGGGTTCACTTGGGGGACAATGGGAAGCCTCTGACTTGTTTTAAACAAGGAAGTGACATGATCTGATTTGTGTTTGGAGAGAGTACTCCGGCTACAATTTGGAGAATGGGTTGGGGTGGAGCAATACTAAGCAGGCAGTGTTAGGATGCTACTGCAACAATCCGGGTAAAAGATGTGGCCTGATCAGGGTAGTCGTAAGGCAAATGAATGAAACTGAGAAATATTTTGACATCCAAAATGGCAGAACTTTGTCATTGCTGTGTAATAGATTGCCTATTCAGGCAGACATTGAGTGGGGTGCTCTTTGCAGTGGTTTCCTTGAAACAGATCTTCACAGTACTTCACTCCTTTGGTTATAATACTTTTTCCTATAAAATATGTGTAGAAAAGAGAATAGAGAATAAACAAACACAAAAACAAAACCCAACCAACCAATCAAACAAAAACCAGGTTCCTCTGAGGTCTTTAGCTGGGGGCTGTTTTTCTGTATCCTATCTCTTCTTCAGTCTTGTCGGTTCTTCCATCCAATTGCCTCTCAGATCCTCGGCTCCCCTGCGTTTCTCCTTCTCAGCTCCAGTTTGAGTCCTCATTACTTCACATTTTATTTATGACAATAAACTGTTCATTGGCTTCCCTGTTTTTTTTTCTCAGTTCTGCTGCATATTAACCTCTCTAGAAATCTATTTTTATCTTGATGCTCTCCAAGTGTTGGATAATATAGAGTGGCTCTGTTTTGTGGACTAGCTCATATACAGAGTCTACCTCTGTGCATTCTGGGTCTATGTTCCAAGGGCCTTATGTCATGGGACAACCCTGCTCCACCCCTAGAACCCATCTTCTAGACCTGAGCTGCCTAATGCATAACCACTAGCCACCTGTATGACTCAACTCTTGAAATTTGTCCAGGGGGGCTGGGGAACTGAACTTTGAATTACTATTAGTTAATTGGCATTTAAATTTAAAAAACTGAAGCAGTTTTGTCGGTGTGGATTTGAATATTAATGGAAGATGATTTTTTGATATTTGATGCAATTATTGGAAAACTTTTAAGTGTGTTTGGAACAACTTGAGTATGTGAATTCACTTTTTCAGTTGCAAATTTTACCATATCTAAGTTCAGATCAAGTGCTTCTGTTGAAAATTTAGTACCCAAATTGAGATATGCTTAAGTGTGACATGCACATTATATTTCAAAGACTTCGTACGAGTAAAATAATGTAAAACGTCTCCATAATTTTTGAATATCAATTGCATATTGAAATAATAGCATTTTGGATATACTGAATTAGTTAAAATATTAAAGTAAATGTCAACTGTTGCTTTTTGCTTTTTTAATGGGTTTATTAGAAAACTTTATATGTGTGGCATGCGTTATATTTCTACCAGATAGTGCCCTTCTAGAGCAGTTTGGACCATTTTCCTTATTCTCTCATCCCTTCAACTTAGATTTTCCAGGGAAGCCTCAATTTTTAATATTTTCTATAACATCCCCCCCAATCTTCATAAGTAACTCATGCTTATTAAATTGTTTGTTTGAATGAATGTTTTGGAACATGATCCAGGCTTCCACCCAACCCCCCGCCAGTGTTTTCTAATGTTCTTCACATCTAGAGTCTCTCTCTTTTTTTTTTTTTTTTAATAAGGCCTACATATGCTTCTGGGTCCAACTCAGATATGCTTCTGGGTCCAGCCCAAGAGATCTGCCCCACCCCACCCCGTACCTTCTTTGACGAGCAGTCATGGGTTGCCATTTCCTATCCCTCCATTCCCAGGGCACCACTCTCCCTACTGCTTTCCATAGCTCTGACTTCTTACATGTAAATCTTACCCTCCCTTCTAAAAATTCACCTGAGTCAAGCATTATGCTTTCTCACTCCTTTGACACCCACCCATCAGATCTAATTTTTTTGAGCAATACAAAGGCTCAATGAGGACCGGTTTATTAATAGCTCAGTGAGGGAAATTCCAAATATTTGAAGTCTATCCCTGTTGAGTTGCCAAATATTAAATTTGGTACTCGTAATAAATTTAAAATATATATTTATGTTTGTGCAGATGTGCAGCAGTGGAAAAAGCAGTTGCTGTGGAGTTGGCAAACTAAGGCCTTTATTCCATTTCTGTCTCTCTGGTGCCTGACCTTGGGCAAGTGCACTTCATCTTTCCGGAACTGACTTTCTTCATCTAGAAAACAATTAGATTAGGTAATCCCTAAAGTGCATTGCAAATCACATATTTTACAAGTCTGTGATGGAAATCTTTTTCAAATGCCTTATACACTACCCTGAATTTTTTTTAAATGGAACATGCTGAACAGAAATTAGCATTTTTTTCAAAATGTCAGAGTCATTATTAGGAATGTCAGTTATTATGCGCTGACAATGTAATGCAGCTAGGGGGTTATTGTGGTGTTTATGGCTGCTTACTCTCCAGAGCATGTAGTTTTTATTTTTAAATTAATGTCTGCCCTTTAATTTACTCTTTTAATGTCAGACCTGTTACTTCTTACTACTGACATCTTGACACCAGTTCTGATTGTATTAACACCTTCCCTATCCCTATCCTACCTAATTTGGGACTTCTTTGGTGATGTGGAGAAGCCTGATAATGATAATCTTGTTTGCCTTATGTCTGAAATTGGTCATTTCGTTTCTCAGCAATCATTTATTGGGTGTCTATACCTGTATGCGAGGCACAAGAGGATGTAGGGGCAGAGGAGGAAATAATTTATAAACCATCTTAATAACCTTGGGGGGCTTTATGGTGAGAAATGTATCTGACCTTTAGTGCAGGGCTTCTACATGCCTTTTTCTTCACTTCTCAGTTTCCAGCCTCTTTCCAAATGGCCGAGTTTCTCAGACAAGTCACCTGTGGATAATAGAGGGCTAATAATAATAATGGTTAATAAAAACAGTGGGGAATTCTCACAGAAATATGCAGAGACACAAATAGAAGAGAACGGAAAGTTCAGAAATAGACTCCCTGTGTCTATATAGGAACTGGGCATATAATAGGATGTTTCCCAAAACAGAGAGAAAATAGTAGGTAGTGTCTCATTTAATTCTTACAATAAGCTTGTGAGCTAGGTAACATTATTCTCCTTTTATAGATAAGGTAAAGAGTGGTTCAGAAACTTGCCCAAAGTCACAGGGGAAATAAGTGGTAGATCTAGGAGAAGGTGTTTCTTTCATCTTTGGTCTACTCCACCTCTATATGGGCCAGTTGATGTTTTAGATCATCTTCATCCTTTTAGATGATTTACTGGTCAAAGGAAACTTAGAAAAGTGGTTCTCAATCAGAATTAATGTTCTCACTCTGCCAGGAGCATTTGATAATGTCTGAAGACACTTTTGCTTTTCACAACTGGAGTGGAATCTGGTGGGTAGAGGCCAGAAAGGCTGCTAACACATCCTGCAATGCACAGGACAGTGCCCAAGAATGATCCAGCTCAAAATGTCAATAATGTCGAGGTTGAGAAACCCTATGATAGGTTAAATAAAGCTCTCATTCCCCCATTAATGACATGGCTTGGATTAAAATAAATAAAGTGTTTGAAGTCTATTTTTTATTTCTTTTTTCCTTGGTCACAAGAGTCTGAAACAAGAAACAAGTGGGAGGGAGGTGGGAAAAAACTTCTGATACTTGAAAATACTTGGAAACATTTTAATTTTATTTTTACTATATAACAATTTATTTTATTTTTCCTTCTTTGCCTACAAGTAAAATTTAAAAATAATCTTTGTATCTGTAGTAGACATTACTAATATTTGCCAAGATTTCTGATCCTCTTTTTAAAATTATTTTGTTTTATTTTATATTTGTACATTTTATTTGTTCAATTCTTTTTTATTTACATAAATTTAGAGGATACAAATGCAGTTTTGATACATGGGTATATTGCCTACTGGTGAAGTCTGGGCTCTTAGTATAGCCATCACCCAAATAGTGTACATTGTATACATTAAGTAATTTCTCATCCCTCGCTCACCTCCCAACCTCCCACCTCTTGTAGTCTCCAATGTCTGTTATTCTACACTTTATGTCCATATGTACACATTATTTAGCTCCCACTTACAAATGAAAACCTGAAGTATTTGGCTTTCTGTTTCTGAGTTATTTCACTTAAGATAATGGCCTCCAGTTCCATCTATGTTGCTGCAAAAGACATTATTTCATTCTTTTTTATGTCTGAGTAGTATTCCATGGTATATATGTACCATATTTTCTTTATCCAGTCATCTGTTCTTAGACAGGTTGATTCCATATCTTTGCTATGGTGAACAGTGCTGTGATAAACATGTCTGTGGGTATCTTTTTGATAAAATGATTGCTTTTCCTTTGGGTAGACACTCAGTAGTGGGTTTGCTGGATCGAATTGTACTTCTATTTTTAGTTGTTTGAGAAATCTCCATACTGTTTTCCATAGAGGTTGTACTAATTTACCTTCCCACTAACAGTGTATAAGTGTTCCCTTTTCTTCACATTCTCACCAACATCTGTTATTTTGTGACTTTTTAAATAATAGCCATTCTGGCTGGTGGTTTTAATTTGCATTTATCTGATGATTAGCAATATTCAGCTAATCAATCTGTTCAGTTATTTTGCTGTGTAGAAGCTTTTCTTTTCTTTTCTTTTTTTTTTTACCTTTTATGGCATCTTTTTTTATTTGGGATTCTTCCCCCCCACTTTTTTTTAAATTATACTTTAAGTTCTAGGGTACATGTGCACAACGTGCAGGTTTGTTACATATGTATACATGTGCCATGTTGGCTTGCTGCACCCAGTAACTCGTCATTTACATTAGGTATTTCTCCTAATGCTATCCCTCCCCCTGCCCCCCACCCCAAGACAGGCCCTGGTGTGTGGTGTTCCCTGCCCTGTGTCCAACTGTTCCCATTGTTCAATTCCCATCTATGAGTGAGAACATGCAGTGTTTGGTTTTCTGTCCTTGTGATAGTTTGCTGAGAATGATGGTTTCCAGCTTCATCCATGTCCTTACAAAGGACATGAACTCATCCTCTTTTATGACTGCATAGTATTCCATAGTATATATGTGCCACATTTTCTTAATCTAGTCTATCACTGATGGACATTTGGGTTGGTTCCAAGTCTTTGCTATTATGAATAGTGCCGCAATAATCATATGTGTGCATGTGTCTTTATAGTAGCATGATTTATAATCCTTTGGGTATATACCCAGTAATGGGATGGCTGGGTCAAATGGTATTTCTAGTTCTAGATCCCTGAGGAATCGCCACACTGTCTTCCACAATGGTTGAACTAGTTTACGTTCCCACCAACAGTGTAAAAGCATTCATATTTCTCCACATCCTCTCCAGCACCTTTGTTTCCTGATTTTTTAATGATTGCCATTCTAACTGGTGTGAGATGGTATCTCATTGTGGTTTTGATTTGCATTTCTCTGATGACCAGTGATGATGAGCATTTTTTCATGTGTCTGTTGGCTGCATAAATGTCTTCTTTTGAAAAGTGTCTGTTCATATCCTTTGCCCACTTTTTGATGGGGTTGTTTGATTTTTTCTTGTAAATTTGTTTCTTTGTAGATTCTGGATATTAGCCCTTTGTTAGATGAGTAGATTGCAGAAATTTTCTCCCATTCTGTAGGTTGCCTGTTCACTCTGATGGTAGTTTCTTTTGCTGTGCAGAAGCTCTTTAGTTTAATTAGATCCCATTTGTCAATTTTGGCTTTTGTTGTCATTGCTTTTGGTGTTTTAGTCATGAAGTCCTTGCCCATGCCTGTGTCCTGAATGGTATTGCCTAGGTTTTCTTCTAGGGTTTTTATGGTTTTAGGTCTAACATTTAAGTCTTTAATCCATCTTGAATTAATTTTTGTATAAGGTGTAAGGAAGGGATCCAGTTTCAGCTTTCTACATATGGCTAGCCAGTTTTCCCAGCACCATTTATTAAATAGGGAATCTTTTCCCCATTTCTTGTTTTTGTCAGATTTGTCAAAATCAGATGGTTGTAGATGTGTGATGTTATTTCTGAGGCTTCTGTTCTGTTCCATTGGTCTATATCTCTGTTTTGGTACCAGTACCATGCTGTTTTGGTTACTGTAGCCTTGTGGTATAGTTTGAAGTCAGGTAGCATGATGCCTCCAGCTTTGTTCTTTTGGCTTAGGATTGTCTTGGCAATGCAGGCTCTTTTTTGGTTCCATATGAACTTTAAAGTAGTTTTTTCCAATTCTGTGAAGAAAGGCATTGGTAGCTTGATGGGGATGGCATTGAATCTATAAATTACCTTGGGCAGTATGGCCATTTTCAGGATATTGATTCTTCCTATCCATGAGCATGGAATGTTCTTCCATTTTTTTGTGTCCTCTTTTATTTCGTTGAGTAGTGGTTTGTAGCTCTCCTTGAAGAGGTCCTTCCCATCCCTTGTAAGTTGGATTCCTAAGTGTTTTATTCTCTTTGTAGCAACTGTGAATGGGGGAGTTCACTCATGATTTGGCTTTCTGTTTGTCTGTTATTGGTGTATAGTGTATAGGAATGCTTGTGATTTTTGTACATTGATTTTGTATCCTGAGACTTTGCTGAAGCTGCCTATCAGCTTAAGGAGATTTTGGGCTGAGACGATGGGGTTTTCTAGATATACAATCATGTCATCTGCAAATAGGGACAATTTGACTTCCTCTTTTCCTAATTGAATACCCTTTATTTCCTTCTCCTGCCTAATTGCCCTGGCCAGAACTTCCAACACTATGTTGAATAGGAGTGGTGAGAGAGGGCATCCCTGTCTTGTGCCAGTTTTCAAAGGGAATGCTTCCAGTTTTTGCCCATTCAGTATGATATTGGCTGTTGGTTTGTCATAGATAGCTCTTATTATTTTGAGATACATCCCATCAATACCCAATTTATTGAGAGTTTTTAGCATGAAGGGTTGTTGAATTTTGTCAAAGGCCTTTTCTGCATCTATTGAGATAATCATGTGGTTTTTGTCTTTGGTTCTGTTTATATGCTGGATTACATTTATTGATTTGCGTATATTGAACCAGCCTTGCATCCCAGGGATGAAGCCCACTTGATCATGGTGGATAAGCTTTTTGATGTGCTGCTGGATTCGGTTTGCCAGTATTTTATTGAGGATTTTTGCATCAATGTTCATCAAGGATATTGGTCTAAAATTCTCTTTTTTGGTTGTATCTCTGCCCGGCTTTGGTATCAGGATGATGCTGGCCTCATAAAATGAGTGAGGGAGGATTCCCTCTTTTTCTGTTGATTGGAATAGTTTCAGAAGGAATGGTACCAGTTCCTCCTTGTACCTCTGGTAGAATTCGGCAGTGAATCCTTCTGGTCCTGGACTCTTTTTGGTTGGTAAGCTATTGATTATTGCCACAATTTCAGAGCCTGTTATTGGTCTATTCAGAGACTCAACTTCTTCCTGGTTTAGTCTTGGGAGGGTCTATGTGTCAAGGAATTTATCCATTTCTTCTAGATTTTCTAGTTTATTTGTGTAGAGGTGTTTGTAGTATTCTCTGATGGTAGTTTGTATTTCTGTGGGATCAGTGGTGATATCCCCTTTATCATTTTTTATTGCATCTATTTGATTCTTCTCTCTTTTCTTCTTTATTAGTCTTGCTAGCAGTCTATCAATTTTGTTGATCCTTTCAAAAAACCAGCTCCTGGATTCATTGATTTTTTGAAGGGTTTTTTGTGTCTCTATTTCCTTCAGTTCTGCTCTGATTTTAGTTATTTCTTGCCTTCTGCTAGCTTTTGAATGTGTTTGCTCTTGCTTTTCTAGTTCTTTTACTTTTGATGTTAGGGTGTCAATTTTGGATCTTTCCTGCTTTCTCTTGTGGGCATTTAGTGCTATAAATTTCCCTCTACACACTGCTTTGAATGTGTCCCAGAGATTCTGGTATGTTGTGTCTTTGTTCTCGTTGGTTTCAAAGAACATCTTTATTTCTGCCTTCATTTTGTTATGTACCCAGTAGTCATTCAGGAGCAGGTTGTTCAGTTTCCATGTAGTTGAGCGGTTTGGAATGAGTTTCTTAATCCTGAGTTCTAGTTTGATTGCACTGTGGTCTAAGAGACAGTTTGTTATAATTTCTGTTCTTTTACATTTTCTGAGGAGAGCTTTACTTCCAACTATGTGGTCAATTTTGGAATAGGTAAGGTGTGGTGCTGAAAAGAATGTATATTCTGTTGATTTGGGGTGGAGAGTTCCGTAGATGTCTATTAGGTCCGCTTGGTGCAGAGCTGAGTTCAATTCCTGGGTATCCTTGTTAACTTTCTGTCTCGTTGATCTGTCTAATGTTGACAGTGAAGTCTTAAAGTGTCCCATTATTATATGGGAGTCTAAGTCTCTTTGTAGGTCACTCAGGACTTCCTTTATGAATCTGGGTGCTCCTGTATTGGGTGTATACATATTTAGGATAGTCAGCTCTTCTTGTTGAATTGATCCCTTTACCATTATGTAATGGCCTTCTTTGTCTCTTTTGATCTTTGTTGGTTTAAAGTCTGTTTTATCCGAGACTAGGATTGCAACCCCTGCCTTTTTTTGTTTTCCATTGGCTTGGTAGATCTTCCTCCATCCTTTTATTTTGAGCCTATGTGTGTCTCTGCACGTGAGATGGGTTTCCTGAATACAGCACACTGATGGGTCTTGACTCTTTATCCAGTTTGCCAGTCTGTGTCTTTTAATTGGAGCATTTAGTGCATTTACATTTAAAGTTAATATTGTTATGTGTGAATTTGATCCTGTCATTATGATGTTAGCTGGTTATTTTGCTTGTTAGTTGATGCAGTTTCTTCCTAGCCTCGATGGTCTTTACAATTTGGCATGATTTTGCAGTGGCTGGTACCGGTTGTTCCTTTCCATGTTTAGTGCTTCCTTCAGGAGCTCTTTTAGGGCAGGCCTGGTGGTGACAAAATCTCTCAGCATTTGCTTGTCTGTAAAGTATTTTATTTCTCCTTCACTTATGAAGCTTACTTTGGCTGGATATGAAATTCTGGGTTGAAAATTCTTTTCTTTAAGAATGTTGAATATTGGCCCCCACTTTCTTCTGGCTTGTAGAGTTTCTGCCGAGAGATCCGCTGTTAGTCTGATGGGCTTCCCTTTGTGGGTGACCCAACCTTTGTCTCTGGCTGCCCTTAACATTTTTTCCTTCATTTCAATTTTGGTGAATCTGACAATTATGTGTCTTGGAGTTGCTCTTCTTGAGGAGTATCTTTGTGGTGTTCTCTGTATTTCCTGAATCTGAATGTTGGTCTGCCTTGCTAGATTGGGGAAGTTCTCCTGGATAATATCCTGTAGAGTGTTTTCCAACTTGGTTCCATTCTCCCTGTCACTTTCAGGTACACCAATCAGACGTAGATTTGGTCTTTTCACATAGTCCCATATTTCTTGGAGGCTTTGTTCGTTTCTTTTTATTCTTTTTTCTCTAAACTTCCCTTCTCGCTTCATTTCATTCATTTCATCTTCCATCACTGATACCCTTTCTTCCAGTTGATCGTGTCAGGTCCTGAGGCTTCTGCTTTCTTCGCGTAGTTCTCGAGCCTTGGCTTTCAGCTCCATCAGCTCCTTTAAGCACTTCTCTGTATTGGTTATTCTAGCTATACATTCGTCTAAATTTTTTTCAAAGTTTTTAACTTCTTTGCCTTTGGTTTGAATTTCCTCCTGTAGCTCAGAGTAGTTTGATCGTCTGAAGCCTTCTTCTCTCAACTCGTCAAAGTCATTCTCCATCCAGCTTTGTTCCGTTGCTGGTGAGGAACTGCGTTCCTTTGGAGGAGGAGAGGCGCTCTGCTTTTTAGAGTTTCCAGTTTTCCTGCTCTGTTTTTTCCCCATCTTTGTGGTTTTATCTACTTTTGGTCTTTGATGATGGTGATGTACAGATGGGTTTTTGGTGGGGATGCCCTTTCTGTTTGTTAGTTTTCCTTCTAACAGACAGGACCCTCAGCTGCACGTCTGTTGGAGTTTGCTAGAGGTCCACTCCAGACCCTGTTTGCCTGGGTATCAGCAGCGGTGGCTGCAGAACCACGAATGCTGCTGTCTGATCGTTTCTCTGGAATTTTTGTCTCAGAGGGGTACCCGGCCGTGTGAGGTGTCAGTCTGCCCCTACTGGGGGGTGCCTCCCATTTAGGCTGCTTGGGGGTCAGGGGTCAGTGACCCACTTGAGGAGGCAGTCTGCCCGTTCTCAGATCTCCAGCTGCGTGCTGGGAGAACCACTGCTCTCTTCAAAGCTGTCAGACAGGGACATTTAAGTCTGCAGGGGTTACTGCTGTCTTTTTGTTTGTCTGTGCCCTGCCCCCAGAGGTGGAGCCTGCAGAGGCAGGCAGGCCTCCTTGAGCTGTGGTGGGCTCCACCCAGTTCGAGCTTCCCAGCTGCTTTGTTTACCTAAGCAAGCCTGGGCAATGGCGGGCGCCCCTTCCCCAGCCTGCCTGCCGCCTTGCAGTTTGGTCTCAGACTGCTGTGCTAGCATTCAGCGAGACTCCGTGGGCGTAGGACCCTCCGAGACAGGTGCAGGATATAATCTCCTGGTGCGCCGTTTTTTAAGCCCGTTGGAAAAGCACAGTATTAGGGTGGGAGTGACCCGATTTTCCAGGTGCCATCTGTCACCCCTTTCTTTGACTCGGAAAGGGAACTCCCTGACCCCTTGCGCTGCCCGAGTGAGGCAATGCCTCGCCCTGCTTCAGCTCGCACACAGTGCGCTGCACCCACTGTCCTGCACCCACTGTCTGGCACTCCCTAGTGAGATGAACCCCGTACCTCAGATGGAAATGCAGAAATCACCCATCTTCTGTGTCGCTCACGCTGGGAGCTGTAGACCGGAGCTGTTCCTATTCGGCCATCTTGGCTGCTAGCTCCCTCATATTGTTTTTTCTATTTCTTTGAAGAATGTTGTTGGTATTGATAGGGCTTGCATTGAATCTATAGATTGCTATGGGTAGTATGGATACTTTAACAATATTAATTCTTCCAACCCATGAACATGGAATATTTTTCCATTTTTTGGTGTCCTCTTCAATTTATTTCTTCAGTGTTTTATAGTTTTCATTTCTTTGGTTAACTCCTAGGTATTTAATTTTATTTGTAGCTATTGTAAATGGGATTACTTTATTTCTTTTTCAGATTGTTCACTGTTGGCATATAGAAATGCTACCGATTTTTGTTGATTTTGTATCCTGCTACTTTACTGAATTTGTTTATCACTTCTAATAGTTTTCTGGTGGAGTCTTTAGGTATTTCCAAATGTAAGATCATATCATCAGCAAACAAGGATAATTTGACTTCTTCCTTTCTAATGTAGATGCCCTTTGTTTCTTTATCTTGTCTGATTGCTCTAGCCAGGATTTCCAGTACTATGTTGAATTAGAATGGTGAAAGTGGACATCCTTGTCATGTTACACATCTTAGAGGAAAGGCTTTCAGTTTTTCCCCATTCAGTATGATACTAGCTGTGGGTCTGTCAAATATGGCTTTTATTATGTTGAGGTGTGTTCCTTCTATACCCAGTTTTTTAAGGAGTTTTATCACGACAGGATGTTGAATTTTATCAAATGCTTTTTTAGCATCAATTGAAATGATCCTATGGTTTTTATTCTTCATTCTGTTGATATGATGTATCACATTGATTGATCTGCATATGCTGAACCATCCTAGCATCCCAGAGATAAATCCCACTTGGTCATCACGAATGATTTTTTTTAATGTACTGTTGAATTTGGTTTGTTAGTATTTTGTTGAGGATTTTTGCATCAATATTTATTAACAATATTGGCCTGCAGTTTTCTTTCTTGATGTGTCTTTTTCTGGTTTTGGTATCAGGGTGATACTGGCCTTGCAGAAAGAGTTTGGAAGTATTCCCTCCTCCTCTCTTTTTTGGAAAAGTTCTAGTAGGATTGATTAGCTCTCCTTTAAATGTTTGGTAGAACTTAGCAGTGAAGCCACTGGGTCTTGGGCTTTCTTTACTGGGAGACTTTTTATTACAGCTTTGATATTGTTACTTTATTGATCTGTTCAAGTTTTGGATTTCTTCCTGGTTCCATCTTGGTAGGTTGTATGTGTCTAGGAATTTGTTCATTTTTTCCAGATTTTCTTCTTTTTGTTTTTGGCATATGGTTGCTCATAGTAGCCATTAATGATCCTTTGAATTTCTGTACTATCAGTTGTAATGTATCCTTTTTCATTTCGGATTTTATTTATTTGTATGTTGTCTCTTTTTTTTCTTAGACTGGCTAAAGGTTTCTCAATTTTATTTAACTTTTCAAAAAACCAACTTTTTGATTCATTGATCTTTTATTTTGTTTTCTTCATTTGTACAGGCTTTGTTACAGTTAGTATAGTCATGTAACCACAGTGTGAGTTGCAGATTAATGTGTTTAAAAAGCAACTCATGATGGGAGTGTGTGTTGATATGGAAAAGCCATAGAATCTAAGCATCATGGAGAGTAATAGTCCTGCCTAGTCTCCCACATCTACTGAAGACATTGTATGAGTAATAAATAATCTTTTTATGCTGCACCACTGAGAACTTTGGGGTTATAACTGCAGCATATCCTAACTTATCGTAATACATCAAAATTAATTAGCAACTCTTCAGGAATCCTTGAACTCCCAAATTTCAGAGATATAGCTTCTGCTTTAGCAATCATGATATATTATCTCTCATACATATTCCTTCACACTGCTTTCTTAAACTCTGTTTAGCATAGAAGTCCAAGAGAAATGTTAGCCTCCATAAAACTCTGGTGACTCTGCAGTAAGTACCAAATGTTCTCACATATAGTTGTTGGGGCTGTGTGTGAAAGAATTTTTTTTAGGCTTTGGAAATACACTTTATGTCTGAAATGATTTCTGTTGGCATTAAAATATGTCCTGAATTGTGACATCTCAAGCTTGATGACTTTTACCTGCCTATTATATAAATTCTATTATGTAAGATATAATGGAAATTTGATTTAGTTTCCTGAATTTCTAGCTTAGAGTTTGTGAAAATTCTAGGACAATGATAATAAACCTCTCCCTTTTCTTCCACACACTTCCCTCTCTCTCTTTCTCCTAGTTTGAATCAAACCATGTCATTATTTATCTGAGCCATTGGAAACAATATACCTTTTTTGTAAATTAAGGATCTGGAAAATAAATTCCAGTTTTTAAATAATCATTAGTCATCTTGTGAAGTTAATTCTTTTCTCAAGTCTGACATGATTTTACCAATACTTTTCAATAAGTATATCCATTTTAATTTATATTTTGTGTATTTATCATTGTATATTCACTTTTTCAGAAGTATTTATTTACTTCATAGCAATTCTGTGACTTTCTTATATGGGCTATAACTATAACTGGAAATTCCTAATTTTTTAAGCCTTACAGGAATTGAGTCTCCTTTTCCTCTGTTGTTAAATAAACTTCCCTGAGACACAATCCCTCAGGTTGTAGAAAATCTAACACCCTGGCTAACATGTCTGTTTAGCTGTGTGCATCTCACTTTCCTGTGGTCAGTCTACACTGTGGCCTGCTTCCCTGTCACCCCTTAGATGATGGTGGCTACTGTCTTCTCCCTACAACAGCTCTGCTCTTGGTACACCTGCATCACCTCTGACTTGGACACTACTCTGCACAAACACAAAGTGCCATTGGAACAGATTTTTATAGAAGGTTTAGGAGTAATAGAGAGGCTCACAACTCAGAACAGTGAAGACGAGCCATGTAAAATGGAATCAAAGGCACTCGAGTTCTCTAGAATCTTTTGGCCATCCTCATCCCTGAGAAATTCTCAATGCATGTCTCTCTTCTCAGGCCACAGCATCTCATCATAGTACTGGGCTCTCTTTCATTTTCACACTTGTCTCACTTATCCTCTTCCCTCCTTTCTCAGGGTCCTCACTCCCTCTCTATCAAACTTTTCTCACTTCCCTCCTTTGAAACTCATAATTCTCCTTACTCTTACTTGTATGTACTACAATTTGCCTAACCCAGTCTTTAACTCATTCTACTCTGGGTATATACCCTTTGGAAACATGTGTTTTCAGATTAGCATTTTCTGTAACACAATCACATTGTTAGACATGGGACTCCTACTCACCAATGTTTAGAACAAGGGGAAGCAATATAAAGTATCAAGGCATTCGAGAAGGATAAGAAGGACTAGACATCCTTGTGGGCAGGAGTAGCTTGTGAGTACAGGAATGTTGTTGAGCTGCAGTGAATGGGATTAGAGCAGTCAGAACGGGCCATGTAATGGATGATCTTGGTAAGTATCTTGTGGGCAGAAGGAAGTTGTTGAAAGATGGAAGATGCAGAACATCGTGCTCAAAACTGCATTCTAGAAAGATCACTCTAACCACAGTCAGAGGGGCAGAATGGAGTCTGGGAGAATAGTTATAAGACTTTTAGTCCAGAAGGAAATACAAAATGCCTGTGCTGAGGCAGAGCTGGGTCATCCCTAATGGGTTTGAGAGTTCTTCAGAAGGTGGGATTGATGGGGGTTGGCAGCCAGATGGACCAATAAGTCAGCGAGAGAATGAAGCTGGCTTGAGCAGTTTAGCGGGGGTGATGGTGTGTTCTCCATGATAAGGGAGCAAGGAATCAGGAACAGTTTGTGGTGGAGGTGGAGAGGCCCATGGATTCAGTTATTCCTGTGGTTAGTTTGAGGTGCCAGTGTGACACTATCTTAAATATATTGAGTAGCAAGCTGTGGACCCTCAGACACTGGCACCCACAGCTTTAACACACTTGGTTTTGAATGTTCTTGAGGTTCATGACATCACTAAAGCACAAACATGAATCAAGAGGTAAAATATTGGTGTTTAGGAGTGATCATGTAGCCTGCGAGTGAGACTCATGCACCCACTTTTTTGGAGATCAGGAGAAGTCAGGAATGGTGGGCTCAGGGAGAAGTGGTGGTGTCTAGTAGCATGAGAAGGAGGAGATGATAAATACAATTGAGGCATGTGGAGTTTGAGGCGACAGAGTGACGTACAGGGGACATATCCAAAAGCCACTGAAAAATCAGGACTGGAGCTTGGGTGGTATCAGGACTGGAGGTGTAGATTAGGGAAACGTAAGTTTAGTTCATTTGCCAAACTACAGCCTTTGATTTCTTAGTTCTGTTAAGTGGTAGAGCTGAGAAGCAGGCCTTAGCTTATGGAATTTGCTGTATTTGTACAAGGCAGCCTGTGAAAATTGGCAGAGGCAGGTTAGGTCTTTAAGAATCTACGAAGGGATTCAGGTAATAAATTTGGAAGAGGATGAAATATAATCCATATCAGCAGAATTATATCTTTATTATGTCTATCTGCTATGGGTAGAAAACAAGCATGGCATTTGAAGGTAGAAGATGTACTAAGTTTTCACTTCTGTCACTTTAATTTTCCTCATTTTTTTTAACTTTTTTATTTTTATTTTTATTTTTTTATTATACTTTAAGTTTTAGGGTACATGTGCACAACGTGCAGGTTAGTTACATATGTATACATGTGCCATGTTGGTGTGCTGCACCCAGTAACTCATCATTTAACATTAGGTATATCTCCAAATGCTATCCCTCCCCGCTCCCCTCACCCCACAACAGGCCCTGGTGTGTGATGTTCCCCTTCCTGTGTCCATGTGTTCTCATTGTTCAATTCCCACCTATGAGTGAGAACATGCGGTGTTTGGTTTTCTGTCCTTGCGATAGTTTGCTGAGAATGATGGTTTCCAGCTTCCTCCTTGTCCCTACAAAGGACATGAACTCATCCTTTTTTATGGCTGCATAGTATTCCATGGTGTATATGTGCCACATTTTCTTAATCCAGTCTATCATTGTTGGACATTTGGCTTGGTTCCAAGTCTTTGCTATTGTGAATAGTGCCGCAATAAACATATGTGTGCATGTGTCTTTATAGCAGCATGATTTATAGTCCTTTGGGTATATACCCAGTAATGGGATGGCTGGGTCAAATAGTATTTCTAGTTCTAGATCCTTGAGGAATCGCCACACTGTCTTCCACAATGGTTGAACTAGTTTACAGTCCCACCAACAGTGTAAAAGTGTTCCTATTTCTCCACATCCTCTCCAGCACCTATTGTTTCCTGACTTTTTAATGATTGCCATTCTAACTGGTGTGAGATGGTATCTCATTGTGGTTTTGATTTGCATTTCTCTGGTGGCCAGTGATGATGAGCATTTTTTCATGTGTCTGTTGGCTGCATAGATGTCTTCTTTTGAGAAGTGTCTGTTCATATCCTTTGCCCACTTTTTGATGGGGTTGTGTGTTTTTTTCTTGTAAATTTGTTGGTAATTTTCCTCATTTTAACGTTTCTGATGTCTACGTGATGCTCCTCCCCCAACCAGAAAAAGAAAGAAAGAAAGAAAAAAGTTGGCAGGAGTTTCTTCTCCTCCTTAATCTCCCTCCCCTTCCACACACAGACATACACACCCAAGGAGCTGTTATTAGGTAATTTCCCTTCAAAAGGCATTTCGAAATGTAATTTCTTCATTGGTGAAGAAACACATGGGGATCATTTAAAAATACTGAGTGGCAAAGGAATTCCTGAGTTTTTTTAAGATAATAGATTAAACTGAAGCCTTATTCTGCAATAGCATTTGCTGATGCCAAGTTTATGGCTGAAATCCAAGTAGCATCTCTGCTTTGCCCCAGCACAGTACATGCCTGTGGCTAATCAACATACAGGTCTTGAAATCCCTGGTTGATCTATACACCTTGTCCCTAGTAATAAAAATCATTCCCTTTGGGAGAACTTGAGCCTGGATTGTTCATAACCAGTTCTTTTTGTGTATACAAACTGGTTGGTTTCTTGGAGTTAGAGACAAATTTGTGAGATCAGGACCCTGGTTAACTCTTCTCCACCCATGCAAACATCTTGGCTCTCATAATGAAACTTGATTGTCATATACTGGAATGACAAGAATTTGTTCAAGTTTTAGCACTACCTAAGATCTGAAGATACCAGCATTTGTGCTCTAATTTTTTCAGAATGTCTTGTATTCCATGCATATTGACACTTTCTCTGTCTGAAATTCATTTCAAAAGAACATGGTAGAAATCATAGCCTGATGACTTTAAAGGAAAGAATTTATTGACTGAAGGCCTGTGCATTTCTTGGATTGTTTGATTGCACTTCAGCTTACAAAACAAAAGAAAGGGAATGCCAGATCCAAGTGTCCAACATCCTAATTCACCTGGACATCCTATAGGCACATTAATTCAATCTGGGCCAAACTGAACTCATCTGTCCTCATATGTTATTTCTCTTCCCATATTCCTGTCCACCACCCATCCAACCACTCAATCAAGAAGCATCGGGGGTTATCCAAGACTTTGGCTTCTTCACCAATTTTCAATTTTTAAAATTTTCATCTCTAAAAATCTCTTATTTTCATTCCTTCCTCTGCTTTCCCTGCACTTTCCTTAGGTCCCCACCATATCTCATCTGATCTGTGGCACTAATAGTGTCCCATTGAATTTTCCTGCCTCCAGTCAGCTTACCACCCCTGCTCCCAGCAATTGACTCAGCTGTCCTTAGAAAATGATCTTTCTATATTGCAAATCTGATTACTTTATTAGAAGTTTAGACCCCTCAGTGGTTTCCCATAACTACAGAATAATGTCTGAACTCTTTAATATAGCTTCCAAGGCTTTCCCTCTGTAATTTGGTCTCTGCCTTCCCTCTTTACCCATGGTCCACCATTCTGCTGTGTGACCCAACATTTCAGCTGCATCATATGATGCCATGCCATCCTATAATACACCAAGTTTTATGGAGTTGGCATTCATTTCATGTACCCTGCATATATATTTTTTTCTCTACCTGAAGTGCCCTTCCTCCCCCTTGTCTGACTGGCAAACTCCTAGTTGTCTTTTAAGAACATCTTATCCTTGGTAGCAGCCTACCTTGTTTTCCTTAACCCCACCCTCAACACCACTTAAAACATTGCCTCGAATGATATTATCTGTAATGTTTATCTTCACAATCCATCAGGGAGCACCATAAGGAGCCATGATTCATGTATCTTTAGTATCTAAACTTGCTACAGCAAAGGGAGGAAGATAAATCATGTGACCACAGTCCCAAGGTTTCAAGGAAATCATAAGGCTCTTAAAGGAGACTAAGTCACAGAGCGCTTCTTATTGTCCATTTTGCCCATTTGTTTATGTTTTCTCGGGACTAGAGTCTTTGAAATTCATTGTTTCTGGCAGTCCTCAGTCCTCATGGCCTGAGGACATGGTGTTAATAAGAATAAATAGAAGGGTGGCTACATGAACTGTATAAGGGGCCAGTGGTCATTTTTAAACTGAAGGGAATTTTGAGCTAATGATCATGCCCTAGAGCTATGTTTTTCAAACTTTGAAAAACACGATCCCCAGAAGGATATAGGATTTTGTCATGACCCAGTACACACACACACATGCACACACGGTAAAATCAATAAATGGAAAAAAGTTTATGAAACACTTTACTACATGACACACATTCTGATATTTTCTATTCCATTTAATCTATCCTATTCTATTTTGTTTTTTAAGAAAAATCTGTTTATAACCCATCAAATGATTTCACAACTCACCAATGGGTAATGACCTGTAGTTTGAGGAATCCTGTTGTCTAAGCGGCCTTCCTTTCACTCAGGTGCTTGGTTGTATGTGGCTGAAGATGGGCCACATCCCCAGAGGCCCTAACAAGAAACAACTGTTTGTGGGAGGAAGTGATTAATGGTTGGTGAGATCAGTATCAGCTGATGAATAGAATTCCTTGCATTTTAAAGACCTGAAAGAAGAGTGCAATGTAGCCAAATCCTGACTCTTCCAAGAGCTGAAAAAATTTGCCTGATTAACAGAACATGAACTCAGAGACTGGAACCATTGATGACCGTTAGGTCCCAGCTACTTAGGTCACAGGGATTTGGAAGCCCATGCCATGGCACCACCATTTGAGAATGCTTCCAGCAGCCACGCCCACGGTCAATCTAATCAATGTGGTGCTTCTGCTTCTGCTTCTGCTTCTGCTTCGGTAATTTCTACTGCTATGGTCGTTCACTGTGCATATCAAAATGACTGACAATTATCAGCTCAGCATGTAAACAAAGCCCAAGCAGAATTCAGATTACTTACTAATGAGCAGTGGTGTTTGTCAAAAGAACACTGTTGCTTATTTCATTGGATTTCACATACAAAAATATTGTATTTTTGCAATCATGCCAGAGGGGAAATGAGGAAATTGGAGATCAAGGAAGATGCAAACAGACCAAAATGACAAGTACTATAACTTTCAAAATATCTTAAGCCATGTTTTAAATGAAATCATGCAATTAAATTATTTAATTAATGTAGTCTAATGTTTATTAAAATGTTTATCTGCTGTTCCCCAAGCAGGTACAGAATACATGTGGGTTCCGTACAAGAGGAAACTTCAGCTAGTCAATATGTGTTTTTGATACCTCCTGTATTAGTTTCCTAGGGTTGCTGTAACAAAGTACCACAAACTGCGTGGTTTAAAACAATAGAAATTTAGTCTCTCGCCTTTCTGGAAGCTAGAAGTCTAAAGTCATGGTACTGGTAAAGCCATTCTCTCTCTCTCTCTCTGAAAGCTCTAGAGGATTTTTTCTTGTGTCTTCCTAACTTGTGGCGGTTGCTGGCAATTTTTGGCTTTCCTTAGCTTGTAGATGCATCATTCCAATCTCTGCCTCTGTCTTCACATGACATTCTGTGTGTTGCTGTATTCACATGGCATTCTCCTGTCTGTCCCTCTCAGTTTAACAGTGTTTCTACTGGTCTAAAATTTTCAACAGTTTGTCGGCCTTCCATGAAAGTCACAGGGTTCTGAGCCATTAGACATGAGTGTTCTTCATAGATCCTTCCTGTATACCTCTATCAATATCCGTGGCTGCTGCTGAGATGGTTGATTGGATCCATAATCTCTTTACCAAATGGTTGTCTAGTCACACCGTTGATGTTCTTTCCAGAGCATACTCTCTCACATTTTGCTGTTATCTGAATAGACTGAGGATTTTCCAGATCATCAAGTTCTGGTTCCTTTTTACATAACAATTCTCTCCTCAATTTATCTCTTTCTTCTAGAGTCTTGCTATAAGCAGCAAGGAGAAACTAGACAACACTTACCATACTTTGCTTGGAAATCTCCTCAGTTAGATATCCAAGTTCATTACTTACAAATTCTATTTCCCAAAAAACACTAGAATACAATTCAGCCACATTCTCTGCCACTTTATAATAAAGATCACCTTTCTTTCAGTGTCCAACAACATTTTCTGTCTGAGGTCTTATCAGAAGTACCTTTAACATTTATATTTCTACTAGTATTCTGTTCATGATGATACATGTATTCTGATTTGATAGAAGCTTTCTCTACTGTGCTCCTCACTTCCCTCTGAACCCTGTCACCTTTAACGTCTATATTACCATCAACCATCTCTTCAAGGCAATCTAGGCTTTTTCTATCAAGCTCTTCAAAATTCTTTCAGCTTCTACTCATTACTCAATTCCAAAGCCACTTCCACATTTTTAGATATTTGTTACAGCAGCACCTCACTTCCCAATACCAAGATCTGTATCAGTCAGGGTTTGCCAGCGAAACAGAACTAATAGAATACATACAGATCTGTATCTATACCTGTATATCTGTATATCTTAATGATACTGGTGGGCTAGAGGAGGTCCCCAAACACTGGTAGGACTTCAACCCTGGCCAGTGTCTGGGCCCTTGACAACTTTGCGAGAAGGAATTTAAAGATAAGTCAGAAAATAGTGAAAGTGTGGAGATTTTTTGCAAAGCAAAAGTACACACTCAAGAAAGGGGAGTGTGAGTACTCAAGAGAGTGAGTTGCACCAACAGTGTTTGGGGTTTCTATCTTTATGGGTTTCTTTAACCACGGGGTGGAATAATCATGAACATTTCTGGAAAAACATTAAGATTTCTCAGAACTGTGGTGCCACTCATTTTTGCACCAAATATGAATGTTCCTGGAACAGTCATGGTGCTGGCAGGTATGTGGTTTAGTATGTTAATGAGCATATAATGAGGTTCTGGGTGAAACCTAGGTCATTTCTAGTGCCATATTCGGTCCAGTCAGTCCAGCCAGCATGGTCCACATCCTGTTTTTTAGGATCTTATTGGCCCTTAGCTTATGCAGCAATTTCACCAGTTTCCTTTTTGTCATGTGAAACTGCTGCCTGGAATTTTCTATTCTCTTAATCATATCTACAAAATACCTTTACATCAGTATCTAAATTGGTGTTTGATTAAATAACTGGTTACTATAGCCTAGCCAAGTTGACAAGAAAACCCTAACCGTCACACTCCCAAAGTCAGACTTGATCACGTTCTGTCATGAATTATCAAGCATCTGATCCTTTATAGGCTCAAAATATTCATGATTTATGCTTTTATTTATAAGTTTTTGACTTCATACTTAGCCAGAAGTCTCTTGTATTTGTTTTATTTTATATCTTTGTTTTAGACTACATATGATTTTGAAAATGCAGTGTATTAAATACTCTCCTTTTGGGTATCATACCTCTCTGTAAAACATATTGCTTATTTCTTTGTGTTAAGAAAAGCATTTTGAAGGCTGGGCACGGTGGCTCACGCCTGTAATCCCAGCACTTTGGGAGGCCGAGGCGGGTGGATCACGATGTCAGGAGATCGAGATCATCCTGGCTAACACGGTGAAACCCCGTCTCTACTAAAAATACAAAAAATTAGCCAGGTGTGGTGGCAGGTGCCTGTAGTCCCAGCTACTTGGGAGGCTGAGGCAAGAGAATGGCGTGAACCTGGGAGGCGGAGCTTGCAGTGAGCCAAGATTGCGCCACCAAGATCACGCCACCGCATTCCAGCCTGAGCAACAGAGTGAGTCTCTGTCTCAAAAAAAACAAAAACAAAAACAAAAAAAAAACAAAAACAAAACAGGAAAGAAAAGCATTTTGAATTTTATAAAGTTCTTTAATGATACTGAGTTTTTTATCATAGGAAGTTTTCACACCCGCTTGCATGATATGGTATAACATTAAGGCTGACAAATTGCCCATCACAGGGCTGTGTGCTTGCTTGCTAAGGTCTTAGAGTTATAAGAGACACAAGAGTGGATGCATATGATAGAGGAAACACTTGGCTACCCATTAGAATCACCTAGGGAGCTTTTACTCATCACATACCAAGTCAAAAAGGCTAGGGGTGGTAGCCAGTATAAGTATTTTTTTAAGCTCCCGAGATGTGGTTTTAAAATATATCCACAAATTCTTTGATATTCCTTTCTTCAAGAAGCAAAACTTAACTCCCCCCTCTTTGAGAGTGGGTTAGATTTAATGACTTATTTCTTTCTCTCTCTCTCTCTCTCTCTTTTTTTTTTTTTAATGGAATCTCACTCTGTTACCCAGGCTGGAGTACAGGGGTGCGGTCTTGGCTCACTGCAACCTCCTCCTCCCAGGTTCAAGCAATTCTCCTGTCTCAGCCTCCTGAGTAGCTGGGACCACAGGTGCACACCAGCACACCTGGCTAATTTTTATATTTTTAGTAGAGATGGGGTTTCATCATGTTGGCCAGGCTGGTCTCGAACTCCTGACATCAGGTGATCCACCCACTTCAGCCTCCCTAAGTGCTGGGATTACAGGCGTGAGCCATGTGCTCAGCCTAGTGACTTGTTTCTAACATGAGAATATGGTAGTGACTGTGTGTGATTTCCAAAACTTGGTCGCAAAACATATTGAGACTTCTATTTGGTTTTCTTTTTTAGATCACATGTTTTGGGGAAAGCCAGCCAACCTGCCATGAGGACACTCAAGCAGCCCTAGGAAGAGTCCTACCTTGCAAAGATCTGAGGCCTCCTGCTAACAGCCAGCAAGGAATTGAGGTCTTTGTGATGGTTAATTTTATGTGTCAACTTGACTAGGCCAGATATTTGGTCATACATTATTCTCTGTGTGTATGTGAGAGTATTTTCAGATGAGATTAACATTTGAATCAGTAGGCTGAGTAAAGCAGATTGCCCTCCTAATGTGGGTGGGCCTCATCTGATTGATTGAAGACCTAAACAGAACAAAAAGGCTGAGTAAGATGGAACTACTTCTGCCTGACTACTTGAAGTGAAACATTGGTCTTTTCCGACCTTAGAACTCCAACTGCCAGCTTTTGGGCTGGAATCAACACCACCAGCTCTCCTGGTTCTCAGGTCTTCAGACTTGGACTGGAACTATATCATTGGCTCTCCTGGATCTCCAGCTTGCTGACTGCAGATCTTGGGACTACTCAGCTTCGATAATCATGTAAATGAGCCAGTTCCTTATAATAAATCTCTCTCTCTCTCTCTGTGTATATGTGTGTGTGTGTGTGTGTGTGTGTATATATAGACGTGTGTGTGTGTGTGTGTGTGTATATATGCACTTAGAATTGCCTTTCCAGCAATATATATAATATATATTATGTAACATATATAATATATAATATGTAACATATATATTATATAATATATAACATATAATTTATTATATATAACATATATAATAGATTATATATGTTATATATTATATATGTTATATATATAATATATGTTATATATATAATCTATTATATGTGTTATATATATAGAATCAATAGGAAAAAATATATAAAACCAACCAATAGGATATATGTATATCCTATGTGTGTGTGTGTGTGTGTGTGTATACATACACATATATCCTATTGGTTCTGTTTTTCTGGAGAACTCTGACTAATACAGCTTTCTACCAACAGCCACGTTGGAAACCCCAGTCAAGCCTTCAGATGACTAAAGCCTGAACTGACATCTTGATTGCCAATGTGCAAGAGATGCTGAGCCAGAACTCCCAGCTAAGCTACTTCTAAATTCCTGACCCACAGAAAGTATGTGAGACAGTAAGTGCTCATTGTTTTAAGCTACCAAGTTTTGTGGCAATTGGTTACACAGCCATAGGTTACTACAACCATAGGTGATTCCAACATGTAGCCAAGCTTAAGGACCATGGCCTTAGTCTTCTGTCAATAAAAATCATGAAATATCTGCCTTTTAGGCACTCAAAGGGATCTTAACCACTTATTTGTATTATAAGGCACCTATCAAATGTCTAGCTGAAGCAACAGATCTGTAGTGCTACCTCTTTTTTACTCCTTAATATTTTCCAGTTTCATACTCATGTCCCATCAAACCCTCTATCAGCAAGCTGTATGGCTGGATCATATTGCATTGATGTCTCTTTCTTCTGTGCACTCAGAATTGCCTTTCCAGCTCCGGTAATTCTGTTCTCTTGTGTTTATGGTGTAGACATCTTTGTGTTTGGGACATAATATTGTTCTAAATATCTCTGCTTGTTTGAAACTTTCCCCTTGATTTTCAGAAGAAAATTTCACAGGAAAAATAATAGAAGTCATTAAACAGAAATTCTCTCAATTGTCTTGTCATCCAATTGCATTTGCACGCAATCTTTCTTCTCCTCTAGCTGTTACATTTGAAGAGTCATGTCCCCTTTTCATAGGTGAATCTTTTCACCTGTGCTGTGCATCACACCCTCTCTCCTCAAGGGCTGGTCTGCATCTTCACCCTTTTCCTCTCTTCTGGCTGCTTCTCATTAAAACTACTCATGATTTAAGACCATTAAAGACTGGCTTCTCTCTGCAGCTAAACTGTAGTCTTCTAGAAGGCAAGGGCAGTGTATTGTCAATGAAA
Organism: Homo sapiens; assembly: GCF_000001405.40. NCBI lineage: Eukaryota > Metazoa > Chordata > Mammalia > Primates > Hominidae > Homo > Homo sapiens. Next base: position 14,795,351 of record NC_000023.11, on the reverse strand, counting down.
GTGCATTAAATATATGAGTGAATGCATTAATTTTGAAAACATTTCAACATTTAATGGAATATAGTTACTGTTTGCTAGTGTCTACCCCAAAATTTGTATTTCGTTTTGTTGAAATGAAAAACTAAGATGAAAATTAAAGCCTTTTCTCCAGAGATGTAGTAGAAGGATCAAACAAATGTACTAGATTTAAAAGAGAGATGTATCTGACTGGTGGTCAGCTACCAATTTGGCTACCTAATGACCACTTGACAGCCTTTAAAGCATTGTGTTGAAATTGAAAAGCTGGCAATCCAGGACACCCTTTCTCTTATTGCTGCCTAAGTGTTCTTGACTTCTCAATTCTCTTTATTCTGTAGAGTCAAAAAGGCATGTTCACTCAAAGAGCCTAATGAAATGTTTTCTGGGAAGCCAAGTAACAGCTATTGTCAGGTGAAAGCATCACTATAGCAGAGTGGCTATGGTCCTTCTCAGTCGCACCTTTTATTACCTTCCCCTTTTGGAATATAAACTACAAACAAGCTACATTGGATTTTTCCATCACACCCAATATTGTGCCTATTCTCTCCCCACTCTACAGACTTTTTCTGGATGAGCCCACCTACTGCAATGACTGTGTGACTTAGAAAAGATCAGCAAGACACAGAGGGAAAAGCATAGGCTTCACATTTAGTGAGAGTTAGTTGAATCCTGGCTCTGCAGCTTACTAGCTATGTGGCTTCTGGAAAGTTACTTAATCTCCCAGAATCTCTCAGGGTTTTCATCAGTAAAAATAATGTACAGCTCAGAGTTGCCATGGACATTAAATGAAATAATTTTGAAAAACATTTATTATGTTGGCAGTTTAATTGTCTTCCATATTCATGATGACTTCCAAAATATATGTAGCTCCAATTTTCCCTTTAATTCAAACCCATGATTCCAACTGCATATCTCAAAGTCATCTCATTTTCAACATAGTGACTCAACTCATTATTTTACCTTTCATCCTTTCCCCTCTGGTGTTCTATAGTTTAATAGCAACATCACAGCCACCCAACATAAAAACTTTTGCATCATCTTCCATCTTTCATCATTCTTTCCTTCAGTCTTCATCCCCAGGATCTGTCAGTTAACAAACTCTGTTGATTCTGCCTCTAAGATACGTTAAAAATCAAAGCTCTCCTCCTCTCCACATCTACTGCCTTGGCTGGGGCTGTCTTTGACTCTTCAACCTGGACCATTACCTAGCTGTATGTAAAAGTATGTAAGTATCTGCTTACATACAAGACACATTTGTAACAGTGTCCTAGAGCCTACAAAAAACAAACAAACAAACAAAAAACCAGACAAACAAACAAATAAGAGCAAATTTAGCAGGACATATGAAATCTTCCATGTTCTGGCCTAAACTCACGTTGTAACCTCATTACCCATAAATAACTGCTGTCCTCTCATCTCCTGCCCTTCCATACTTCCCATTCCATCTCCTTCTTCAACCCAAATATTGTTTCTTCCATGCCCCTTCTGACTCCTGACTCACTGAAATACAAGTTACCACCTCTTCCTCTATAATTGCAAAGCATATTTTATATAGCACTACTTTAAAAAAGAAAAATCACACTCCACTTTGCCTGGCTTCTGTGTTCAACTCAAGATGGGAGTTTCATCCTTGTCCTCTCTCTACGCGTGTTAACTCAGTATTTGATTTCTGTTTAGTGAATGAACAGCTTAAGACATTACAGAGTTAGAGATTAATTGAATTTCTTGCTCACTGACACAGAAAATATTGCTATTGGATTTTGAAAATTTGATCTTTTTTTCGTAACAGCTTTATTGAGATATAATTCACATACCATACAATTCACCCATTTAGAGTATACAATTCTATGGTTTTAAGTATATTCACAGAGTTGTGCAGCCATTACTACAACCAATTTTAGAATATTTTCATTGCCCCTAAAGAAACCCTATACCCTTTAGCTTATACTGCTAAGCAGCTGCCAATCTACTACACATTTGCTAACTCTAGACATTTCATATTAATGGAACCATACAATATCTGGTCTTTTATAATTGGCTTCTTTCACTTAGCATAATGTTTTCAATGTTCATTCATGTTATAGCATGTGTCAATACTTCATCTCTTTTTATGGCTCAATATATTATGGGTTTTTAATCTAAATTTAAAGACTTAAATTTTTTACATATCAGTGAGAAATTTTACATGTTAAGAAACATACATTGATTTATTTCCTTCAAAAAATTCAATTGCTTGGCTTATTGAAATAAAGATAAATTCCATTAGGTAAATATGGAAGAAGAATTGATTAAGTCATAACCCACTAAAACACCAATGAAACTTGTAATTGAATAATTCATTTGGAAATGTAGAATTAGCTACAAATTCCTCTAATTTTATTTTATGTTATGTTTGGCCTGGGATAGTAAAAAACTATAAATTGAAAACATGATAAGGAGAATATATAAAGAAATAAGTCAGATATCATAATAAAATCTCCTCTAAAGAATGATGGTAACTTGTCTACCGTGAAATACAACTAATGCCCTCGGTTGCCTTCTACTTTGGAAATTTTGTGAAAGGGAAGAAAAAAATTGTCTTACAATGTATTTTAGAATGTATTTCTATATACATGAGAAAGTGTGTTAGAAAAAGGCAACTCTTTACATTTCTTCTCCTACAATATAAATATGGCACATTTTCTTTTTAAATTTACAGTATTATAAGTGAAAATATTATGTAAGACAAAATATCTGGGTTACTTCCAACCTACTTTTTGTGTTTTTAATTCTTGACTCCTTTTAAAATAAGACAATATATTGAATTTTTGAATTGAATATATTGATTTTTTTTAATGGTGCATTGATTTTGAAACACTGCCTCTGCTTCCACTTGGCCAGCAGGGTTTAACATCTATATTCATACCAGGAAATTGCTTCACTTCGAGGAGGGACAGCTCAGCCAGGTGGGGAGGGAAAGTCAGGTTCTAACCAAAGTAGGGCATGAGAAAGGCGTCAATGGAGAGCCTTGCTCTTTTTTCAGATCAAATTTATTCAGCATCTTGAAAAAAATCCTCTCATTAATTTGTGCACATATCTCTTTTGAGATTGATGTTTTTGGAAGGAAAGTACAAAATGACAGTGTCTGAGAGGAGTGCTCTTAGCAAGATATTCCTGACCCAGTTAAAGAATCTTAAATTTCAGGCAAAAACTAATGCTCCCGATGTTCTTGGCAGTTCTATCATACATTTTTAGTGAATTCATTATAACTTTTAAAGCTTTTCCAATGTAAAAGATTATGAATATAAATGTAAGATTTTTAGGTATGACACAGTTGTCATCCATCTTTTTGTTTTTGTCATTCTTACCCTAAAAGAAATGGAGGCTGTTCTGGAGATCAAGCTGTTAAAATGTCCCCCTTTCAAATGTGTTAACAAATGTAATTGCTTCATATAAAAAAGGACATGGGATCTTAATGGCTGCCTTGGGAAGAAAAGGTATATTAACAACTGAGAGAAGAATAGGAGGGTTTATCATTGCTTCAAATATAATGAACATAGAGAACAAACCCTATGACAGTGTAGGTTATAGTTCTAGCCATTGCATTTGTATTCCATTTGCATTCCCTTTCTTTAGGGAGAACTGAGAAACAAGAGGCTAATCTGTCACCTCAGTATGTCCACAGTCTATGAGCTCTGTAGCAGATGTCTTTAGTGCTTGTGTCAGTGTCACCTCCCTTGCCTGCCTGTAATATCAGCCATAGCTGTGTTGCTCAGTTCTTCCCATGCTCAGATTTCACACAGCAGTGTCTGTATTAGTTTGCTAGAGCTGTTGTTACAAAGTACCACAAACGGAGTGACTTACTCAGCAGCAATTTATCATCACCAGTCTGGAAGCTGGACATCCAAGATCAAGGTGTCAGCAGCCTGCACTCCCTCCAGAGGTGCTAGGGAAGGGTCTGTTCTAGTCCTCTCTCCCAATTTCTAGTTCCTTGGGTTGTGGCAGCATAACTCCAATCTTCACATGACATTCTCCTTGTGTACATGCGTGCATCCAAATTTTCCTCTTTTATAAGGACACCAGTCATATTGGATTAGGACCAACCATAATGACCTCATTTTTAACTTGATTACTTCTGTAAAGACCCTGTTTTCAAATATGGTCACATTCTGAGATAGGATTAGGTTTCAACATTTGAAGTTTGAGGAGACATACTTCAACACATAACAGTGTCATACCTTAAATTCACGCCTTGCTTTTTTTTTTCTCATGGTCTTCTCAAAGCTAAAGCTGTGGGGACCAGTTGGCCTTAGAAAGTGAGGTTGTTGGCATTTTGGGGGATAAACCTCAATTAATCAGGGATGGGATCCAGTGGAGAATGTACTAGCCTCTTCTCCTTTGGTTGGGCAATTCTAGGAGGTATTCTGTCTTTTCTCAGAAGTCCTGGTGCGACTGAGTCCTAATTGCTACAACCCCCACCCCACTAACCATCCCAATTTTGGCTTTCTCCTCTATCTCACTGGTCCTTTTCTCTTAGTACAACTTCTTGGGATCCCTACTCAATCAAATGACCAACACTCTTGTGGGATTATTTCCTTGTTTCAGACTCTGCTTTTGCAACACTCTAAACAGTCTGCCTTTGTTTTTCAGCAGGAAAACTAACTGATCCTCCCTCCATAAGGTTGCATCTCAATTCAGTAGGACAACTATGTGATCGCCCATAAGGCTGCATCTCAACATGATAGTAGTACCTGAAGTTATGATATGAAATATGAGAAAGTATATTTTTCTAGTCTCCATAAATTTAACCTGTCTTGCTAGCATGATTATAGTAGACATATAAAAAATATAACTATCACTGAAAATGCTGTTGAGATTCTACTCCCATATTGGCAGGTGAGAAAACTGAAGCTCAGAGAGTATAAATTGATAATTACAAGAAGTTAAACACAGAGATGTGGCTAGAACCTAGATTCTCTGATCTCTAAATTAGCATTTTTCCCACCACACACTTAATTCCTGTTGCCAGGAATATTTCATTAGTTAACAATGAAATATTTGTTGTTCCTTTCAGAGGGTGTTTTACAAGCTTTCAAGGTAATGGAATATAAATTTCTTAAGGACAGGGAAGATTCCCATTTATATTTGTGACAAATGGGGTTATGTCTTTCATAGAATGAGTCCTAAATAGATACAATGTTAGCTCCATAATGGCAGGGATTTTGGTCTGCTGTATTCACTGGTATATCCCAAGAACCTAGAATAGTACCTGCCACATAGCAGGCATTCAGTAAGCATTTGTTGAGTGAACAGAGGAATGCATACATTCTTATAAGAAATAATTGTTTCTGTCTCCTATTCCATCTATTAGATTGTCACTTAATATGCATTAATAATAGCACAATTCTACCTGTCAAAGAATGTTTTAGATTGTTTACATATATTCTTGATCTAATCTAATCCTCATGATATCCCTACAATGTAAGGAATCTGAGGCTTAGAGGAATTTAGTAACTATTCCAGTATCACCAGACTAATGATTGACCCTACCATGTCTTCACCATGTTACCTCTGATTAGCATGACATAAATAACTGCAGTGTCAATGCTACAGAAAATGGCACAAGGAGCTCTAATCATCACTCATATAATAAGCAGTCATCTTGCAAACATCATAAACTGAAAGGTGAAGGACTTAATCCAAGCCATTTCCAAACACTGAGTGTGAGGGAGCATGACGACTCATCATAAAAGCAGAAAGACAACCCTTATTCCTCCCTGCTGGGTTGTCTGTTGGGAGTCAATTTTATTAAACTGAAATTACTTTCATTGTTATAATTCTTATATTATTAAGTGTCATTAATTGTTGGCTTTTCTTAATTTGTTATTATTTTTATTATTTTTTGTAGAGGGAGGTCTTGCTATGTTGCCAGGCTGGTCTTAAACTCCTAGTCTTAAGCAGTTCTCCTGCCTTGGCCCCTCAAAGTGCTGGGATTACAGGTGTGAGCCACCGTACTGGCCTAATTGTTGGCTTTCTTTGTCCAATTTATTCTTTCTGAGAAAATAACATTCTACTGAATAATGGCAGGCAAATAAAATCTCTTCCTTGTGAAAGCATGGGGTCCCTTTGACAACCTGAGACAATATACCCCAGCAGTTAAGTCAAGGGCACTAGAGTTCACTGTTTGGCTTTGACAAGTTCCTTACCCCCTCTAATTTTCAGGTTTTACATCAGTAAGATGGGATAAGAAAAAGTACTGAGCTTATAGTGTTGTGGTATTAAATAAGATAATGAAATCAAAGTGTTTTACATAGGATAGGACCTGACTCTAAATGTACATACTGAAATAAATATTGCCACCATCACTACCATCATCATATTGAAGAAAAGTTCTTTTTTAATGACATGATACTGTTATTTGTTTGAAGAAAGATCACCTTTGCTGGGGTAGGGATGGTTTCCCTGGGTCTGCAGATACAACATAGAAGGTGAAAATTTCCAAGATGATCTGAGTTCCTTCTTATGTGATTTAGGGCCACTCTATTCCCTACAGCTGTGCTTTCTAATATGGTAGCCACTGGCCACATGTGGCTCTTGAGCCCTTCAAATGTGGCTAATGCAACTGAGGAACTAAATTTTTTGTTTTATTCAATTTCCATGTGTTTAAATTGAAAGTCAAATAGCTACTTGTGGCTAGTGGCAACCAGAATGGACAGCACTGTGCTTTATCATGCTGAGGCTGGGATTTTGCAAACCTTTGCCAGCTGATGCCGTGTTAGGCTCTGCCTATAGGGAACCCTAGAGAGAGATGTCAAGGTTAGAAGGAGGAGAAGGGACCTGCTCCTTTCTGTCCAACTCTGGTCCCATCAGTCGGTATCAGGACAGCAATGGTTCTTCACCCTGATAGTTGCAGTTGGTTCCAGTATTGCTACATTCCCAGAACTAGCGTCGTTGTATCCCTCAGAGATACCATGACCAGGCTGGGCAGTGCCCCTACCTTGGATGTCTGAGTCCGTATTCCACAGGGCTCCTCTAAACCTTTAGATTCCAATAACCTTAACCTCTTATGTAGTAGTGGGTAACTGCGTCAGTTTCTCCTGTTTTTCTTTTCAGTTCTCTGGCAACAAACAGTTCAATTCTCTGCATTAAATCCTTTCCATTAAAATACTTCATATAGTGTCTGCTTTCCAGCCTGGTCACAATACAGGCTTCCTGGAATCTCAGTCCCTCTCGGGCACATTTCTACAGCTGCCTGAGTAGAATGCAGCTCCAGCCCCGGGACTTGTCCTAGCACTTTCCTCTGACACAGTCTAGCCAGATTTCTCCTTTTCTTTTTGCTAATTTTTAACTGCAGCTTTTACCTAAAAAGGTTGAAGTTTTATTTAGTCATACCATACTTTTCTCACTGGATCTCAGTTTTATAATCATTCATATATATATATATATATATATATATATATATATATATATATATATATTCTATTTTTAAAAATTAGAGTTATTTATTATTATTACTATTTTTGTCTTGTCTTCTGGTTTTCTCCTTAGTTCCCTTGTCTAAGTCACGTCTGTTTCATTGTTCCTTTCTGTTATTTATACTAGGTTCATAAAAAACTAACAAATTAACTTTTTTATTTTTAATTTATAGATTTAGGTTTGCCTTTATTTATTTATTTAAATTGACAAATAATAATTGTAAATATTTAGGGGGGACAATGTGATGTTTTGATCTATTTATACGTTATAGAAAGATTAAATCAAGCTAATTAACATATCCAACACTTTACCTACTTATTTTTTGTGGTGAAAACATTTAAAGTCTTCTTTTCTAGTAATTTTGAAATATACAATACATTAATTCTGGTCATCATATTTTGCAATAGATCACTAAGTCGTATTCCTTCTAACTGAAAATTGGAACCCTTTGACCCTTTTTCCACATCCCCACCCTCATGTTTCCCCTTTTTCCACACCCCCACCCTCATCCCCTGGCAACTACCATTCTACTCTGTATGAGTTCGACTTAAGATTCCATGTGTAAGTGAGATCATGTGGTAGTTGTCTTTCTGTGCCTGGCTTATTTCACTTATATGTGCTTTTTTTTCTTTGTTCTTTTTGTTTCATATATGTTTTAAATGACTTTTCATAAGGATGGCAAGAATTGAATGAATCCCAAGGGGCATTGATGACAGACTTTAATCAATGAGGAAAATGGAAATTTTCCTCCCTCTCACTTCTTCATGTCTATTTCTCTGGCTCCCCCTCAGCAACCCCCTACCCTAAGTGAGGCTTGTTCTCTAAAGAAATTCACCATGTAGTGACTGAGGCCATATAAAAATTAACTTTTCTCAGAGTCATGGTCTTCATTTTGCCTTTGACCCATTTTCTTCACTGGAAAGTTTTTGCATTCTGACATTTCACTTCGTTTGACTCACTGAGCTCTAAATCCATGGTCTATGAAATATATTATTATTGGATTATAGACAGATTCTTCTGGTGTTATGTCATAAACCTGGAGACATTGGTACTATGGAGGTGGCAGCCAGAGCAAGGCTGATACCATAGTGTTCTCAGGTGGTATTGAACTTCTCAACATTAATGGAGGCCTGATAGAGATGATTTTGCTACCTCTTGGACAATTTTACCCCAATCTGCTTCTTGCCTACTAATTATGAGGCTCCTTCTCCTCACTTTCTTATTGCAGACATGGAAAATTTTCTTTTAAGTGCACTTTTCCTCAGCTTCCTTCCCTTGTCATGCAGGCCAAGAGACACTGAAAGGATAGGCATTAGCACAAATAGAGGGTTAAAAATGTTTTATTTCCTTTTGGGGCGTTCATTCATATGTCAGGTTCCATTCTTGGCAAGCAATGATAAAGAGAAGTGTCAGACCCCCACCACTTTTAGATAATGGGTCCACTATGCCACAGTCCTCATCTAGGGGTCAGGAAGAGTCCTCTCAGCATATTTAAGGTGCTGAGACAAGGCTTTTTTCAACTTTTAACCATTGCCCTTATAATAGATGATGCTGTGAATAATCCGGGTTTTCATTTAGGACTGAAGCGCCTATCTCCCCTCCTCCCCCATCTGCTGGGTGCTGCTGGCTGACAGCTCTCAGCAGAGTTCCTCTTTGGGAATTCCCTTTGGCTGAAGAGAGCTACCTGCCTGGTGCATCACACCTGATTTCCCCAGAGAAAGCCACAGCCTTTGACTAGTTGATGTAGGAGTATAAAGGCCCAGCCCCCTTGCTTCAAGGCAGGACAACTGAAAGGACCATCTGAGCTCCAGAGTGCTCCACCTGGGCTCAGCTGAGGCCATGGTGGTGAAGACATTGCAGTTAACTTCTCTCTGCAGTTAACTTCTCTCTCTGCTCAACTGTTTACTCAGACTTTTCTAGGCATTCCCAAGAGCACTCCTGTAGCCATGAGGTTTGGTACCCGGAGTGGTCTGAGAAAGCACACTCTAAAATGGAATCACCCACCAGCTTGCCAGCAATCAGGACCCCATCACTTGGGGGAGGTAAAGGTCAGACAGCATCTGGCGTACTGTAGTCCTGTGATTGTTAGAACTGTGATGGGAAGCTTTCATCTCCTGCAGCCAGATAAACGAGGGTCCCATCACAATATAAGCCTGCCAGGGAAGTGCTGGCCTCCCAAGAGAAAGGGGGACTATACCCCAAAGTTGCTGCCAGATCTGGTCAACATATGCTGCTGTTGGGAACCAGAGGAGGATTGTGCTACTGGATTTTGAGGACACTGGATCAAGGAAAGAGCAAAAGTTGGATCAAAGGGAGTGTATTGACTTAGGTGCATCCTCCTCTGATGCAGGATTTAACACTCGGTAAGAATGCAAGGAGAGTATGCTGATACACAATTAGGTTGGCTCATGGAAGCTTGGAGAAAGCAGTTACCTGCACCAAGTCAAGTAAAAATGGCAGAATTGCCATAGCAGGTGGTGTAAGAAGAGGTCAGAAAGCTCAAAGAAATGGGCACTCTAGCATGGATATACTGTAAGGCTAGAAAACCCAGTGTTAATTATATTCCTAATCCCAAGAACCTGTGCATATGTTACCTTACCCGGCAAAAGGGACTTTCTAGACGTGATTAACAATCTGGAGATGGAAAGGTTTTCCTGGATTATCTAGGTGGGCCCACTGTTATCACAAGATTCTTTTTATTCTTATTCTAAGTTCTGGGGTACATATGCAGGATGCACAGGTTTGTTACATAGGTAAACGTGTGCCATGGTGGTGTGCTGCACTTACAACCCATCACCTAGGTATTAAACCCAGCATGCATGAGCTATTCTTCCTAATGCTCTCCTTATCCTTTGCCCCACCCCACAGTAGGCCCCAGTGTGTGTTGTTCCCCTCCCTGTGTCCATGTGTTCTCATTGTTAAGCTCCCACTTATAAGTGAGAACATGCGCTGTTTGGTTTTCTGTTCCTGTGTTAATTTGCTAAGGATAAGTGACTTCCAGCTCCATTCATGTCCCTGCAAAGGACATGATCTTGTTTCTTTATATGGCTGCATAGTATTCCATGGTATATATGTACCACATTTTCTTTATCCAGTCTATCATTGATGGCATTTGGGTTGCTTCTATGTCTTTGCTATTGTGAATAGTGCTGCAGTGAACATATGCGTGCATGTGTCTTTATGGTAGAATGATTTATATACCTTTGGGTACATACCCAGTAATGGGATTTCTGGGTCAAATGGTATTTCTGGTTCTAAATCTTTGAGTAATCACCACACCATTTTCCACAATGGTTGAACTAATTTACATTCTCACCAACAGTGTAAAAGTGTTCCTATTTCTCTGCAACCTTGCCAGCACAAAGATCTTACTAAGAAGGAGGCAGGAAATTCAGAGAAGAAGATGAGAGGACAGAAGCAGAGGTTGGGGTGATATGATTGCTGGTTTTGGAGATGGGAGAAGGGAAGGAGTCATGAGCTGAGGAATCCAGGTGGCCTCTGGAAGCTGGAAAAGGCAAGGGAATGAATTATCCTCTAGGACCTCCAGAAAGGAATGCAGCTCTGCTCTGCCCTGCCAACACCTTGACTGTAGCCCAGTGAGACCTGTGTCAGACTTCTGACCTCCAGAAATGTAGGAGAATACATTTGATATATCTTTTTCTTTTTTGAGACTGAGTTTCGCTTCTTGTTGCCCAGGCTGGAGGGCAATGGCGTGATCTCTGCTCACCGCAACCTCCGCCTTCCAGGTTCAAGCAATTCTCCTGTCTCAGCCTCCCAAGTAACTGAGACTACAGGCGCCCACCACCATGCCCAGCTAATTTTTGTATTTTTAGTAGAGATGGGGTTTCACCATGTTGGCCAGGCTGGTCTCGAGCTCCTGACCTCAGGTGATCCGCCTGCCTCGGCCTCCCAAAGTGCTGGGATTACAGGCATGAGCCACCGCGCCTGGCCTTGCATTGTTTTAAAAAGCCACTGAGTTTGTAGTAATTTGTTACAGCAACAATGGGAAACGAATAATTAATACAGACATGTATTGCTAACAAGGCACATTTGCATTCCTTGGCATTTATAGCTGTTGCATTCAAGGTAATGGGGCAAGCATCCAAACACTCCTGTCTTTTCTTGTAGTCAGGCTTGAACCTTTTCATATTGAAATATGTGTTGTTTTATTGTGAATTCCATTCTTTTTATATATTCTTACCTTTTGGGTTCAACATCCTTAAGATCTGTTCCCAGAAATATCCCCAATTTTCTATCTTAAAGCCTCCATTGTATAAGCCTTCTCTTCCCTAGTTTGATTCCACACTCAAACCCTTTCCAGGCATGCTAGAATCTGATTATGGTTATTGACTGAGCAACAATAACTGGTGGGGTACAAATTACTTTGTTCTGCAAGGCAGCATAATCAGGCCAGGAAGTAACAGTTTCTTTAAGCAAGGATAGGAGAACTGCTCTGCAGGCCCAGAAGGCTGTGGGAAGTGCTTCATTGGGAGGTTGGGGATTTAGGGGACTCCTCAGAGTGTTTCAGATATTTCCATTTAAACTGCTGGGATTGTACTCTTTCCAGGTCACTGCCTTTGCTCACATCAAAGACCTAGCAGGGCTATGAATTCAACTGATACTGTGATTCAGCAAGCAAACTTGGATTCGATCAGATTCAAAGTCTGAGTTAGATTTTTGGATATTTCATTCTTTTTGCTATAAGGGATAAAATATTTTTTAAAGCATGGTTATAGAAAATCTTTGATTTTAATCTGTGCCTTGAGGTGAAAATTTAGATATATGAGGTTTTTGTTCTCCAGGCTTTAGGTTTCACACTGCCAATCAGGAGCAGCCATCCAACTTAATTAGCTGTTTCAGCCCTGCCTAATTTGAACTGCTGGGTTCCTGTATCAGATTATGGACATAAGGTTCGGTGCATTTTCCTTCCTTGCTACTCAGAATATGGCCTGCAAACCAGCAGCATGGTCATCCCCTTAGGAGACTGTTAGAAATGCAGCATCTCAGGCTCCATTCTAGACCTGCTAGAATAAGAATCTGCATTTTAAGAAGACCCCCCGACTAATCAAGAGCCCAAGGTGGTCTGTATGCACATTAATGTCTGAGAAGCATGTGCCATACTATCTTGGCCAGATAAATATGGCTGGATTCTGAGTCTAGCTTCTTACCATCTCCTGGCTCTGCCTTCTTCCCTGTGGCTTTCAATTTGAGCTTCAGGTGCTGGCTCTAGCCTTAATATACCTCATATCCTCTCGGATTTAGGCCTAGGAAGAAAGGACACTGTCCTGTCTCCAAGAAGCCCTAGAAAAAGACTAATCACCTCTTAATAGTTCTGACTGGGTCACAAATTATTCCTGAACCAATCACTGTGGCCAGAAAAGTAAGATACACTGACAGTGGTCAGAGTCTCGTGTTAAAATGAGGGGTGAGGTCTAGTCAGAAACATCTGCTGAACATTGTCCACTATTAGTTGATACGATGTCCTAAGAGGATACCTAAGGACTTGATGAGTTTCATTTTACAAGAAAGGTAAATAAATCCCGCAGACAAAACAACAGATATTGACTCTGCCTCCCTTTGGGTTTTTGTGCTAGCTCCCACTGAGAGTGAGTTCTCTTTCCTGGTGGGCTCTGCCCCATCTTTGAATGTCCCCCTGTCCAACTTGATTACAAACAGTGATATTTCTCCTCATTTTCTTCTGAGTGATAGATTAAGACCTCAGGCTAAGAGTCTATCTTAATGCCCTTTCTTCCAGAAAGAGTTGTTAGGACTCATCCTTTGTTGCATGAACAGTGCCCTCTTCACTGCTGGTGACCTTATCTAAAAAGCTACAGACTCACCTACACTTAGTAACTGCTCACAAACATTCTAAATTGGTCCACTTAGACCTGCAGTTGTAAGTTTTGATTTCAGGAGTTTGCTTTCCAATCCATGACCAACATTTCTTTCTGGGTGTGTGGCCAGTTGGATAAGGCCCCTAGGATATTGGCTTTCTTCTGAGTTTTTAACTTTATAGCTTGTGAGTGACCTTGCTTTTAGAATATTAATCTCCTCAAATCTGTGATTTTAGGCTCCCACAGAAATAGAATATTACAGAAATAAATGGTATTACCCTCTGTAGCAAACACTTTTTGTTCCTTGTGCCATATCCCCATGGCCCACTTGTGATGGTGGATGCTGCTCTGGTAGAAAGTTCCCAAGCTGGCCAGCAGTATCTCATCTTGAGTTCTTGAACCACCTCTTTACTTTTTTGCCTGGGGGCTTTTGCCAAAGCAGAGGGAGGTTTAATGACCCACAGGTGGGGGAACCTGAAGTGAAGGGACTGTATTCAGTAGATAATGACTCTAGCCTTCTGCCTCTCATCCTTCAGAGAGGCATTTCTAAAGCACATTCATCTTTTATTTTTTTTAAAAGAAATATTTATTTTATTATTTATTTATTTTTTGAGACAGACTCTCATTCCATCACCCAGGCTGGAGTAGAGTGGTGTGATCTCGGCTCACTGCAACCTCTGCCTCCTGGGTTCAAGTGATTCTCGTTCCTCAGCCTCCCAAGTAGCTAGCTGGGATTATAGGCATCCACCACCACACTTGGCTAATTTTTGTATTTTTAATAGACATGGTGTTTCATCATGTTGGTCAGGCTGGTCTTGAACTCCTGACCTCAAGTGATCCGCCCACCTGAGCCTCCCAAAGTTTTGGGATTACAGGCATGAGCCACCACGCTCAGCCTACAGCATATGCTACCAGTTTCTCAGAGAGTCTCTAGTGGGATAGAGCCCAACTGCCTGCAGTAACCAACTCAGCAACACATACTTTGTTGGTTTTTTTCTCTTTCTTGATATCTCTTTCTTTCCTTTTCTCTCTCCATGTTACCTCACTCTTGCTTCCTGGGGCTGCCTCCCAAATAAACTGTCTGTACCCAAGCCCTTGCCTCAGCCCTGCTTTGGGGAAAAAATTGGGACACCAATTTCTTGGGCCAAATTCGTCCATTACCTGTTTTTATACAGCCTGCTTGTGAACTAGCAATGGTTTTTACATTTTTTTAATGGTTGGAAAAAAAAAACAAAAAAAACCAAGAATATTTTGTGACACATGAGAATTATATGAAAATCAAACTTCAGTGTCCATAAAGTTTTATTGGGACACAGACATACCCATTATTTGTGTAATATCTATGGCTGCTTTTGTACCGCAATGCAGGGTTGAGTAATTGCAACAGAAACCATCTGGCTTGCAAAGCCTAAAATAATTACTATCTTGCTCTTTACGGTAAAATCTGCTGGCCCCTGATCTAGGCAATAAATGTTAAATTAAAATTGAATTGTAACATTGTTAATCAAGTATAGACTGAACTCTAACCTTCTGTGTTATTCACATCAAAATAATTTCTTTCAGAATGTTTTAGATAGTCATTTAAAAAGTTTAACAGAGTTTCTACTTGACTGTCATTTATAACTTGCTTTTTAGATCTCAAAGATTTAATGTTGTAGGTAACTCTTCTGTTTATATGTACAGAAAAGAGAGATTAAAAACTCAGAAAGTGATTTCAATATTCGACTTTAATATTTCCTTTTAAATAACCTATTCAGCGTTTGACACATAGTAGGGAATATTTAATAATAAACAAATAAAAAACGACCACACTTTTTCTGACATACCGAGTAGTTTTCCTGTTTCATGTTAGAAAATTAGCTTCTTATAGAGGTAAGTGTTGCATTTTGTAAAATAAGTGGTCCCAGGCTTCGGGAACACAAGTTTCCTTTTTATGGTTTGGTTATAATCATAGTTCAAAGTAATTTGGTCTATTCATGTATTTCTGGAGCACAAAGCCCCTTTGTACAGAGAAAGTAATCAACACCTAAGAATTTTTCATTTTCTTTTATTACATTTTGCTGTACTTTCAGGTTCCCCATTACTTAGTAACACACTTGGAAAATGTCCAATAAATTATGTTTAGTATCAACTAAGGTTTATTAATGTAGCAATTCTGTTTCATGTGGAATGTTCTCTCTTACTGAAAAATTGTTAATAGTTTTCCATTGCTCACAGGATATATCCAAATACATTAGTTTGACTCATTCTGGGTACAGCCCATCTCTCAGACCTTATCTTCCACTATCATCTAGTCCTCACTTCCTTCTCTATCTTCTGATTATTATCGCAATGTTTTAGTCCATTCTGTGCTGCAACAAAATACCTGAGACTGGGTAATTTATAAAGAACAGAAATTTATTTTTCACAGTTCTGGAGGGGCTGGGAAGTCCAAGATTAAGGCACTGGCATTTGGTGTCTGCTGAGGGCCTTCTTGCTGTGTCCTCAAATGGTGGGCATGGGGGAAGGTAGAAAGGCAAGAGACAAACACTACTGCTTGAAGCCTCTTTTATGACGACCTTAATCCCAGTCATGAGGGAGGAGCCCTCATGGCTTAATAATCTCTTAAAGATCCCACCTCTTAATACTGTCACATTGGCAATACCAGAATTTTGAAGGGGTACATTCAAACCATAGCACCCACCAAAGCCCAGTTAAATGTCCTTTTACTCTGAGAAGCACTCCAACCTCCCTGGCCCTGCAAGATATCTCTTCTTATGTGTTGGATTGGGTTCCCCAGAAACAGGCCCAGAGATAAGAATTTGTGTGCAAGTGATTTCTTAAAGAAGTGCTCTCAGGAGAAAATGGTGAAGGAGTTAGGGAAACAGGACAGGGAAGAGTGTGATTTTTGTCTTGCTTGGGTATTTCAACCTGATCATGCAGAGGAACTCTGGAGTGTAAGTTACTTCTCAGCCTTTGTCTTACCTTGAGGAACAGGAGTTGGACTTTTATACTCTCAAAGTCCTGAGTTATTGGTGAAGGACTGCTCAGGGGCAAGTAGAATCCCAGGCATCATGTGCTTTGCCCCATGCATAGGACCAAAGTGGCTTTCAGTGGTATCTTCTGAACAAAGTCACAGGTTATAGACCATTTTAAGCAGAAGCCACGGGAAGGACATACAGAAGTGGTAAAAGAAATCTCAATTTCTATCACATGATTTCCTCTAGCATATGCTTGGCATGTGTTATGTACCACCTTCCATTTCCAAATTCTGTTGAAAGGAAAATGGTCTGGGATTGAACTCTGTCTCACTACCTAGCTGAGAGACCTTGAACATATGACTAAACTCATAGTCTTAGATTGTGCTTCTTTAAATGAACATAGTTCTGCCTACTTCAGAGAATTATTCATCGAGTTGAAGGGGTTACCTGGGAAGCTGGCACACAATAGGTCTTCCACATATGTTAAATCTGAAATTGCCTCACTTTGCCAGTCTTTGGCAACCTCTTGCTCTTCTGGCCATCATCTAGGATTAATCTCTATTATATGACACAATGGAATGATTTATGAGCTTCTCTATTTTAGTACAGTTAAGCACCATTGACAAATGATGCATGATGTCTCAGTTGGGTTAGGTGGGAATTCTGAACCTCAGCATTAGTGACATTTTGGACTGGATCATCCTTTATCATGAATGGCTGTCCTGTGCACTGCAGGATGTTTAGCAGCATCCTTGACCTATACCCACTACATCCTAGTAGCACTTTCTCAAGTTAAGAAAACCAGAAATATCATCAGACATTGAAACAAAATGTCCCCTAGGAAGCAAAATCACTCTTTGTTGAGAATCACTGGACTAAAGAAATCTCCAGGAGCTGTGCAGAGTTTATTTCAACCTCAGAAACCATGTAAGTAGGTTAACAGCAGCACCTGTTAAATGCTAGAAAATGTCCTCCCTTTCCCTCTTTAAATAATAGAATTTTTCATACATGGTGGGTTTTTCATTTTTATTTTCTTTCTTATTATTGGCTATTGTTTTGTTCTGGACATTGAGGAGGAAGGCAGGGAGGAACCTCACATTCCAAATGTAAGAATTTGGAGGGCCATGCTGCAAGCAACATGTAGGTCTTAG
The DNA here is from genome assembly GCF_000001405.40 of Homo sapiens. Lineage (NCBI taxonomy): Eukaryota > Metazoa > Chordata > Mammalia > Primates > Hominidae > Homo > Homo sapiens. The sequence goes on along the minus strand of NC_000023.11, from coordinate 14,777,933 downwards.
AGATCCAGAGAACTCACATATATCTTATAACAAGTCTCCAAAGGAGCCATGATTTGAATTCATACTGCTTTGCTCACTCCAGCATTTGGGAAGCAGTCATTGAAAGATCGTGATATCGGGTAGTGATTGATTGTTTCCTGTTACATTTTGTTGGGGACAGGAGGAGTAGAATGAATGTTATTGGGTAAGACAGGATGTGCCAATCTTCTTTGTAGAAGGAAAGCTTTGCAACATTTTGTTACTGTGATGCTAATGAGTCATATTTAGGAGTGAATATTTCCATACAAAATGCTGTCCAGTGATCTTACCTTTATATGACCTATGGGTTCTAATTTTACTGTGTTTCAGTCATCCTTGTCAAAGAGAAAGCCAGAGTAATTGAAATCATCAGATTACTATAATTGCAGCTTTATATGAATCCAGTAATTATCCCCTGAATTCCATTTTCAGCACTGAATATTTATCTATTTGGAGCAGATAGAATTTAAAAAAATATTGAGTAATGCAAATTGTAATCTCAGGAATTTGAACTGGTAGAATAACATTACTTTCCCATCCTAGAAAAATAATATGCTATTTTCAATCTCTCCTGAAGTGATGATAAGTAACTGCCAACTGAGTGATAACTCTCAGCAGGTGTCCTAATAGGTAGACCCCTGTGAAAAATCAGCTAATTTACACTACCAGCAGACCTTCATTTAAGAGAGGCTTTTGAATCTTTACGAGTTGAGTTTATAAACCTTTAAGTATTTCAGTATTGTAATGATTGGTTTTATTTTGTTAACCTGCTTTTAGACCCAGCAATGCCTGGCAAGGCTTCAGAAACAACGCATTCTTACATGTGATAAAGCAGGAATGCCTGTGGAGACCAGTAGATGAGGCCAGTGTTGCCCCACTGTTCCCCTCTAGGCACCCTCCAGTTACTTTGAGCTCATTTCACATGAGTACCCAGTAATCCTCTTTCCTTGATTCCTCTTTCTACTTTATCTTCCAACCCTTCTCTCTAGCTTCAACACCTCAACTGCCTTACAAGCCCACCCAACGTGGCCCAGATGGCATGTCTTCATTTCTTGCATTAGTGAGTTCCATTTTGCCCAGAATCCTTAGGAAGTTCAGAATGGCACACCTGCAAGATAAACACTCCTCTCTCTTGCTAATAGTACCCATTAGTCCTCATAGCTCTACTGTGGTGTTTCCTTTGAATTACTATTTTGGTTAAGTGGTTGTCCAAGTTTATTTTAGCAGTCAAGATTTTCCCTCAAATAAAAACAACTAAGTAGCTGCAATATGTGAAACTGACATGTATGCTGTTGCTCTTGGAGAGGTGGGGCTGGGGGCCTAGGGCCATCTCAGCCAGCCTTCACAGTCCCCTTTTCTCAGCCCAGGCACTCCCTAGACTGGAGTGCGCTATTCAATACCATTTACAAATTGCTGATATAGCACAACCTCTTTATTTTACAAAGAAAAAACGGAGGCCCAGAGAGGTTCGGGCACAAATTCCAAGTCTCATTGCTCATTTCTGACAGAGCCAAGATTTGAACTGTTGCTCTTTCCCCAACAGCCCTCCCAACCATCCTGGCCAAATGTCCAACAGGTATTTTTGACAACCTGAAGCGGGTGGGCATTTTCCCTAGGATCAGAGACCCAAATCAGTCTGAACTACTTGCTTTATCATTGCTGATGAAACAAAAAGCACTCTGAAAAAATACCACACCCAAGCTGATGATGTATAGCTTCTCAGAGGAAACCTCTTTTTTCTTTATTTCCACCATTCCTGCCATTGCAGGGCTCTCCTCCTCCCCTTCCCCCACCCCCACCCCAGTGATTTCGAGAGCTATCAGGGCATATCAGACGTGCCCATAAACAAATCACGAATTTTTCTTTCCATCAGGCCTGTTGGGCTCAGGCTGTGACTTGTCCCTGTGAGTTTGTAGGTATTGATGACCTGTCCACTGGGCACTGCTGTTCTTTCTTGAGGACTTGGTATGAAGTGGGTGAAGAATTTCCCTTTTCTCTGTCATCCTCTGCATAGCAGCTGCTTATGCCCCAGTGCCTTACAGAGCTCTTAGGAATGTGACCAAGGACCCTCCATAAGTATTGGACACACTTGTCCAATTGTGGATGCTGGGTAGGAAGATAACTCTAAATAACTGACTCGATGCTGTACTCAAAATAGCCCCAATCCTCTGATCACTATATCTGGATCAAGCTTGTTGTGCAGGATTTTGTTTTGTTTTGTTTTGTTTTATATTGTTCTGTCTCAGGAGAACCCTTAAATGCTCAAATAAATAAGCAAAACAGATTTCTGGCACTGAGCCCACAGAGAGGCCCAGACAGCCTCAGTTCTCCTTGGTGACACAGCATAAGCTCAAGCTGAGACTTCACTGGGCTGTGAAAAGTGATTTCCACAGTTTAGGATTTGGCTACAGCTTGCACCCTTGCCTAGCTGGCCGAGCTAGTCTCGAATAGCTATCCTCCTGCCCTTACTGCTTCCCAGCAGCTACAGGAGTCCTGCCTGCCTTCGCAACACCTTCTCCTGGCTCAGCTAGTTCTTCTGAGTTCTTTTGTCCCACAATGCCTGGCCAAGTATCAATTGTATTGAAAGATAGAGGAAGGCAGGCAGGGACACGATCAGCAGCAAGAAAGTCTTCAAGTATAGAAGCGCGAAGATGGGAGCTGGCAAGTCAAAGGAAGGATCCCCCAGAAGGAAGGAGAAATAGAAAGTCAGAATGACGGTACCAAAGTAAAAAAAAAAAAAAAAAAAAAAAAAAAACATTAGAGAAATAGAAATAACAGAGTGGAGGCCGGGTGCGGTGGCTCACGCCTGTAATCCCAGCACTTTGGAAGGCCGAGGCGGGCAGATCATGAGGTCAGGAGATCGAGACCCTCCTGGCTAACACAGTGAAACCCCGTCTCTACTAAGAATACAAAAAATTAGCCGGGCGTTGTGGCAGGCGCTTATAGTCCCAGCTACTTGGGAGGCTGAGGCGGGAGAATGGCAGGAACCCGGGAGGCGGAGCTTGCAGTGAGCCGAGATTGTGCCACTGCACGCTAGCCTGGGCGACAGAGCAAGACTCCATCTCAAAATAAATAAATAAATAAATAAAAATAACAGAGTGGAAATAGAAGGGAGCCTCAAAAAGAAATGTTATTGTTTACGGACAATAAAGAGACATGGCCAGGGCTTTCAGAATCTGACCCTTTGTTACCTGTGAAAAGATAGGAAAGACAATGACTATTAAAACATTTGTACTTTTCCTCTGAGTTGTATACTTCACATAAATCATAGGAAAGTTTTTTCTACTTCTAGGAAATTTGTTCATTTTCCTTTCTTTAGTACTTTTAAGATTTCAAAGTTTTACCTTTAAAATTGATCCATTTGGAGTTGATGTTGGTGCACACTGTGAAGTATGGAGCCAACTTTTCTTTTTCCAGAAGGCTACCCAATTGTCCCTATTGCCATTGATTAAAAAGCCCAACTTTACCAAATAGGTTTGAGATGCCCCCTTCTATCATATGCTAAATCCTCATATGGATTTCTATTTTATATTTCTGGACTATTCAGTTGCATTGGCATTTCTGGTTGTGTATCAGCTCCATATTTTAAAATAATTTTGAACATTATAAATATGTTTTAATATCTAGTAGCACTTGTCATTCTTCATTACTTTTGTTATTCTTCAGGCTTTTGCCTAGCTATTCTTGTATATTTTGTCATTTAACTTTTCAATTAGAATGACTGGTTCTAGACAAAAATGATTGGCACTCATTGGGATCTCATTAAATTTATAAAACAATAATTTAAATTTTTAATAGCTACTTAATATTTTTCATACTCGAATTTATTATGCTGTTTTTTGACATTTAAGTAGTAGGCATTTATTATTTTGTCAGATCTTTATTTGCTCTCCTTCTTTGAGGCAGTTGCTCCTTTCTCAGTCTAATTATATGATTTGGGTGGGTCCTGTGAAATATAGAACCTCACCACACCGTTGTATCTGGTTCACCTAATGGATCTGTGTATCAGGCCAGACAAATTAAGACTCTTCCCCGGGACTTCTTTGAGAGCGAACCTCAATGGGTGTAGAGATGTGAGGTTGTGAGCAAAGATGGTTTCACTTCATGGAGAAGGTACCAGGAAAGAAGAAAGTGGACACATACAGAGTGCCCTGGTGATATATATCTCCTGCTTCAGGTATCTCTCACTAGAGTCCCACTCTTGCTGTTTACAAGAGCCAAGCAATCCCATTCTGCTAAAGATAGTTTTATTAAAGGAATACTTAACAATATAAAGGTTCAGTATTCCTTTCCTCCCCTCCTCCATGCCTTTGTTTAGATGTGAGAATCTCATTGAGCATTGAGCATCCTCTAAAATGCAGTCATGGGCTCTGTACCTGTATTTCTCTCTCCTTTTTCTTCCAGCATCCTGCATGTCAGCTAAACTGCTTTATGACTATACCTTTGCCTTGCTTGCCTTTGAAACCTGTTCTAAATCTCCTAGATTCTCCCATTTTCTGATTCCCATAGTAATATTATGACACCTTACTATTCACAAGAGGTATGTTCAGAGCTCTCACAGACCCCTGCCATTGCTGACATGAAATGTTTATTTAGGCTTTCTTTTTAGCTGCATTTTTGTGCAAGGCATGCATGCATCCTAGAGCCAGCTCTTCAATCATCACTAAAGTTTTAGCTTTCACTTAATTGCTGTTGTTCACAAACACCTTTTAAAAATCTCCTTATAAATTTCTATATGCGGTACTAAATTAAAGAAAAATAGATTGGGATCCAAGATGGCTGATTAGAAGCATCTGCAGTCTGTGGCACTCATGGAGAGGAATGAAAACGGGCGAGTGAATTCAGCACCTTCAACTGAGATATCCAGGTTCTTGCATTGGAACTGACTGGGCAAACAGCTCAACCCATGAAAAACGAAGAAAAGTAAGTGGGGTGGTGGTGGGGGAAGGGGTGTGGCCATGACCCACCCGGGAGCAGCATGGAGCCAAAGGAACTCCCACCCCTAGCCAAGGGAAGCAGCGAGTGATTGTGTGACTCTGCCTGGGAAACCATGCTTCTCCCATGATTCTTTGCAACCCTTGAATCAGGAGATCCCCTCCTCAGTCCAGGCCACCAGGGCCTTGGGTCTGGTACACAGAGCTATGTGGAGTCGTGGCAGAGCAGCTGCTCAGGCACACACCGAGATCCAGGAGTTTTATATACTCTGGCCCTGGGATCCCCTGCAAGGCAGGAAATCCATTTGTACATATCACTAGGAAGGGGACTGAATCCAGGGAGCCAGGCAGCATCATTCTGCATGCCCCACTTCCATGGAACCTCACAAGTTAAGACCCACTGGCTTGGAATCCCAGCCGTCCAACAGCAGCTGGTTGGAGTCTGCCTGAGAAGGGTTCGAGTTCCTGGGAGGAGGGGCAGCTGCCACCTATGCAACTCAGTCAACTCAGCCACTCCAGCCTGCTGGCTGTGGAGAACACAGACAATCCAGATAAGGAAGGGTCCCCAACAATGAAGCATAGCTGCCTTGCCAGATTGTAGCCAGACTGCTTCTTTAAGCAGGACCCCAGTCCATTCCTCCTCACTGGGCAGGAGTTCCCTGTGGGGGCTTCAGCCATTCCAGCCAGGGTTCTATAGACAGAACTTTGATATCTCCCTGGGATGGAGCTCCCAGGGAGAGAGCGGCCACCATCTCTGCAGTTCAGTCAACTCAACTGTTTCAGTCTGCTAGCTTTGGAGAATACAGGTGGTCTGGACAAGGAAGGCCCCCCAACCCCTCCAGCCCCCAACACAGCACATCTGCAGCCAGTCTGCTTCTTTGGGTAGGTCCTTGATCCCATTCCTCCTGACTGACTGAGACTTCTCAATGAGGGTCTCCAGCCACCTCCTACAGGTATGTGGGGGCCAGCAACAGGTCAGTATCCCCCTGGGATGGAGCTTCTAGAGGAAGGAGCTGGCTGCCATCTTTGCTGTTTTGAAGCCTTCACTGGTGATACCTCCAGGTACAGGAGAAACTGAGGCAACTGGAGTCTAGAGCAGACCCCAACAAACTGCACAAACAGAAAACAACAACAACAACATGAACAACAAAAAATACCTCACAAAAAACTCATTCAAAGGTCAGTGACCTCAAAGATTGAAGGTAGATAACCCCACAAAGATGAGAAAGAATCAACATAAAAACACCAAAAACTCAAAAAGCCAGATTGCCTCTTCTATTCCAAATCACTGCAACACCTCTCCAGCAATGGCACAAAACTGGGGTGAGGCTGAAATGGCTGACTTGACAGAAGCAGGCTTCAGAAAGTGGGTAATAACGAACTACACTGAGCTAAAGGAGCATGTTGTAACCCAATGAAAAGAAGCGAAGAATCATGATAAAACAGTACAGGAGCTGATAGCCAGAATAGCCAGTTTGGAGAGGAACATAACCGACCTGATGGAGCTGAAAAATATGTCGGGAGAGCTTTACAATGCAATCATAAGTATCCATAGCAGAATAGACCAAGCAGAGGAAAGAATCTCAGAGCTTGAAGATGCTCTGTCTGAAATAAGACAGGCAGACAAGAAAAGAGATAAAAGAACAAAAAGGAATGAACAAAACCTCCTAGAAATGTGGGATTATGTAAAGAGACCTAACCTACGACTGATTGGGGTACCTGAGAGAGACAGGGATAATGGAACCAAGTTGGAAAACATACTTCAGGATATCATGCAGGAGAACCTCCCTAACCTAACAAGACAGGCAACAGTCAAATTCAGGAAATGCAGAGAACCCCACTAAGATACTCCATGAGAATATCAACCCCAAGAAACATAATCATCAGATTCTCCTTGGTCAAAATGAAAGAAAAAATGTTAAGGGCAGCCAGAGAGAAAGGCCAGGTCACCTACAAAGGGAAACCCATCAGACTAACAGCGGACCTCTCAGCAGAAACCCTACAAGCCAGAAGAGATTGGGGGCCAATATTCAACATTCTTAAAGGAAAGAATTTCCAACCCAAAATTTCGTATCTGGCCAAACTAAGCTTCATAAGCAAAGGAGAAATAAGATCCTTTTCAGACAAGCAAATGTTTAGGGAATTCATCACCACCAGGCTTGCCTTGAAGAGCTCCTGAAGGAAGCTCTAAATATGGAAAGGAAAAACCATTATCAGTCACTACAAAAACACACTGAAGTACACAGACCAGTGACACTATGAATCTATCACATAAACAAGTCTTCAAAATAACCAGCTAGCATCACAATGACAGGATCAAATTCATACATAACAATACTAACTTTAAATGTAAAACGACTAAATGCCCCAAATAAAACGCACAGAATGGCAAGCTGGATAAAGAGCCAAGACCCATCAGTGTGCTGTCTTCAAGAGACCCATCTCGTGCAAAGACACACATAGGCTCAAAATAAAGGGTGGAGGAAAATTTACCAAGCAAATGAAAAACAGAAAAAAAGCAGGGGTTGCAGTCCTAGTTTCTGACAAAACATACTTTAAACCAACAAAGATCAAAAAAGACAAAGAAGGGCATAATGGTAAAGGGTTCAATTCAACAAGAAGAGCTAACTATCCTAAATATATATGCACCCAATATAAGAGCACCCAGATTCATAAAGCAAGTGATTAAAGACCTACAAAGAGACTTAGACTCCCACACAATAATAGTGGGAGACTTTAACACCCCACTGACAATATTGGACAGATCATCAAGGCAGAATATTAACAAAGATATTCAGGACCTGAACTCAGGTCTGCATCAAGTGGTCTTGATAGATATCTACAGAACTTTCCACCCAAATTCAACAGAATATACATTCTTCTCATTGCCCACATGGCACTTACTCTAAAATTGATCACATAATCAGAAGTAAAACACTCCTTAGCAAATGCAAAAGAACTGAAGTCATAACACACAGTCTCAGTTCACAACATACTCAAGATTAAGAACTTTACTCAAAACGACACATCTACATGGGAATTGAACAACCTGCTCCTGAATGACTCTTGGGTAAACAATGAAATTAACGCAGAAATCAAGAAGTTCTTTGAAACAAATAAGAACAAAGAGACAACATATCACAATCTTTGGGATGCAGCTAAAGGAGTGTTAAGAAGAAAATTTATAGCACTAAATCCTCACATCAAAAAGCTAGAAAGATCTCAAGTTAACCTAATATCTCAACTAAAAGAACTAGAGAACCAAGAGCAAACAAACCCCAAAACTAGCAGAAGACAAGGAATAACCAAGATTAGAGCTGAACTGAAGGAGATGGAGACACTAAAACCCTTCAAAAATCAATGAATCCAGGAGCTGGTTTTCTGAAAAAATTAATAAAACAGATGGACCACTAGCTAGACTAATATGGAAGAAAAGAGACAAGACTCAAATAAACACAATCAGAAATGATAAGGAAGATATCACCAATGACCCCACAGAAATACAAATAACAATCAGAGAACATGACAAACACCTTTATGCACATAAACTAGAAAATCTAGAATAAATAAATTCCTGAACACATAACCCTTCCAAGACTGAACCAGAAAGAAATTGAATCTCTGAATAGACCAATAACGAGTTCTGAAATTGAGGCGGTGATAAATAGCCTACCAAGCAAAAAAAGCCCAGGACCCGACGGATTCACAGCTGAATTCTACAAGAAGTACAAAGGAGATCTGGTACCATTTCTATTGAAACTACTCCAATAGATTGAAAAGGAGGGACTCCTCCCTAACTCACTCTATGAGGCCAGCATCATCCTGATACCAAATCCTGGAAGAGATACAACAACAAAAAAAGAAAACTTCAGGCCAATATCCTTGATGAACATCAGTGCAAAAATCCTCAATAAAACACTGGCAAACTGAGTCCAGCAGCAGGTCAAAAAGTTTATCCACCATGATCTAGTTGGCTTCATCCCTGGGATGCAATGTTGATTCAACATATGCAAATAAATAAATGTGATTAATCACATAAACAGAACTCATGCCAAAAACCACATGACTATCTCAATAGATGCAGAAAAGGCCTTTGATAAAATTCAACATCCCTTCATGTTAAAAACTCAATAAAGTGGGTATTGAAGGAAGATAACTCAAAATAATAAGAGCCATATATGACAAACCCACAGCCAATATCATACTGAATGGGCAAAATCTGGAAGCATTCCCCTTGAGAACCGGCACAAAACAAGGATGCCCTCTCTCACCACTCCTATTCAACATCATATTAGAAGTTCTGGCCAGGGCAATCAGGCAAGAGAAAGAAATAAAGCATATTAAAATAGGAAGAGAAGAAGTCAAATTATCTTTATTTGCAGATGACATGATTTTATATTTAGAAAACCCCAATGTCTCAAATCAAAAGCTTCTTAAGCTGTTAAGCAACTTCAGCAAAGTCTCAAGATATAAAGTCAATGTGCAAAAATTGCCAACAGTCTTATACACCAACAACAGGCAAGCAGAGAGCCAAATCATGAATGAACGCCCATTCACAATTGCTACAAAAAGAATAAAATACCTATGAATACAGCTAGCAAGGGAAGTGAAAGACCTCCTCAAGGAAGACTACAAACCAGTGCTCAAAGAAATCAGAGAGGACACAAACAAATGGAGAAACATTCCATGCTCATGGATAGGAAAAATCAATATAATGAAAATGGCTATACTGCCCAAAGTAATTTATAGATTCAATGCAATTCCCATTAAACTACCACTGACATTCTTCACAGAATTAGAAAAAACTACTTTAAAATTAATATGGAACCAAAAAAGAGCCCAAATAGCCAAGAACAAATCTGGAGGCATCACACTACCCAACTTCAAACTATACAAGCCTACAGTAACCAAAACAGCATGGTACTGGTATAAGAACAGACATATAGACCAATGGAACAGAATAGAGAACTCAGAAATAAGACTGAACACCTACAACCATCTGATCTTCAACAAAACTGACAAAAACAAGCAATAGGGAAAGGACTGTCTAATAAATGGTGCTGGGAGTGCTGGCTAGCCATATGCAGAAAACTGAAACTGGACTCCTTCCTTGCACCATATACAAAAATTAACTCAAGATGGATTAAAGATTTAAATGTAAAATCCAAAACTATAAAATTCCTGGAAGAAAATCTAGGCAATACCATTCAGGACATAGGCACAGGCAAAGATTTCATGACGAAATTGCCCAAAGCAATAGCAACAAAAGCAAAAATTGACAAATGGGATCTAATTAAACTAAAGAGCTTCTGCACAGCAAAAGAAACTATCAAGAGAGTAAACAGACAACCTACAGAGTGGGAGAAAATTTTTGCAATCTCTCCATCTGACAAAGGTCTAATATCCAGAGTCTACAAAGAACTTAAACAAATTTGCAAGAAAAAAAAAACAATGAAAAGTGGACAAAGGATATGAATAGATACTGCTCATAAGAAGATGTACATGGGGCCAACAAACATATTAATAAAAGCTCAATGTCACCGATCATTAGAGAAATGAAAAATCAAAACCACAATGAGATACTATCTCCCACCAGTCAGAAAGGCTATTATTAAGAAGTCAAAAAACAACAGATGCTGACAAGGTTGTGGAGAGAAAGGAATGCTTTTACACTGTTGGTGGGAGTGTAAATTAATTCAACCATTATGGAAGACAGTATGGTGATTCATCAAAGACCTAGAGGCAGAAATACCCTTAGACCCAGCAATCCCATTACTGGGCATGGACACAAAGGAATATATATCACTGTATTATAAAGATACATGCACGTGTATGTTCATTGCAGCACTATTCTCAACAGCAAAGACATGGCATCAACCCAAATGCCCATCAAGGAAACTAGATAAAGAAAATGTGGTATATATACACCGTGGGGTATGCAGCCATAAAAAGGAACAAGATCATGTCCTTTGCAGGGACATGGATGGAGTTGGAAGCCATTATCCTCAGAAAACTAATGCAGGAACAGAAATCCAAACACTGCATGTTCTCACTTATAAGTGGGAGTTGAATGACAAGAACACGTGGACACATGAGGATGGGGAACAACACACATTAGGGCCTGATTGGGTGGGGAGTTGGGGAGGGAGAACATCAGGAAAAATAGCTAATGAATGGTGGGCTTAATACCTAGGTGATGGGATGATCTGTGCAGCAAACCACCATGGCACATGTTTACCTATATAACAAACCTGCACATCCTGCACATGTACCCCTGGACTTATAAGTTGAAGAAAATTTAAAAAAAAAAGAAAAAGAAAGATGAGTTAATGAAAACACATATATCCAGGTAGTTTTATACATTGGCCTAATGATGTATTCTTCAACTAGCCGACAGTGACAACTGCTCTTCAAATGTTTGCCTTAAGAAAGTTACCCATTATTAGAATTATATTAATACAAAGCTTCGTTGAGTCAGTAGGATTTTGCTTCACTTTACTATTAACTCTAAATTTTGTATTGTTTTGAAGGAAGAACACATATTTGATTCATCCCTCATTACTTCTGGGTGCTTACTAACTTATTTAATAGCTGAATGAATGAATTTCTTATGCATGTTAGTTTTTCCCAAAACACCTGGCACTCTGAAGCACTCAATAAAATTTTGTTGAATGAACAAATAAATGTATGAATATATGAATGTAGAATGAATAAATCAAAGAGCCATAGACTAGATCAATGAACTAAATATTTTCATAGTAGAAATTTCCTGAATACCAGAGAATTACAGCAATCTGTTTTGTCAGTATAACAAATAGTGTGTTTATACCTCTCTTAAGCAGGGTTTCTCAACCTTGGCACTGATGACATTTGGGGCTGGATAATTATTTGATGTGGGGGCAGTGTAGGATGTTTAGCAGCATCCTTGGTGTCAACCCAATAGCTTCCAGTAATACCTGCCCCTAGTGCTGACAACCAAAAATGTTTTTGTAAGTTGCTAAGTGTCGCCTGGGAGAGGGGGGAGAAACAGCCCCCATTTAAGAACCACTACTCTTGAGATCCTTTGGTTACCCATTTTTCCTTTCTTCTCTCCAGCTGCATGTTTAATAATGTGTAAATCATTTTTAAACATCTTTTCATTTCTCCGGCGGCAGAGTGGACACTGCCTGATCTCTCAGTTGTGTAATGTGCATTTGCCATTTTCATGTTTGCTTGAGGAACTGTGGGACCTTCTGTTTACAGCAGACATCACTTGCCTGTCATCAGCATTTTTAGGCTGAATCAAGCTGTCAGGCTTTGTTATGTTGAAGCTGCTGTTGCCAACTTCAGTAAGTAAGAACAACAAAAAATGCCTTCTGACTTCCCTAACAAGAAGTCCTGTTTGACAGATTTAATTTGATTAAATAGATGCTGAGGCATTTCATTAATAAATGACCAACTTAACTGTCATTTCTGAGCTATCTTCTTACTCTTCAACTGGAGAACGGAGTTTGCTCCTTTAATGGTGGAACTGTTCTTGATGATTGTATCTCATAAAAAAGACAAGCTGGCTGGCCAAGATAATGGGGTAGACAGTTACATATTTTATTAGTCCTCTCTTACTGTGTAACAGATTACTCCCTAAACAAGTGGCCTTAAATAATAAGTATGTATTATTTCACTCTCTGGGTGGGGCAGGAATTTGGGAGCAGCTTCCATAGGAGGCTGTGATTTAGGGTCTCTCCTAAAGTTGCAATTAAAATGTCAGCTGCAGTTGCAGGTCAGATGATTTGACTGAAGCAGGGCTTAAGGAAGCTTGGTCACTCTCATGGCCCCTGGCACGTAGGGTTACCAAATTATGGGAAACATACACAAAATCAAAACTCAGGATGCCGAGTTAAATTTGAATTTCAGATAGACAATGAAAAATTTTGTAATATAAGTATGTCCCATGCAGTATTTGAGACATACTTATGCTAAACGATTACTCATTGTTTATCTGAAATACAAATTTAACTGGCATTCTGTTTTTTATCTGGCAACCTTATTGGCATTGGCAGTTGGTCTGAGTTCCTTGCCACATGGGGCGCTCCAAAGGGCTGTTGAAAAGTCCTCATGGCATGGTAGCTAGCCTTCCTGAGAACTAGTGACAAATAGGTGAACATTGCATTGTCTTTTATGATCTAGCCTCAGAAGTCACATGCCATTACTTCTGCCATACTTTATTGGTCACATAAACCAAACATGATACAGTGTGAGAGGGGATTATACAAAGGTATGATCATTAGGTGCCATCATGGAGGTTGGCTCCCACATCTATGTTGTGGGATTTTTTTTACTCTTTTTGTGGTTGGCAGAATTCTAAGAGAACCCCAAATGAGTTATGCCCTTGTATAATATCCTCCCCTTGAATGTGGGCAGAGCCTTGGATTTGCTTCTTGCTTCTCACATGTCTTATTCTAGCCAATAGAATGTGAAAAAGGTGATGAGATATTTATCCCTTGATTAGGTTAACTTATAGGGCAGAGATGGTAGGATGTCATTTTCATAATTAATTCTGTTACATAAGTCCCTTTTAGCTGACTAGAGCAACAGACACTCCCTTGCTGGCCTTGAAGAAGCTACCATGTTGAGAAGCCTGTGAGAGGGCCTGCGAGATGGAATATGAGCAGACTCTATGAGCAGAGAATGGCCCTCAGCTGGCAGCAAGCAAGAAAGCAGGGATCTCAGTCGTACAGCTGCAAGGAACAGTATGGAAAGATAGACCAACAACCACAACCATGTGAGCCTAAGACCCTGAGACTCCTAAAAGAAATGCAGCCCAAGTGACACCTTAATTGCAGCCTTGGGAGACCCCAAAACAGAGGACCCAGCTAATCTCTGCCTGGATTTATGAAACACAGAAACTATGAGATGATAAATATGTGCTGTATAAAGCTGCTAAATTTGTAGTAATTTGTTACACAGCAATAGATAACTAGTTTACCCTTCTATCTTTTGCACTGCACCAGGGCTGATAGTCTACCCTCGGGGAGTATTATTAAATCTTACTCCCTTCGCATGCCCCCTATTAAAAGTTGTGCACTTTCACAATGTGCCTGAAAAGATATATAAAGCCAATTTGCAAAACTTGATTCAACAACTATTTGTAATTAAATATGAAGAGTTGTTAAGATAGGAGAACAACGGGGAACTTTGAACACACAGCATGATGAGCTAAAATAGTCTAAGAGTTTAGAAAAGAACTTCTGGAAGAAACTGAAAGTTGTAGGAGCAAGCATTAGCCAGGCAAAAGTGGATGCTGAGTAAGAAGGGAGATAATTTTTTAAAGTGTAAACAATCGTGATATGACTTCACAGAATACTGCATAAATTTTAACTGTGCAGCTTGACAAATTTTTACAAAGCAAACACCCATGTAACTATACAGATCAAGAAGCAGAGTTATAAGCTTCCTAGAAGCTCCCTTGTGACCCACCGTGCTTCTCTGCAATGGTAACCCTGCCCTGATTTGCAACACCATAGTTTAGTTTTGACTATCTTTGTACTTTATGTACTTGGAACAATATACTATGATTTCCTCTGTACCTGCTTTTCCCCCGCGATGCTAAGTTTGTGAGATTCATTCATATGGTTGCATATGGCCATATCTACTTTTATTTCATGGCTGTATAGTATTCCCTTTTTAGAAGATACCACATTTATTTATGTTATTGTGAGTGATCTGGATTGTTTCCCATTTGGGACTATTATGTATAGTGTTGCTGTGAACATCCTTGTACATTACTTTGGTGAACAACAGCATATTTTGAGTAGATATTTAGGAGTGGAAGTGGGTCATAGGATCAAGGCATTGGATTTTTGTAATCAAAGAGGGGGCAATCTAAAATAGCTAATGGAGGACTAAGCAATCTAGCACCAGCCTACCTTTCCAAGCTCAGTTTAGATCACTCTCTGAAGTACAAATATTCAGAGGAGACAGTAGTCTAAAAATAGAGGTTGGAAAGGTAGGTCAGTACTAGATTACTCACTGCCCCACAAGCCACAGTAGAATCTGGACTTTATCCTGATAAGTTATTAAAGGGTTAAAGTAAATAAAATGAAATATCAAAATTCATTTAAAATATATCTACCTGGTTACATTTTGGAAAATGAATTGGAAGGAGGCGAGCCTGATACAGGGAGAAGAGTTGGCTGCTATTACAGTAGTTGTGAACCACAAAAAGATTTGATCTTCTAAAGGTTTATTGAGTCTGGTGTTGATGTTGGTTTCTGAAGTAAAGGACCTTGCATTTAATTGTTGTCTTTTCCTGGATCAGCCAGAGGACTTAGTTGTCATTTCCCTTGGGAGAAATGTGGAGGTTGGTAGATTCGGTGGCTTGCTTTTGTTGGCTATCATGCACACCTGTTGTAGCTGTATGCCTGTTTTCTTTAAACATAAAGAAAACTGTAAAGAAAACAGGAGAAGCACGAGGGCCACAGTGGTCTGACTGTGTCCCTGAAAATTCATATATTAAAATGTAGTTGCCAAGGTAGTAGCATTAAGAGTTGGGGCCTGGCCGGGTACAGTGGCTTATGCTTGTAATCTCAACACTGTGGGAGGCCGAGGTGTGAGGATTGCTTGAGCCCAGGATTCTTAGACCAGCCTGGGAAACATAGGGAGACCCTGTCTCTACAAAAAATAAAATCAAATAAAAAGAGTTGGGGCCTTTAAGAGATGATTAAGTCATAAGGGCAGCACCCTCATGGATGCGATTAGGTCCCTTACCAACAGGCTTGAGGGAGTGGGTTTATTTCCTCCCATCTCTTCTGCCATGTGACGACATAGCATTCTTCCGTTTTGCCCATCTGCCTTCCACCATGTGAGGATGCAGCAACAAGGTGCCCTCTTGGAAGAAGGGAACAGGCCCTTAGCAGACAGTGAACCTACTGGCACCTTGATCTTGGACTTCTTAGCCTCTAGAACTGTGAGAAAATAAATTTCTGTTCTTTATAAATGACTCAATCTGTGGTATTTCATTATAGCAGCAGAAATGCACTAAGATGGACTCCACCTAACCTCCATTTTCATTCTCCCTACTCTACTATATTTTTATACATTGAGAAGGCAGTATTTTTTTCCCACTTAATGCCTACAACCACATTCAGGGATCACCCTTAGAGCCTTAGAGTCTCTGAGACTGTTGTCTATTCTATCAAAATTATGATCACTTTTCTGGAAAGTGATGATACTTGTGGGCTGAATGGACCTACTTTCCTTGGGGCTGGTCAAAGAAGCAATTGTTTCTTAGTGTTCTAAAAGTTTAGCCTTTGCCCAGATATCGCAATCATACTGCTAATCCATTGTCTGCACCCTTCCCTGATCTGCAGGTGCTCAAGGATTAGGACTCCCCTCAAACCTGTTCCTGGTGCATCACTCAATTTGGGTAACACTGCCATCTACTTCTACCAGCGTTATGTTCCCAGTCCTTTGTAATCTTTCAATCCTATGCCCAATCATGAAATGCTGTACCTTCTGTTTGGAGATTCTATCTTATGCCATCCTCTTTTCTCTACCCCCCTGCCTTAATTAAAACTCATCACCTCTGGAATCGTTTGCAACTGACCTCCCTGCCAGTATTCCCCTTGTCCAATTTGTCTTAAAAATATCCAGACTCTTTCTCAAATATTAAACTTTTATGTTAATCTTAAAAATCTTTTAGGTGGGGCATGGTAGCTCATGCCTGTAATCCCAGCACTTTGGGAGGCCAAGGTGGGAGGATTGCTTGAGCCGAGGAATTTGAGATCAGCCTGGGCAACATGGTAAGATCCTATCTCTACAAAATAAAAAATAAAAATAAAATAAACCTTTAAAAATTACCTCTATAGGGATAAAATTCAATCTTTCCTTAAGAGAACTGACCTACGTTTTTGTTCTATTTATAGTTTTAATTTGTATTTTTTTGTTGAGGTAAAATTTACACAAGATTTATCATTTTAAAGTATATAATTCAGTGGTTTTTTTTTTGTTGTTGTTGTGGTTGTTTTGTTTTTGAGACAGAGACTCACCCTGTCACCCAGGCTGGAGTGCAGCAGTGCAATCTTGGCTCACTGCAACCTCGGCCTCCCGGGTTCAAGTGATTCTCCTGCCTCAGCCTCCTGAGTAGCAGGAATTACAAGCTCACGCCACCACACCCAGCTAATTTTTTTGTATTTTTAGTAGAGACGGGGTTTCACCATATTGGCCAGGGTGGTCTCGAACTCCTGACCTCAAGTGATCTGCCCACCTCGGCCTCCCAAAGTGCTGGGATTACAGGCATGAGCCACCGCACCTGGCTGGCTTTTTTGTTTTTTAAAAATTGGTTTTAAATTGACAAATAGTATTGTATATATTTCTGGAGTACTGTGTGATATTTTGACATGTGTATACATTGTATAATGATCAAATCAGTGCATTTAGCATATCCCTCACCTCATACATTTATCATTTCTTAAGCAATTTTGAAATATACAATAGTGTTAATCATAGTCACTCTACTGCACACTAGAATGCCAGAACTTATTTCTCCTAACTATGACTTTGAACCTGTTGACCTGTCTCTCCTAATCATCCTTTCCCCACTACCCTCCAAGCCTCTGGTAACCACTATTCTACTCTCTACTTCTATGAGATCAATGTTTTTAGATTCCACATATGAGTGAGATCATGTGGTATTTGTCTTTCTGTGCCTGGTTTATTCCATTTAGCATAATGTCCTAGGTTTATCCATGTTGTTGCAAATGTCAAGATTTCATTGATTTTTATGGCTGAATAGTATTCTATTGTGTATATTTACCACATTTTCTTTCTTTATTTAAGGTTAATATTGTTATGTGTGAATTTGATCCTGTCATTTTGATGTTAGCTGGTTATTTTGTCTGTTAGTTGATGCAGTTTCTTCATAGTGTCGATGGTCTTTACAATTTGGTATGTTTTTACAGTGGCTGGTACCGGTTGTTCCTTTCCATGTTTAGTACTTCCTTCAGGAGCTCTTGTAAGGCAGGCCTGGTGGTGACAAAATCTCTCAGCCATTGCTTGTCTGTAAAGGATTTTATTTCTCCTTGGCTTATGAAGCTTAGTTTGGCTGAATATGAGGCCATTTATAGTCAATGTTACTATTGAGATGTGAGGTACTATTCCATTCATCATGCTATTTGTTGCCTGAATACTTTTTTTTTTTTTCCATTGTGTTTTTGTTTTATAGGTCCTGTGAGATTTATGCTTTAAGGAGGTTCTATTTTGGTGTATTTCAAGGGTTTCTTTCAAGATTTAGAGCTCCTTTTAGCAGTTCTTATAGTGCTGGCTTGGTAGTGGTGAATTCTTTCAGCATTAAAGACTGTATCTTTCCTTTGTTTATGAAGCTTAGTTTCACTGGATACAAAATTCTTGGCTGATAATTATTTTGTTTAAAAACGCTAAAGATCAAACCCCAATCCCTTCTAGTTAGTAGGGTTTCTGCTGAGAAATATGCTGTTAATCTGATAGGTTTTCCTTTATAGGTTGCCTGATGCTTTTACCTCACAGCTGTTAAGATTCTTTCCTTCATTTTGACTTTAGATAACTTAATGACTATGTGCCTAGGTGATGATCTTCTTGCGATACATTTCCCAGGTGTTCTTTGAGCTTCTTGTATTTGAATGTCTAGATCTCTAGCAAGACCAGGGAAGTTTTCCTCGATTATTCCCTCAAATATGTTTTCCAAACTTTTACATTTCTCTTCTCCCTCAGGAACTCCAATTATTCTTAGGTTTGGTCATTTAACATAATCCTAAACTTCTTGGAGACTTTGTTCATTTTTTAAAATTCTTTTTTCTTTGTCTTTGTTGGATTGAGTTAATTTGAAAGCCTTGTCTTCAAGCTGGGAAGTTATTTCTTCTACTTGTTTGATTCTGTTGCTGAGACTTTTCAGTGTATTTTGCATTTCTCTAAGTGTGTTCTTTGTTTCCAGAAGTTGCGATTGTTTTTTATTTATGCTATTTTACTGAAGATTTTTCCCTTCATATCTTGTAATTTTTTTTTTATTTAAGATGGACTTCACATTTCTCTGGTGCCTCCTTGATTAGCTTAATAATCAATCTTCTGAATTCTTTTTCTGGCAATTCAGAGATTTCGTCTTGATTTAGATCTATTGCTGGTGAGCTAGTATGATCTTTTGGGGGTGCTAAAGAACTTTGTTTTGTCATATTACCAGAATTGTCTCTCTGCTTCCTTCTCATTTGGGTAGACTATGTCAGAGAGAAGATCTGGGGCTCAAGGGCTGTTGTTCAGATTCTTTTGTCCCCCACAGGGTGCTCCCTTGATATGGTGCTCTCCCCTTTCCCCTAGGAATATGACTTTCTGAGAGCTGAACTGCAGTAATTGATATTTCTCTTTTGGATCTAGCTGCCCAGCAGAGCTACCAGGCTCCAGGTCGGTACTGGGGAGTATCTGCACTGAGTCCTCTGATGTGAACTGTCTTTAGGTCTCTCAGCCGTGGATACAAGCACTTGCTCTGGTGGAGGTGGCAGGGGAGTGATGTGGACTCTGTGAGGGTCCTTGGTTGTAGTTTTGTTTATTGCGCAAGTTTTTTGTTGGTTGGCCTCCAGCCAGGAGGTGTTGCTTTCAAGAGAGCATCAGCTGTGGTAGTATAGGGAGGATGAGACGGTGGGTGGAGCCCTAGAGCTCCCAAAAGAATATGTCCTTTGTCTTCTGCTGTCAGCACAGGTAGAGAAAGATCATTAAGAGGGGGAAAGGTTAGGCTTGTCTGAGCTCAGAGTCTCTTTGGGCAGGGCTTGCTGTGGCTGCTGTGGGGGATGGGGTGTGGTTCTCAGGCCAATGGAGTTATGTTCCCGGGGGCACTGTGGGTGCCTCTGCTGCGTCATGCAAGGCAGTGGGAAAGCTGTACCGCGGAAATGGGGGAAAGCTAGCAGTTATAGGCCTCACCTGGCTCCCAAGCAGCCCAAAAGGCTGGTCTCAATTCCACCGTGCCTCCCCAACAGCACCTAGTTTATTTCCAGTCAGTGGATGAGCAGAGCTGAGAACTTGCCCCAGGCTACCAGCCTCCCAGCTGAGAAAGCAAGTAGGGCTTTCAGGTTTCATGCCTCTCCGTCTGCCGCCTGCCTGCCGTGGCTTCTGTGCTGTGTCTGCACTCCCGATTTGCCCTCTCCCCCAGGTTCTGTCCAGGAAACTTTGCATTCAGTCAAAAGTGTTACAAAGTTCAGCTGGAAGTTTTCTTCTCCCTGTGGTCTTTTCCCAGTTCCTCTGGCATCCCTCCCCAAGGATCCGCGTGAGACAGAAATGGCTTTCCTGGGGACTGAGAGAGCCCACAGGGCTCTTTTTGCTGCTTCTTCTACCCCGTACTTTGTTCGGCTCTCTAAATTCTTCTCAGCTCCAGGTAAGTTAAGATCCTTTTCCCGTGATCTGGACCTCCAGGTTCCCCAGTGAGGGTCTGTGTTTGGGGGCAGATGATCTCCCTTTCATTCTTAGAGCACTCACAGTTTTTTGGCTGTCTTCAGGGGCTTGTAGCAGCAATCCACTTCCTTCAAAGGGTCTGTGGAGTGTCTTGGCTTTCCAGATAACTTTCCTGTGGTAGTTCTTGGAGCAAAAGTTCATGATGTGAGTCTCCACACACTGCTCTGTCCATCCGAGTGACAGCTGTAAGTTAATCCTCCCATTCAACTGTTGATGGGCATTTAGACTGATCCCATATCTTACCTATTGTAAATCATGCTGGAATAAACATGGAAATGCAGGTAGCACTTTGACATGATTTCCATTCCGTGGGATGTAGATCCAGTAGTGGGATTGCTGATCATATGGTAGTTCTATTTTTAATTTTTTAGACAACTTTTATACTGTTTTTCATAATGGCTATACTAATTTACATTCCCACGATAGTGTATAAGAGTTCCCCTCTCTACATCCACACTAGCATTAATTACTTTGTCTTTTTAATAATAGCTATTCTAATTGGAGTGAGGAGATACCTCAGTATGGTTTTCATTTGCATTTCCATGAAGATTAGTGATGTTAAGCATTTATTCATATCCCTGTTGGCCATTTTTGTGTTATCTTTGGAGAAATGTATATTTGTGGCTGACTGCCACAGCTACTACTTGAGACCATCACTATGACAGTTACTATTGTCACTACTTGAGACCGTCATTACAGCATTTACTACTGTTACTGCTTGAGACCGTCATTATGACTGAATGAAGGGACAAACGTAGAAATGATAACATAAAACAAAAGAAACTGTTTTGAGGAAAGGCAACGTGGAGAGAAGAGAAGAGCTCCCTGCTTCTAGTGAGCAAAGACCGCTGCCCGAGCTTCTCAGCCCTTCATATTTATTGGGTAACAGGAGCAAGGAGGAGGAGGTAATGACCGGTCAGTTGCTTAATTGATCACAGGTTCATATTGTTACTGACAGGCTTCAGTTGTGCCTAATCATAAACATTTGTGCGGCCTCCAACATGTATTGAGGTCTTTTGCCCATTTCAAAATCTAAATTATTTGGTTTGTTTTGTTATTGTTATTTTTCTATTGAGTTGAGTTGCTTATATATCCTGAATATTAACCCCTTGTCAGGTACATAGTTTGCAAATACTTTCTCCTATCAGTTGTCTCTTCATTTTATTGAGCATTATCTTTGCTGTGGAGATGCTTTTTAGTTTGATGTAATCCTGTTTGTCTATATTTGCTTTTGTTACCCATGCTTATCAGGTCTTATCCAAAAAGCCTTTGCCCAGACCAGTGTCATGATACATTTCCCCTAAGTTTTCTTTTTCTAGTGTTATTATTTCAGGTCTTTTAGGTCTTTAGTCCATTTTGGGTTGATTTTTGTATGTGGCTGTAGGTAAGGGTCTAGTTTCATTTTTCTGCATGTGGACATTCAGTTTTCCCAGTGCCATTTATTGAAGAGACTGTCCTTTCTCCAATATGTGTTCTTTGCACTTTTACTGAAAATCAGTTGGCTGTAAGTATGCAAATTTATTTCTCTATTCTGTTCTCTTTTATATTCTGAGTTTTCTTTTCTGTTCCATTGGTCTATATGTCTGTTTTTATGCCAGTACCATGCTCTTTTGGTTGCTATAGCTCTGTAATATATTTTGAAATTACAGAGTGTGATGCTTTTAGCTTTGTTCTTTTTGGTCAAAATTGCTTTGGCTATTCAGGGTCTTTTGTGGTTCTATATGAATTTTAGGATTTTTTTTTCTATTTCTGTGAATAATGTCATTGGTTTTTTGATAGGGATTGCATTGAATCCATAGATCACTATGGGTAGTATGGTCACTTTAATGATATTAATTATTCTAATTCATGAACATAGGCATAGCTTTCTGTTTATATGTATCCTCTTCAATTTCTTTCATCAATATTTTATAGTTTTCCTTGTAGAAAGTTTTTCATGTCTTTGATGAAATTTATTCCCATGTATCTTATTTTTATTGTAGCTGTTGTAAGTGGGATTGCTTTCTTGGTTTCTTTTCCATTAAGTTTGGTACTGGTACGTAGAAATGTTACTGACTTTCATATGTTGGTTTTATATCCTGCAACTTTACTGAATTTCTTCATTAGTTCTAACAGTTTTTATGTGTGTGGAGTTTTAGGGATTTTTTTTAAATATATAAGATCATGTTATGTACAAACAGAGACAAGCTGATGGCCTCCTTTTCAATTTGTATTATTTTCTTTCTCTTGCATAATTGTTCTATGATCCCTGTACTATGTTGATTGGAAGTGGTGAAAATGAACACTTTTGTCTTATTCTAGATCTTAGAGAAAAAGCTTTCAACTATTTCCCATTTGGTATGATGCTAGCTGTGGGTTTGTCACATGTGGCCTTTATTACGTTGAGGTACATTCCTTGTATACCTAATTTGGTATCATGAAGGGACATTGAATTTTATCAAATGCTTTTTTCTCTATCTAATGAAATGATTATATGGTTTTTGTCTTTGATTCTGTTAATGTGATATGTCACATTTACTGGTTTGTATACGTTAAACCACATGAATGATCTTTTTAATGTGCTATTGAATTTGGTTTGCTAGTATTTTGTTGAGGATTTTTGCGTCTATATTCATCAGGGAGATTGGCCTGTAGTTTTTATTGTTGTTGTGTATTCTTTTCTGGTTTTCGTAACAGGGTAATGCTGGTTTCAGAGAATGAGTTTGCAAGAATTCCCTCTTCTTAATTTTTTTTTTGCGTCGTTTGAAAATAATTGACATTATTTCTTCTTTAGGTGTTTGGTAGACTATATTAAAAACCTGCATGTGTACCCCTGAACCTTAAATAAACATTAAAAAAACTAAAAATCTCAGAAAAATGAAATAGGGATTCTCCTCCAATGACTGTTATTCTGAGATTGAGTCAGCCCCTCTCATTTTGTGTGTGTGTGATATTGCCCATCAACCCTATTCACAGCAATTTAGCTCCATATTTTTGTTAAGGGCATGAGTCCTTACAATATCAAATATCAGGGTAACATATATACATTTCTGTGAGTTACTGTTAATCAACCAGCTTAGAATTATGTTTTCGTAATAGATTTTCATCTTAAAAGTAACATTTATTGCTTTTAAAAATACGTTTGGTAGAATATAGCACTGTGGCCATCATTCAGTCTCGTTACTTGTTATTGGTCTGTCCAGGATTTCTATTTCTTTGTGCTTCAATATTGGTAGGTTGTGTGTTTACAGTTTATCAATTTTTTCTAGACTTTTCAATTTGTTGGCATATAGTTCATAATAGTCTCCCCTATGATGTTTTTATGTCTTCAATTGTAATGTCTCCTTTTACTTCTCTGAGTTTAACTGCAGCAGTTCAGCTGGCGAACTATTGTACGTGTGTATGGTGTCATGGCTGTAAAGCCACAGGGATGGGGAGATGCATTGGCTACCAGATCCTGGAGCAGGACACACTCTCACAATGCGTCTGGTTACAAGATGGCACCATGTTGCAGCAGCTTGGGTCATGGAGGGGGAGGGGGCAAACATTGGCTTCTCTGGAGCAATGCGGCTGTGTAAACTTCTGCCAGCTCCCCAAACTGTGCTCAGATCCTGTGCATATTCTTTCTAATAGCATATTCTTTCTTTCTTGAAAAAATATTTTATTTCTGGCTTTTGCCTGCTGTGGTAGATTATAAAAATGGCCACAGATCATTCTACTTCTATCTATGGTCTAGGGAAGCGCTCTGCCACACTGACCCTAGGCTGGCCTTGTGATTTCCTTTGGCGAATAGGACATTAACAAACATGATGCAAGTGAAGGCTTGGGAGGTCTTTGTTCATTGGGGCTTACTCTCTTCCTGAGCTTGGGAACTCGGTAATCACTACCATGTGAATGAGCCTGAATTAGGCTGCTGAGAGACACATGGCTAAGTCATCCTTGTCACCCAAGCTGATATTCAGCCAACTGCCAGACATGTGAATGAGGTCATCCTAGACCACCCAGCTTTAGCCAACCTGGCCCAACCAGAAGAAGCATCTAGCTGAACCACGGAATAGTGAGAGATGAGAAGTATTTGTTCTAATAAATTTTTGTTTTAAGCCACAGACTTTTGGGATGGTTTATGACATAGCAATAGATAAGTCGTATAACCTAGATAAATAATTCTATTGTAAAAATAATGGCTTGCATTTTTCCAAAATGTCAGTATCATTAAAGAAAAGAAAGACCAAATAACTTTTCCATATTGGAGGAGAGTAAAGAGGCTTGAAAAGAAAATATAAAATGTCATACTGGATTGGATCTTGGATTGAGTGGAGGTAATGCTTTAAAGGACATTGCTGGGATGATTAACAGAATTGGAATGTGAACTGTAGAAAAGATAAAAATATGGTGGCGATATTAATTTTCTCAAATTTTATAATTGTGGTTATATATGAAAATATCATATTCTTAGGAAATGTACACTAAAGTATTATGAGGTAAAGTGGCATGATTTATGTAATCTCTCAATAGAGAAAAACTAATGTGTGTGTGTGTGTGTGTGTGTGTGTGTGTGTGTGTGTGTGTGTGTGTCAGAGAGAGAGAGAGAGAGAGAGCCAGAGACAGAGAAGAAGGAAGGAGGGAGGAGGAGAGAATTATAAAGCAGCTGTGGCAAAATGTAAAAATTGAGCAGTCTGGGTAAAGTTTTATGGGAGTTATTTGTACTATTCTTGTATTTTTTAACTTTAAAAAATGTTTCAAAAAAAGTAAAAAGAAAAACCTTGACAATTGAGGAAATAAAGACATAATTGATACAGCTTCCTCTAGAAATTTCCTAACAATATTATCTCAGTACATTTGTTTTAGGCAAAAGCCAAGATACTCATTTATGTAGACATCAGACCTGGGGACTTATGATTGAAATGGGAAATGCAGAATGTTGGAATCATATTCATTTCATGTCAACTACATGTGAAGAGAAACAGAAGTCCTTTAAAGGTATGGGGTAGGGAAAGGATGCTAAATAGGGAAGAGAAAAATCTGGATTTCTTTTGGTCATACTATATGTCTTAAAACAAGTTATTCAAGTCTCTTGGCCTTAATTTTATCTTAGACTAAATGGAAAGGTAACCTCTTAAACTTCCCTTTGATGGTAACATTTATACAATCACTTATAAAAGGAAGCCAAATGTGTTGATCAATGATTGCTAGTGTTGTAATCTTAGTGGCCTTTTGTTATTATGGGATAACTCCACATGACAAGTATTTATGGGTGCCTTGTTCAATATGTAGAAGCATGTGAGCATAAGCTTGAGTTATTACCTGTAGTTACCCCTGTGGAAACCAGGCTATCTGGAGGTGATATTAGCAGATAATGATTTTTACATGATTATGATATTGAAAGTCTTATTGGTGATTAGGGTAATATATAAATTGCAAGGACTGGCATTGGTTAGGATGACTCCCTACCCTTACAAAACACAAACATACACAGACACAACCTAACTCCCCCAGCATACCAAAATGACAAAGGAAAAAAGAATCACAATGACAGAAATGACAGGGTGACATATGGAACAGAAAGACACATTATAATCTGGAAGACATGTAGTGGATTGCCCATAGGGAAGACTTGTATTTTCAGCAGTGCTAAAACTTAGCCCAAATAAGAATGCCAGGGTACTGTGAAAAAAGTGACCTGGACCCTTTTGCAATTGTCAGGGTTTAGATATAACAGAAATGGCATGATTTAGAGAAGTGGTAGATATCTCTGGCTGTTGATACCCTGCAGCCTTATTGTGTGTCCTCACCCTCTCCTCCCTCTTTATGGCTTATTTTCACATTTCTCCCTTCTTGCTCCTTTTACCCTTTTATCCCCTTCCAGAGGCTGTGGTACTTGTGAGCAATATTTAAGCCCTTTGGGGGTCTCTCAGGGGAAAGACATTATTTTTAAACACTTTTTATTGATGTAAGTATATAACTTAGTGAATTTTTACAAACTGAGTGTACCCAGTAATTAACACCCCTATCCAAAAAGAGAACATTACCTGCATCCCACAAGCCATGTTCATGTCTATTCCCTTGCAATATCTCCCTCCAAGGGTAACGATCAATCATTTTCTCTCTAACGGTGCAGATTAATTTTGTCTGTTTGGAACTTTATATAAATGGAATCACACGGTAGGTATTCTGTTGTATCTTCTGCTCAATATATGCTTGTGAGATTCATCCATATTGGTGCACGTAGCTACAGTTTGTTCATTTTCATGCTGTGTAGCATTGTGTGTAAGATATACCACAATCTATTTATCCATTGTACACTTGGTGAGCATGAGTATATTTCTGCTTTTTAGCTATTTGAACAGTGCTGCTCTGAACATTCTGGTACTTAACTTTTGGCAAATATATGTATTTGTTGGCTATATACCTGGGAGTGAGTTGCTGGGCTATGGGAGATGTATGTGCTCAACTTCAGGAGATGCCATGAGGGCGCTATTTTACAAGTGCCTTTTATGAGCCAAGCACTTGCCATGTCATTACAGTAATCTTCTTATTGAGGGTATGCTGCTGAAGACATTGAAGTTTGGAAGGGTTAAATAAATTATGCAAGGTCTCTCATTGCTTGGGCTGGAGCAGGGATTAGAACCTAGCCTGGCTTGACTTCAGTGCCTTTTTTTTTTTTTTTTAAATAATGTCTTCCCATTAGCTTCTGATCTCTGGTTTAGAACTATGAAGGCCTATTTTCATATGATTTAAGGATAAATGTCAGCAGCTTTCTGAGCAAAGCTATTTGTTTTATTGATAACACTTCTAGCTATAAAAACCTTTGATGTGTGTATTCCCTAGAAATGCTGGCAAGAGGCAAGGATACAAAACAGTAGACATCTGTGTTCTTTCTGTTCCCAAGTGAGGCATAGTGGTTTCCTGTCCCCCAGAGACTTGGGCTCCCCTTTCATAGTGTTGAGTTGTTCCTGGCAAACCAGGAACAACGTTTTCTACCACCCTTGTGCCTAGCAGAATGTATAAAAAGTTCTCACCACAGGAATATGAGTGGAAGTGATGTATGTCATCTCCAAGTATAGGTAGCTGAAAACAGGTGTTCCTCCTTCATCTTTTCCTGTACACCAAACAGATACAGAGGATTCGGCCGTAGACTTTGAGCCATGGTGATGGTGGAGCCATTGAGGGAGTCTGGATCCCAAATCACTGCTTAGAAGAGAGAAAAGCTACCTGCCAATCCGTTGCTTTGAGTGAATGACAGACGTCCATTGTGTTAAGCCTCTGAGTTTGTGGGCTTATCTGTTAAAGCAGCTAGCATTACCTTAACTAATACACCAGGGAAGTCCCCACACTCATCCCTCCATTTCCCCCTGCCTAAATCATTTGGATGCTGGAACTTCTTCCATGGCTGAAACCTGGAAAACATATTTGAGAATCATAGGAATTGAATGCTCTGCTTCACAGAGCCTCAATCTGATTATCTTTGTGAATCGTCTTCAGCCCCATTATTTATTGTACGTTCTGTGACAATGTGATACAATTTTTATGTTATTTTATCCTTTGAAACTCTTTGCTCTTTGTAAAGGAAGCCATTACACACTGAAAAAGGGTCTTTTCATGGCTGCAATGGAAAACTTAGTGGAATCTCTTTTTCTGTGTAGCCAAGCATTTGTACAGCCCTTTAACACTTTTCAAACTTCAACCTTCACAGAAGCTTTGTGACATAGGACAGGCAGCTATTATTATCTTTATTGGGCAGTTGAATTACCAATATATGAAATGCAGAGAGGTTAAGTCACACTAGACTAGAATCCAGACTTGTGGCTCCAGTTCATTGCCCTTTTGGCTCCTCTCTGACGTGCCAGTGTCTGTGTCAAGAATCAGAGAATTATCACTGGATTTGCTAAACCAATTATGATAAGATGTTACATTTGGGATTCCTCAGCCTGGGTATGAGGAATCAGTAATTCAAATAAATTATTACTTTTTTAATAATTTATTTAAAGGTGGGTTTTTGTATACGAATTTTATGTATCAATTTCCAAAGCTTTATTCGCCTACCACACGGCTGTAGTGTACATCTGTATAGATTAAACACTACATAACAATATCTGGCAGCCAATATGGTCATATAAGGGAGGATCCTGCCACAAGATCCAGGTAAGGGTTTTGGCATACTCTAAGCACACATCTGAGCCCTACGTCTACAAGTGTGAGCCTTTCCTCTTTCTTTCCTTCTGCTTCAAGACTGTGAAACTATAAAGTTTCCCAAATTCTGATGCCTGCCACATTTCCTGCCCACCCATTTATCTTATTTCCACATTCATTCTGCTTCCTGCCATAAAGTCTCACACAAATGTTCCTTGGTTTGTTTGTCTACCAAAATTTGTCCTCCTTACCCTGCTCCTTGTAGGTACCATTTCGCTCCAAGGCCTCTTCATCCTTGCTTTTCATATGAGCTTCAGGATGACTGACTGAATCATGGAGATTTTGTTTTTTGGTACCCCTCACATGAGACACAGTCCCATCACTGTTCTTTCTGTCATATAGACTCCTTATGTGAAATGCCTTCCCTAACCCTACCCATTGTTTCAAGCCCTGCTTAAGTCATACTTTATACATTCAGGGTTCTCCAGCCTTTCTGATCTTCCTGTCTTCTATACACTATCAAGAGATGTTGTGGAAGAACCTTAGTGTAGGAGTCAGGAGCCCTTCGTTCTAAAATGACACTGCCATGGTCCTGGGCAAGTCACTTAGCTCTTCTGAGCCTTAGTTTCCATTTCTGTAAAATGATGGGATTTGGCTAGTGACATCAAAGTTCCTTTCCGGATAGTGATGCTCTAAATTTGGCCTTGATTTAAAGTGATGGGATCCAACCTAGTTTTTGGCAAGTCCCCTATTTAGTTTTCCACAAATACCAGACAATGTTCAGAAAGTCATGGTCTATTTCCAAGAAGGAAGTATCTAAGTATCCAGATCGTGTGAACTCTTCAGGGAGTAATTAAATCATGCATTGTTGTCGTTGTTATCAGCATACATTTACTGAGTGTATTAGTTAGCTATTACTGCATACAAATTGCCTTAGAGTTTAGTGGCTTTAATACAACAAACATTTATTACTGCACAGTTGCTGTGGGTCAGGAATCTGTGCATGGCTTAGCTGGGTCCCCTGTCTCAGAGTCTCTCACAAGGCCACAAAGTGCTGTCCAGGACTGCAGTCACCTCAAGGTTCAATTGGTGGAGAATATGGCTGTTGGCAGGATTCAGTTTTTCACAGGTTACTGGACTGAAGGCCTCAGTTGCTTGCTGGATATTGGCCAGAGGCCTCCCTCAGTTCCTTGCTATGTAGACCTCTCTGTAGGGCCATTCACTACATAGTAGCTTGCTTCTTTTGAGTAAGCAAGCAATAAAAGCCACAGAGAGGGCAAGACAGATGTCAGAGTCTTTTGTAACCTGATCTTGGAGGTGACACCCTGTCACACTTGCTGCATTCTAGTTATTAGCTGGGGCCAGCAAATAGCCATCTCCTTTTTTCATTGGGTTGTTAACCAGTTGAAAAATAAGACAAACAGGTAAGGCAGATGAGAGGCCCAAAATACAGACACCTCTAGCTTGACATTGGTTTTGTGTTAATGAAATCAGTTGTTCTATATGAAAATACTAAAGGAGCCCTTTTCCAATTATTTTAAATAGGGAAAATTATTGTGCATTACAAATCAACCCCAAACCCCCAACCAACTAAAACACATTAAAATGTCCACGCATGAAGAAGAAACTGTCATATCATGAGATAAATGCTTAAAACATTGTTTCCTTGGTACCAAACCAACCGAAATTAATATGGCTATTGACAAACAGTTGCTTTGTCTGCAGTGATATTTTTCTTAGTGCTAGGAACATCCTAGCCACAAATCCCCTCTGTTGATACTTGGAGCACTTTAAAATAGCTATGTGTACTTCTGATTCATCTAAACTTGATTCATTCTAAATGCCAGTTGTATTTGGAGTGAAACTTCTGGATGTTTTTCACACATTCTTTTGTTAAAAATGTTGTATTGATTTTTAAAGGCATAAATGTAGTTTTTTTAAATGCAACCCTCATTCCACTGAGTACTTAGGTAAAGTTTAGTTTTTAAAAACCAAGAGGCATTCTCCTGAGAAAACATTAACCAAGGACAAATTCTGTGTGGTATACCTGTGTCAATTTTGTTGCAAATAGTGCTTATATTGGAAAATGTGATTTATATCTGTGGACAAGCAGGCTTGAAAATTCTGTACTCTAGAATTAGTTAGACTTACCTGTTGAGTCATAGATCATGTTGGAGAACTGTAAGCTTTCCCTGGAGGGAAATATTGAAAACATTTTTCTCCGTAGAAAACATTCCCATTATGTTGAAAACATAAGGCAAGACCAGAGCACAACATACCATTTTGGAGGGTAGGCATCTCCCAAGAAAAAGGAAAGAGGAGTGGGGCAGAAAAACATCTTCAAACTCCCTAGTCAGATCCAGTCATTCTTTCTGTGGAGGGGCTGACAGAGGCCAGAAAGAATACCCTAGTGAGCTCTCTCCACATGTAAAGAAACCACTGAGTTGGGTAGAAATGACCCTCATCACAAACCATGTAATGTTCCAATTCTTTACATGCATGGATCTCACAATGGCCCATCGTAAATTTGGTGCTGCTATCCTTGTTCCCATTACAGATGGGAGAATTTGAGAGATGAAGCAACACATCAAAGGAACAGGAACAAAAAGGAAGAGAAAGTGGCACATTTGATACTCAAACATAGGTCTCAAATGTACTTAACCACAAAGTGATACAGCCTTACCATTTTGCATACTTTGCTTAACTCCTGATTGTAACTGGAAGTGGAATGTTGCTGAATATTCAGCTGGTAGCACCATGATTTTTGACAAATTTTCACTGGTAAAGTTTTTATTCAAGTTTCTAGGGTCCGCTTTGTTTCTGTCTTTGTCTAGGCTGGAAATTCTCCTTTGTTCAAATGATGTTCATCAGTAGATGGATCTTGTCACGTTTCAACAGGAATATTTAATTTCAAAACTTTAGAGATCACTTAGATCCATCCAAGGCTTTCCTGAAATCAATACCATAATTACATTTATCCTTTCATTCTTCTTTTATCCTTTCATCCCCTTCTGATCTCTTCCATACTTTGTAGTCAGAATTATGTGCTGAAATGCAAAATCACTCTTAAAATCTTGTAATGGCATCCCACTGCTTACAAGATAAATCCCAAGATCCTAAAACAGGCATGTGACTTCATATTTTCATCCCTGCTTTTCTCTCCAGCCTAATTTCTCATTCTCATTCTAGAATGACAAGATTCAATCATTTGAAACTATCTGCAGCTGGCATAGTTTCTCTGGAGAAGGATGTGGAATGCTAAAAGTTTTGACTGAATGATTTAGTGAAACTATAATCATAAAATCAGAGATCTCCAAAAGTTCTCAGACACATCTTCATCTTGCTCCCCTTAACTGCCCCAAAGGGCCCCTAATATATTAATGACAAGTTGTTGTTAGGGCTATTTCTTTAAAAATCCAGAGTTTCGGCCGGGTGCGGTGGCTCACGCCTGTAATCCCAGCACTTTGGGAGGCCAAGGTGGGCAGATCACGAGGTCAGGAGATCGAGACCATCCTGGCTAACACGGTGAAACCTTGTCTCTACTAAAAAATAGAAAAAATTAGCCGGTCATGGTGGTGGGCGCCTGTAGTCCCAGCTACATGGGAGGCTGAGGCAGGAGAATGGCGTTAACCCGGGAGGCGGAGCTTGCAGTGAGCCAAGATCATGCCACTGCACTCCAGCCTGGGCGACAGAGTGAGACTCTGTCTCAAAAAAAAAAAAAAAAAAAAAAAAAAAAAATTCCAGAGTTTCCAGTCATCAGTCTCAAGACTTGTATTCATTTTGGAGGTAGCCAGAGCCTCCCAGTAAAACACTGGGTTATGTGTTTGTCCAACCAAGGAGGGGAAGGTGTTGGTTGCAGGATTCTGAACTGGTTGGAAGGGAAGGGAACTGAGGAGTGTT
Source organism: Homo sapiens (assembly GCF_000001405.40). Lineage (NCBI taxonomy): Eukaryota > Metazoa > Chordata > Mammalia > Primates > Hominidae > Homo > Homo sapiens. The sequence continues at coordinate 14,745,525 of NC_000023.11, read as the reverse complement.
AAAATAATTAATTGAGAGGCCATTAGATTGAGGTGGCTCCAGCACCCTGGATTCCTGCATAAGCAAACCAAAACCCAAGTCAGAGCAAATGGTCGTATCCTAGGAAATGAAACTTAAGCTTAAATAATAAGAAATAACCAACTAATTTCAAACTAGGGACTCTAAGGCTACTCTTCTACCTTAACCCATCAAATGTTTTCTTTGTTTTGCTTCCAAACTTTTGTTTACAAAAGTTTTCTTCTTACCCTGTGTCAGTGGAGCCCAAACCCCTTGTAGTTTGTTGCTGCCTGATTCATGAATCACTGTCTGCTCAAATAAACTCTTTAAAATTTTAATGTGCCTAAGTTTATCTTTTAACAGGGGGAAGTATATCTGGAATTTTTAAAAAATTCATTTCCTTAATGGAGCTAGAGAGGAAAGATGTAAAATCAGCTTTAATTCATTTCAATCCTGAGGTTTGGGGTCTTCCTGTTCGTGCAGCCACACCACAGGATGGATGGAACTAGGACACAGTAGCTCTTAGTTTTGCCTTGCTACTTCATTAACAGCTTATTAAATCAGTTACCAAAGCCATTGAGAAAATTAATGAGTGAACCATGCTGACATACATTAAAAGTTACCTTGAGATACCTCCCAGAACCCACTAAGAGGACCTTTTTGCCTGCCTTGATGTGTTCCGTGCAGGTACTTTGTAGTCTGCCGACCCTGACATGTGAGCCCATTTTAATGATAACTGAGACCACAAGAGGAAAAAAAAGATCCATCCAAGGCTTTCCTGAGATCAATACCATAATTACATTTTAGACCCTCCAGGTATTAATCTTCTATTTTCAGAAAAGCAATTCCATTTTCCTGGCATGGTCTCTTAGAAATTATACTGCTTCTCCATGGCTTTTTAATTTTTTCCCCTGAGGGGAAAGGGAAGGCAAGCCTTTTCCTTTTCACCTCCTTCCCTCCTACAGCCATTCTCTCTTTTAAATTGAATGTTCATTGATGCTCTAAAAATACTACACACAGAGAAAGGGTTGATGTGAGAATATTTTATAATATTAACAGCTGAATATAGGCTGTTTTAGTGCTTTCTGGAACTCCTTGCTTGCATTATTTCATTTAAAAATATTGTGTTTGCTGTCTAAAAATAATCTTTGTTGAATACTTCTTATGGACTAGTTATTGTTCTAAGCACTTGTTCTGAATTAACTAAGTTCAGTCTCATTAGAACCCTGTGAAATAGGTACTATTTTAAACATTAGGACTCCAAGGCATAGAGCATTTGGAACCATCGCTTAAAGGCTCACAGTTGTTAGAGGCAGAAAGAATGTTTTTTTCCCAGGGAATTTTACTCCGGCACCTGCATGCTCAGTCACCAAGCTATCTCTGGCTTAATCTGTATGTATTTTACACTAGGGCCAGGGAATCTATAAAAATATTAGACACAGTTGGTGCCTATACTTGGTTGAATAGTGTGTACCCAAAATTCATGTTCACCTAGAACCTCAGAATGTGACCTTACTTGGAAATAGGATCTTTGCAGATATAATTAGTTGAGCTAAAATGAGGTCATACTGGATTAACATGGGCCCTCTAAGGTGTTTTTATAAGGAGAGGGAGTTTTAGAGACAGACATACAGAGAGAATATGGCCATGTAAAGGCAGAGGCAGAAGTTGGAGTGATGCAACTGCAAGCCAAGGAATGCAAAGGATTACCCGAATCACCAGAAGCTAGGAAAAGGCAAGGAAGAGTTCTTTTCCAGAGACTTTGGAGGGAACATGGCCCTGCTGACACCTTGATTTCATACTTCTGGCTTTCAGGATTGTGAGAGAATAAATTCCTGCAGCCCTAGGAAACTAATACAGTGACCTCAAAAGCTCATAGGCTGGTAGGGGAAATGGGTAAGGAAATGAATAATTTAAAATGATATGACAAGAGCTACAAAAAAAAAAAAAAAGAAAGAAATACACAAAATGTTACATAGAAGCCCTGGAGGGGAGTATAACTGATGAAGAGGGGAGGGTAATATAGCATTTTTTCCATCATAATAATTTATTTCATTGAAGCAATATGATGGGGTGATTAAGAGTACGGATTCTGTGGAAACATTGCCTGGGTTTGAATCTTGGCTGTGACATTTATGAGCTGTGTGCCCTAGGCAAGTTACTTAGCCTCCCTGTGCCCCAGTTTTCTCATCCATGGAATAGTTTTCAGATACCTTTGACATTCATGGTTGAAAGGTGGGGAGGTGGGGCAAATCTCATCATTCTCATCTTATAAACATTGCCAAGAGCCACACAGCTAATACCTGATGGCAGGGCCCACTTCTGTGACAGTGGACTAGTTTCTTAACCTGTGCTGTTTCAGTTTGCTTATCCGTAAGGTTATGATCATGGTGGTGGTGGTGTTGCTACTTATGGTTTTGATGATGGTTATTATGCACTGAAGGCCTACTCGCCTACTCCGTGCTAGTCTCTCTGATGGGAAACCATTATTCTTCTCCATTTTACAGAATAAACTGAGGCTTTGAGAGAAACTGGCCCAAGGCCGCCATCCCTGTGTTCACAGGATGATTTGGCAGAATTTATGTTAAAGCAATTTATAAACTATACTGGCGCTACATCAATATTAGTTATATGTAGCAAAAGCCCTGCTTATGCCAACATAAGCCTTTTTAACATTTCAATTAGGAAAATGTTTACCTTTCTGTAGTAGGTCAAAATGAAACAGTAAAAACCCTGTTGTCACCGTTTGCTAAAGAAGTTTGTCCAGACTGTCTCTAGATATGGTCTCTTCACTTCCAACCAGCCTTTTTGATGTTTAGGCAATGATTTAAAATTACGGTAGTTATAGTAGACCACAAAGGAATAGACTTCATTTATAGGCGATAGGTTCTGAATGGCATCATTAGTGAAGTAAAACATTATTAATTAACGGTGGGTAGGAAGGGAAATGAGAACTAGTATTTATTTAGTACCCACTAAGTGCAGGTACTAATCAATTTAAACCTCACCTGCAATTGTACAAGGTATATACTATTATATTTTACACTATCTTCTGTCCCAGGGCATTAAAGCTTTGCTCAAGGACACTCAGCAAACCAAAGACAGAGGGATAATTTAAATGCCAATGTGACTTCTCAAACTGTGCCTTTAGAGCTATGACACTTACCTTCCGGAAGAATGGGCAAATAATCACGTGGAAGTAGAATAACTTAAAGGAGAGGAACTGCCCTTTTAAACTTTCTCTACCTAGAATATATGGAAAAAGGCTCATGGGAATGGTTAGAAAGGAATCAGGATAGAATTCAGGGGACTTTGGTTTTGAGCTCAAAGGCACATTAACATGCTAAGTAATATGGGCCATGTCACTTTAACTCTCTGGGTATTGGTCCTGTTGAGGTATGATATTGATATTCAGATGATAGTTAGGCATTACATTTGAATTGCACTTGTCCTTAAGAAACTTGGAATTAGGCAAAAAAGATTACAGATGCTCTTTTAGTGTAGTGCTGGGCATGGCATGGTATTTTCTAGGCTATTTCACCCATAAGTAGAGGCAGAGATGAACTAGTAGAATTTTATCTAATAGAAACTCAAATAATTTCTGTCCAAAGAACAGATAACCATAAAGGTTACTGTTTATGAACTCTATTGGACATTAGCCCGTTTTTAAAAAAATCTAACCCAGGAAACTTATCCTAACATTGCTTGTAAATACCTCGCTCCTTAAATGCTCTTTGGTCTGGAACATTTTACTGTTTTTTCATCAATTAAAAAGCTAAATTTCGGACTTGTGCTAATTTTATATTTGCCTAAGAGTCATGATTTTATCCTTTTGAATACTATGAGTTAAGAGTATTTGATAGAAAACCTCAAGTGTAAAACCTTTCCTGGAATCTCTGCCTCTGCTTCATTCAGATGACAAAACAGTGATTTCATTGAACTGATACTGCTACCTGGCACTTGGTGCTTCTTGTGCCAGGGAGTCAGTAGGCAAAGAAGGGGGTTGCTGTACTAGCTGGGGCGATTTATTCTGAGTATTCAGAGGAAAGTGAGTTACTAGTACATAGTGAGGGTAAGGAGAAATATGTTCAGAATGCAGGAGATCCTCTGGGGTCCCTCTTAGAGAGCCCACATTTAGAATACCCATGCTATCTGATAAAAGTCATTGAAACTACAGTGACTCAATCCAGATAGGACTGCTAATGTCCCATACCCTTAAGGATATATAGTAGGGTTTTTCAGAACACACTTTAGAAAATGTTTATCTAGTGCAGTTCCTTCATTGTTATAGACTCAAAACCTACTTAAGTTTTGACAGTGATTTTTATCTAACTGGGTAATACTAGGTTCCTTAGTTCTATCTCTAAGCCTTCCATACACCCAATTAACTCCCTAATAAATGTTAACTATTCAGTTATTCATTGAACAAATACCATATTGATTAAACATCTACTAAATACCAGGCACAGGTCTAGATCCTGAGAATACAATAATGAACCAGGTTCCAATTTCTCACTTAGAGCTGTCCTTCGTGTGTTCGTGTGTGTGTGTGCGTGTGTGTGTGTGTGCATGTGTTTGTGTATTAGAGAAAGAGAATAAACACATAAAAATACCAATTGTCAGAAAGTGTCAAATGCTGTGAAAAATATAAGGTAGAAATGGGAAATAGAGAGAAATTATTGGGAGGTGCTAATTTATACAAGGTGGTCAGAGAAGGCTTCTCTGATAAGAAGGCATTTGAGCAGAGGCCTGAATTAAATGAGTGAATAAGCCCTGTATGTATCTAGAGCAGGGATTGGCAATGTACTGTCTATAGGCCAAATCTGGTCTGCCACCTGCTTTTGTAAATAAAGTTTTATTGGTGCACAGCCACACCCACTTGTTTATTTAATGTCTGTGGCTGCTTTCATGCTACAATAGCAGAGCTGAGTAGTTGTAGCAGAGATGGTATGGCTTGTGAAGCCTAAATCATTTACTACCTGGCTGTTTAAAGAAAACTTTTGCCAACCTCCTAGTATTGGAAAAGAGGGTGCCAGGTAGACGAATTGGCTAGTGCAAAGGACCTGTGGTGGAATTGTGCTTGGCATGTTTAAGCACTGGTAAGGTGGCCACTATGCTTGGAGGGAGAAGGTATGGCCGAGCATGATGGGAGATCATGTAGTTAGATCATGTGGCCAAAGTGAGGACTCTGGCTTGTTCTCTGAGTAATATGGGGAGGCATTGAAGACTAAAACAGTGACATTATCTGGTTTGTGTCTAAAAAACACCTTTCTGGCTGTTGTCTTCCTTTTATCTCTTCTCCCTTCCCTACTACCCTGCCCCTAAATATTTCTCCTCAAGAAGCAGAAATAGTATAAGAAATGATTATTCATTGAATTTGATGAACTCTTGGTTAGTCCTGATCCTTGCACGTGAAGGGTCTCCTTGTCCTTGGTTTCATCATTTTTGAGGACCTGGAGCTACTAATGAGACTTCAGTGTGTATGAGGACTGACCAAATTGTCTGTTCCATGAGCAGCCCTGGGCTCTACTGCAAGAGGGCCAGTGTGGTACACACTTCACAAAGAGCACCCTAGAGCTTTGCACTCCTCTTTGAAGCTACATTTACCTGCTTATGAATCATTTGTGCCAAAGTGATAATGTCCTTTCTAAATGCTAGCTCATAGTCTAAAAACATCTAATACACGCTTCCATCATCTTGGGAAACTATATATTACTTGTTATTTTTAAACTGCATTTGCACCCAGAGTAGAAATAGTGCCTCTTTTCTCATGTGGGAGCATGTGTAACAAAGCAAACGTCATTTTCCCTCCTTCAAAAATGAAAATAAACGCCTTTGAAATGGAATTTTGTTGGTCTTTTTTTCAACTCCTGTATCTTTTGGGCCATTCAATCACACAAAATCTTGACTCTGAAGATGTTATTAATGCGGTATGCACAATTTTAAATTATTTCTCTTAAGCATTTTCAACAGAAATATTCTGGGCTCTCTTTTGACATTTATTTCGTCATTCATGAGCATGGATCAGTGGTACCATGACCTTTTACTTTCCAGGTTTTTCTTTTCTTAGTGTGGATATAGTGAAACTGTATATAGTCTGAGGAGTTAAGAAACAAATTGTGCTGGATGTTCAAACTCTAATATGATAGGTGATCTTGGGCAAGGAGTTTAATTCATGGAGCTTCTGTTTATCTGTTGATCAAAGGGTGTATATTGACTCTTTGTGATCTGGGCACCTTGGATTGTTGTTAGGATCAAATGCTGTCATAGGCATTAAACATGTTGATATTTTGAAAACACTATGTAAATATGAGGTTATAGTGTTATCTTTAATTCTTCTACTTTATAATCTATGAAAAAATATATTGCTTGAATCATTCAAATTATACTTAAAAAACCCTAAATTGGTGAAAATAAGAAAAGGTTTAAAGCAGAGGTTGAAAGATTAAAAAAGAATTTCTGACAGACATATGGTTTAGATTCATCCCACAAATTGGCTTTAGGCTTAAAGTAGGAAATGCATAAACCCTAAAAAAATTCTGAATAGATTTTTTTATTTTCCAAAGCTGTGAATCATATGATATGGAATTTTGTGCCGTGTTTTGGTTAGAACCTTCTTATTTGATATTAATGGAGTAAGTGAAATGTAAAATGATATTCATTTAATCTTTATTGGAAATTTCGCTTTTAGAATTTGGCAGTCCTGTTCAGTGGCATAGATGAGGAGCTTAAAGCTAGCGCTGCTTGGAAGGATTTTTAAAAATCTACAGCCAGTCTGGTTTGTAGCATCGGTTTAGGGCCAAGTTATTTGAGAATGCCATAAAGAGTCTCAAGCCTTAAGTCATCCCTATGTGTTTTTAAAACCAAGTGGTAGGAATTGAAAAATGTTTAAAAGACAAATCCTCCAGTAATCCATTATCTGAAAAAATGATGGCAGTAGTTAGTTACCTTCTGTAATTTCTGGGTTGGGGAAAACTTATGTGACTTTTTCAGTAGGCACAGCATATCCTCCTTCACCAATGTTTTTCTAGCGATAGTAATAATATCCGTTGGGGATTTGAGCTTTGGCAGGCATTGCGGATAACCAGTGGAAACATAGCCACTTTCTCCCAAAAGCTTCCAATCTAATGAAAACAGGTAAGAAGGTCTCTTCCTCAGAGCCATAATTGTACTTTTGAACTATTTTCCCTGAAATACTATCACAAAAGAAAAATGTCCAAAATAAAATCCCCAGTAACGTTATAAGGGAATTAATCTGTTTCACCAGCATATGTGGTACTCAAAATATTTTCTCTGAGATTTCATCTTATTTATATAACCCACATTGGTGCATTTAAGAGTTTATTTCACTGAATGTAGTCTAGAATCAGAGAAAAGTCAAGAAGTCCTCTTGCCATCCAAGACGCCTTTGCCTACTTTAGTGGCTGGCAGATATATTTTGGTGTGAATCTCTTCTCAGTTTTCTAATGGGAGGACTGTACCTCCCTCCAAAATTTTATGGCACACACATTGATTAAACATAATCAATTGTCTTAGGATTTTCTCCCTAAAGTGCCTACCCACTCTGCCATATGCTGCATTGGGGTTCTTCCTGGGATACTTATGGGGTTAGGCCCATCTTTGGGAGGCATGTTAGCCTCAATTTTACTGTTTTGCAGAGAAAGGAAAAGAATTGAGAATAAACACTTCACCTTATTTGTCTGGAAAGGAATGACCAATAAGACAGAAACAGTATTTTAAAAATGATGCAAAAAGCATGTCATTGAACTTGACAAGGCTAGACGTTGTGAAGCTTCTTGCCCAATGGATAACCAATGCTATTCATAACAATAATTATTTTATTATCTTTTAGTTATTGAGAATTTAATATGTGTTAGACACCATGCGAATGGCTTTAGCTGCATTACTTCCAGTCAGTTCTCTTGAAACTCTATGAAACAACTATTCAGAAAAGTCAGGTAATTTATCCAAGGTCACACTGTTGATAGTGGCTGAGCTAGTCTCCCTATCTCCAAAGTGGTTAAAGGTGGTAGCTAAAAGCTCTCGTAAAGTTAAAAGTGGTAGCTTCTAACCACCCTGCAATATTCCTCTATATGAAAATTATTCAATATTTGAATAGGTTTAAAAGGCCGTAAACATTGTCTTATGAATCCATATCTTCCTCAGAATACTGATTAATATCTTTGGTTAAGGAAAATCTACAGGAGTCAACACGAATTACCTCTACTTCACAGGGGCTCTCATAATTTTTCTTTCATCTTGGAACTCCATTGTTGACAAAGTTAGGATGGGTAGCTGAATGGGTTGGTAACTTAAGTTTCGTTTCACCTTAAGATTTTATGGTTCCTCAGTGCTCTTGGCTTTTTTTTGTTGTTGTTGGAGTTTTGCTCTGTTGCCAGGCTGGAGTGCAGTGGTAAGATCTCGGCTCACTGAAACCTCCACCTCCTGGGTTCAAGCAATTCTCTCGCCTCAGCCTCCTGAGTAGCTGGGACTACAGGAGTGTGCCACCACGCCCAGCTAATTTTTTTGTATTTTTAGTAGAGACGGGGTTTCACCATGTTGGCCAGGATGGTCTTGATCTGTTGACCTTGTGATCCACCTGCCTTGGCTTCCCAAAGTGCTGGGATTACAGGCATAAGCCACCATGCCTGGCCTCACAATGGCCACTAATACTTCCATTTCTCTATTTCTACAACGAGAAAAACATATTTTTTCTTTCTTCGTGGAGATACTAATGCATCAATAATATAATAGCTGTACAACTGCTTCAAGCTTATGAGGAAAACCAGATACGAAAATCCAAGTTATCATTGTCATTTAAATAATCTACATTTTGGAAGATGGCCAAATAGGAACAGCTCCAGTCTGCAGCTCCCAGCGAGACCAACATAGAAGGTGGGTGATTTCTGCATTTTCAACTGAGGTACCCGGCTCATCTCACTGGGACTGGTTAGACAGTGGGTGCAGCCCACGGAGGGTGAGCCAAAGCAGGGTGGGGCGTTGCCTCACCTGGGAAGCACAAGGGGTCGGGGAACTCCCTCCCCTAGTCAACAGAAGCTGTGAGGGACTGTGCTGTGAGGAATGGTGCATTTCAGCCCAGATACTATGCTTTTCCCATGGTCTTCACAACCCACAGACCAGGAGATTCCCTTGGATGCCTACACCACCAGGGCCCTGGGTTTCAAGCACTAAACTGGGCGGCCATTTGGGCAGACACCAAGCTAGCTGTAGGAGTTTTTTTTTTTCATACCCCAGTGGTGCCTGGAATGCCAGCAAGACAGAATAGTTCACTCCACTGGAAAGGGGGCTGAAGCCAGGGAGCCAAGTGGTCTAGCTCAGCAGATTCCACCCCCACGGAGCCCAGCATGCTAAGATCCACCAGCTTGAAATTCTCAATGCCAGCACAGCAGTCTGAAGTTGACCTGGGATGCTCGAGCTTGGTGTGGGGAGGGGTGTCCGCCATTACTGAGGCTTGAGTAGGCGGTTTTCCCCTCACAGTGTAAACAAAGTCACAGGGAAGTTTGAACTGGGTAGAGCCCACCGCACCTCAGCCAAGCTGCTCTAGCCAGACTGCCTCTCTAGATTCCTCCTCTCTGGGCAGGGGATCTCTGAAAGAAAGGCAGCAGCCTCAGTCAGGGGCTTATAGATAAAACTCCCATCTCCCTGGGACACAGCGCCTGGGAGAAGGGGCGGCTGTGGGCGCACTTCAGCAGACTTAAATGTTCCTGCCTGCCAGCTCTGAAGAGAGCAGCAGATCTCCCAGCACAGCGCTCTAGCTCTGCTAAGCGACAGACTGCCTCCTCAAGTGGTTCCCTGACCTCTGTGCCTCCTGACTGGGAGATACCTCCCAGCAGGGGTCAACAGACACCTCATGCAGGAGAGCTCCGGCTGGCATCTGGCAGGTGCCCCTCTGGGACGAAGCTTCCAGAGGAAGGAACAGGCAGCAGTCTTTGCTGTTCTGCAGCCTCTGCTGGTGATACCCAGGCAAACAGGGTCTGGAGTGGACCTCCAGGAAACTCCAGCAGACCTGCAGCAGAGGGTCCTGACTGTTAGAAGGACGACTAACAAACAAAAAGGAATAGCATCAACATCAACAAAAAGGACATCCACACAGAAACCCCATCCGAAGGACACCAACATCAAAGACCAAAGGTAGATAAATCCATGAAGATGAGGAAAAAACAGTGCAAAAAGGCTGAAAATTCCGAAAAACAGAATGCCTCTTCTCTGCCAAAGGATCACAACTCCTTGCCAGCAAGGAAACAAAACTGGAGAGAGAATGAGTTTGATGAATTGACAGAAGTAGGCTTCAGAAGGCGGGTAATAACAAACTCCTCTGAGCTAAAGGAGCATGTTCTAACCCAATGCAAGGAAGCTAAGAGCCTTGAAAAAAAGGTTAGAGGAATTGCTAACTAGAATAACCAGTTTAGAGAAGAACATAAATGACCTGATGGAGCTGAAGAACACAGCATGAGAACTTCGTGAAGTATACACAAGCATCAATAGCCAAAGTGATCAAGTAGAAGAAAGGATATCAGAGATTGAAGATCAACTTAATGAAATAAAGGGTGTCAAAAAGATTAGAGAAAAAAGAATGAAAAAAAAAAAACCGAACAAAGCCTCCAAGAAATATGGGACTATGTGAAAACACCAAATCTACGTTTGATTGGTGTACCTGAAATTGATGGGGAGAATGGAACCAAGTTGGAAAACACTCTTCAGGATATCATCCAGGAGAGCTTCCCCAATCTAGCATGACAGGCCAACATTCAAATTCAGGAAATACAGAGAACACCACAAAGATACTCCTCGAGAAGAGCAACCCCAAGACACATAATCATCAGATTCACCAAGGTTGAAATGAAAGAAAAAATGTTAAGGGCAGCCAGAGAGAAAGGTTGGGTTACCCACAAAGGGAAGCCCATCAGACTAACAGTGGATCTCTCTAAAGAAACCCTACAAACCAGAAGAGAGTGGGGGCCAATATTCAGCATGCTTAAAGAAAAGAATTTTCAACCCAGAATTTCGTATCCAGCCAAACTAAGCTTCATAAGTGAAGGAGAAATAAAATCCTTTACAGACAAGCAAATGCTGAGAGATTTTGTCACCACCAGGCCTGCCTTACCAGAGCTCCTGAAGGAAGCACTAAATAGGGAAAGGAAAAACCAGTGCCAGTCACTGCAAAAACATACCAAATTGTAAAGTTATATAAGTTAATTGGTGGCTTCTGAATGGTTACCCTTAAGTTTCATTTTGTTTCTCTAACATAGGCATTTATAAGAAATAGTCCAAGTTAACTTTTGTTTATGTTTGCAAATCAAGCAAGGTTAAGGTCATTTATGAGGACTAACTGGCTTTGTCTTCCCAAGGATTCTTCAGGCCTGGTCTCCATTTACTTTAACAGGACACATGCTCTAAAGGTAAAATTGTTTGGTTAAAATTTCAGTTTCTCTTTTTGATGAGACAGGTCTTCAGGCAAATTATTGCCTTCTGGTATTTATTTTAAACATTTTTTTGAAATACAGTAGATATACATAAAAGAATATTAAAATACTTAATACTCATTTCTCAAAATAAACATATTAAAATGTTTAATTAAAAAATAAAACCATGGGTCCTATTCAACATAGTATTGGAAGTTCTGGCCAAGGCAATCAGGCAAGAGAAAGAAATAATGGGTATTCAAACAGGAAGAGAGGAAGTCAAATTGTCTCTGTTTGCAGATGACATGATTGTGTATTTAGAAAACCCCACTGTCTCAGCCCAAAATCTCCTTATGCTGATAAGCAACTTCAGCAAAATCTCAGGATACAAAATCAATGTGCAAAAATCACAAGCATTCCTATACATCAATAATAGATAAACAGAGAGTCAAATGATGAATTAACTCCCATTGACAATTGCTACAAAGAGAACAAGATACCTAGGAATACAACTTACAAGGGATGTGAAGGACCTCTTCAAGGAGAACTATAAACCACTGCTCAAGGAAATGAGAGAGGACACAAATGGAAAAACATTCCATGCTCATTGATTGAAAGAGTCAATATCATGAAAATGGCCATACTGCCCAAAGTAATTCATAGATTCAATACTATCCCCATCAAGCTACCAATGACTTTCTTCACAGAATTAGAAAAAACTACTTTAAATTTCATATGGAACCAAAAAAGAGCCCATATAGCCAAGACAATCCTAAGCAAAAAGAACAAAGCTGGAGGCATCATGCTACCTGACTTCAAACTATACTACAAGGCTACAGTAACCATAACAGCATGGTACTGGTACCAAAACAGAGATCTAGACCAATGGAACAGAACAGAGCCCTCAGAAATAATACCACACATCTACAACCATCTGATCTTTGACAAACCTGCCAAAAACAAGAAATGGGGAAAGGATTCTCTAATAATTGGTGTTCGGAAAACTGGCTAGCCACTTGCAGAAAACTGAAACTGGACCCCTTCTTTACACCTTATAAAAAAATTAAGATGGATTAAAGACTTAAACGTAAGACCTAAAACCATAAAAGCCCTAGAAGAAAATCTAGGTGATACCATTCAGGACATAGGCATGGGCAAAGACTTCATGACTAAAACACCAAAAGCAATGGCAACAAAAGCCAAAATTGACAAACGGGATCTAATTAAACTAAAGAGCTCCTGCACAGCAAAAGAAAATATCATCAGAATCAACAGGCAACCTACAGAATGGGAGAAAATTTTTGCAATCTAGCCATCTGACAAAGGGCTAATATCCAGAATCTACAAATAACTTAAACAAATTTACAGGAAAAAATCAACCCCATCAAAAAGTGGGCAAAGGATATGAACAGACACTTCTCAAAAGAAGATATTTATGTGGCCAACAAACATGAAAAAAAGCTCATCATCACTGGTCATTAGAGAAATGCAGATCAAAATCACAATGGGATACCATCTCACACCAGTTAAAATAGCGATCATTAAAAAGTCAGGAAACAACAGGTGCTGGAGAAGATGTGGAGAAAAAGGAATGCTTTTACATTGTTGGTGGGAGTGTAAATTAATTCAACCATTGTGGAAGTCAGTGTGGCAATTCCTCAAGGATCTAGAACCAGAAATACCATTTGACCCAGCAATCCCATTACTGGTATATACCCAAAGGATTATAAATCATTCTGCTATAAAGATACATGCACACATATATTTATTGCAGCACTATTTACAATAGCCAAGACTTGGAACTAACCCAAATGCCCATCAATGATAGACTGGATAAAGAAAATGTGGCACATATACACCATGGAATACTATGCAGCCATAAAAAAGGATGAGTTCATGTCCTTTGCAGGGATATGGCTGAAGCTGGAAACCACCATTCTCAGCAAAGTAACACAGGAACAGAAAAACAAACACCGCATGTTCTCACTCATAAGTGGGAGTCGAACAATGAGAACACATGGAGTCAGGGAGGGGAACATCACACACCAGGGCCTGTCGGGGGGGTCGGGGGCTAGGGGAAGGATAGCATTAGGAGAAATGCCTAGTGTAGATGATGGGTTGATGGGTGCAGAAAACCACCATGGCACGTGTATACCTATGTAACAAACCTGCACGTTCTGCAAATGTATCCCAGAACTTAAAGTATAATAAGAAAAATTTTCAAATAAAAAAATGAGATAAAGTAAATATCTACATTTTAATTCAAAAATGAAAACGAAAGCCTCTAGAGAAGTTTGCGGCACACTTAGCTTTATTGAAATTGAACAAATGCTTTTTAAAATAACCCCTTGTACAGCACATGTAAAATTTAATTATTATATTTTTACAGGTTGTCTTTTATCTGAGTAAGCAAAAATACGTCTTTTTTTTTCTTACTTAAAACATGTAGCCAGAATTCAAACCACGTAGCTCTGGTACCAAAAAGGCAACGGGTTATGAAAATCACAGTACAATTTTAAAATTCTTTAAGTTAGTTAAGGATATTTAAAACAATGTTCACTTATATTGACTGACAGTAGAAATCATGGGTCAGTTGACATTAGGACTAGTAGTTACACCTACAATGAGAGCAGAAATGGAAAGTTCAAGCTGACCTGAGCTACACTGTTCAGGACACACCATCTCCATAAATACTGTAGCTGAGTAGCTGCAATGACTAGTCACAGTTGGGCGATTAAAGTCACGTGTAAATATAGCCAAAGCAAAAATATATATATAATGCACTAACTTGGATATAAAATAAAGTGGGCATTTATTAAGAGGGTACACTATCAAATTAATTACACAATACACAATTTAAGTTTCAAAATTTTATCTTGGAAAGAAAAATATTAAAATGCACACCTATATGGACAGTAAAGTAGAAATTTTTCTGTCATTGGTGTTTATTTTGTCATTGTTATTTACTGGATAAGTAGAAATAATTTACGACCCACAAAAGGCTTTCTCAAGTGAAACACTAATTACAGACATTGTAAAGAACATAGCTTAGGAGGCTTGTTTTAAAAACGAGGCAGCATTTTCCTGAAAAAGTTTGGTCCTCGACTCACTATAGGCTAGTCACTATGGTCAGATGGTTAAGCATTTTTGAAGTTTGTGTGTGTGTGTGTGTGTGTGTGTGTGTGTGTGTGTGTGTGTGTGTGTGTGTGTGTGTATAGCTAACTTTTCAGTACCAGAATTAGTCAAAGCCAAACCAAACCAAAAGGACCAAAAGGCAAACAGCCCTTAAGAACTTGACCCCGCATATCATGTCTGAATGATGCGCATATCATGTCTGAATGTTGCGCATATCATGTCTGACTGAAAGAACAATGCTAAAGATTATGGAAGGGAATTATTATGCTCCCGTGATTCTGCAACCCCTTAATTTTGTGCAGTTTTCTTCATCACCCATATAACTTGTCTTTTTTTTCATGTAGGTGCCAGGAAACCCACCCCCATGACCCTCCCTCCCCCCTCCCTCAATCTTCTCCTCTGTCAAAGTGATATAAAGACAATTTCACTGTGTATTTACAAGCACAACACTGAGGCAAGAAGGTCCCAGGGTCTGTAGGGCACATCTATTTCTTGTGGACATCTTCATGCCGAATGATCTTGTATGTGATCCAGTAAAAGATGTTGAAAATGAGGAAGGCCAATGGGAAGGCAGCTCGAGATATCGTGTCAATCCTTTTTGCCCGGTCCACAAACTTCTTCTTGATAGCATCTCCATCTTTTGGCGGTTGTGGGAGTGGGTTGGCAGGTGTGGCCTTGACAGCTGTTCCATCTTTCACTTGGAGGCAGTGACCCATCCCATAACCGCTAAAATTAAAACGACTTTCACGAGTAACGTCTTCTTCCTGACGGAATAAAGACAGAGGAAGCACAGATTGGTTGTCAGTCAAGTTAGATGGAAGATGCTTAAAATTCTTTAGAAGTAAAAGGATAAATCACAGTTAACTGGTGGTGTGGGAGGCTTTTGGAATAGCGAGTTCTCTTTCAAGTTCAACTCAATTATTCATGGAACAGATACAGTTGATTAACTTTTCAGACTGAGAAATTAAGGGTAAGAATAATGACTGTGGTCATTTTAATTAATTAACAAACAGAAACACCTACATTATATTCAGTACTGACTTTCCCAAAATCTAGTTTATTAATCCCTAGATATGAATAGAGATTTTAAAGCAGTTCTCCAAATCCCAGTGTTACACTGTAAGTCTATGAAGAGGACCATTCATTCATTCATTCATTCATTCAGAAAACATTTACTGAGCCTGTGCTGTGTGCCTGGCCCTAAGGAACCTATAGTATTGTGGTTCATTCACAGCGCAATTCCCCCATTAACATTAGGTTTAATGTTGATGTTACATCTAAGGTGAGCCCCTTATATATATACCTGTTCCCCCTCCAGCCCTCTAGTTCATCTCATTTATATAGCAGAGATTAAATATTCATTAATAATTTAATTTTTCCAGTGTTGATTTTTAACATTGATTATTTGGCTGGTGAATCATTTCTACCATATTTAAATGTGTCATTTTAGCTGATGTCAGTGATATTTGTATGATTATTTCTACATAAATTAGATAAAAGTCTGAAAAATTGTATTTATTCCTTGGTGTAAAGGACAAATAGCCTTAGAGAAAAATGTATGGGATCTGGGTATGTGTTTGGGTCAAAGGAGGGGGTCAAACGGTGGGGTTGAAAAGGTGGGGTTGAAAAGCTGGGATTGAAATGACTTAACTGTAAACAGCCATCAATTGAATTATCTTCTTCTGTAACTAGATTACTGCCTTCCACAATAACATGCAACTCCTCTGAGTCACCAGAGGCACTAAACTCTTTATCTTGCCAGATAATAATAATGGTTATGTTTCCCAAAAGACAAGGAAACTTGGTATTAACTTTATTTCATTAATGCTTACTGAATGTCAGTAGTGTCTTCATCCACATATAAAAGGTATACTAAATGAAGGACTTATAATATGAATGACAGCCTAAGTAAAACTCAAATGGTACAACAAGGACAATTTGTACCTTGTGTACTTAAATGAGTTTTGTAAGTTCAACAGCAGATCCCTGGAGAGGTAAGGAAGGTGAGAAGAACTATTTCAGTTAATTACACTTGATCATGTGCAAAATGGGGAGTGAAAGAGCAGGTAACAGTTTAAAGAGTGGTGCAAGGACTTCAGAATAGGTAGATTAGATTATAGTATACGTGCTCAGAGGGGAAGCTGCAGAACCTGCAAGGCAGAACAGATTTGCTTCTATGTGGCTCATTTAGCTAAATTAGTGTAGTACCCAGGTGCCACCTCCCTTTGTGGGAGATACATGCAGCCTGAAAATGAAGAAGAGTTCAACGCAGTCCTTGAGGCTTTTGATTTATCGACATTGCCCATTGTGATACAGTATCTCTGGTGAAGCCAGCCCTAAACATGGCTGAACATTCCATTGCAACCTGGCAATGACTTGGAATTTGAGCTGGAGAGATAGCAAGTGTGAATAATTGCCAAATATTCCATGTCATCCTTCGCCATGTAAATTTGATCTCTAGGAAAATCAGGTGGGAAAACAGAAACCTCATTTGCTTGATACATTAGTAGGTTTTATTAATGACTGCACCTAGTGCTTCCAATAAAAAATTAATTATAACCTTTATTATTATTATTTTTTGAGACAGTCTCACTCTGTTGCCCAGGCTGGGGTGAACTGGCATGATCACGGCTCACTGCAGTCTCAACCTCCTGGGCTCAAGTGATCCTCCCGCCTCAGACCCCTGAGTAGCTGGGACTACAGGTATGAGCCACCATGCCCAGCTAATTTTTTGTTTAACTTTTTGTAGAGACGGGGTCCCACTATGTTGCTAAGGCTGGTCTTGAACTCCTGGGCTCACGTGATTTTCCTGCCTCGGCCTAGTTGTAACCTTTAATCAGACCATTATATCACAAAAATCAGACCAAAGGTCTTTAAAAAGTAACTATAAAACTACTACTTTATAAAGCCATCTTTCCATACTTTTATTTATATGGGATTATCCTACACAAGTTGGCTAAAGGCACTCTGTCTCATTTCTTAACAAAATATAATAAAGGATTTTTAATTCAACCATTAATTGTTGAGTGTTGCCTCTGTGACAAGCATTGTACTAGGTGCTGGGAGACAATTGATGAAGTTGGACAAGGGCTCTATCTGCATGGAACTTTCAGAATCTGGTGGAAGGGGCCAAACTAAAGGTATTATCATATAAGGAAGTCAGCAAACAAAATCCAGCCTAACATCGGAGTACTTCCATGTGCTCAGTTATATAAACTCGATAATGAAGACTTAAAGTGGGACTCAGATTCAAATATTAAACCTGTTTTCTTTGCCTTAAAAATATGAATATTTTATGGATGCAAAAGTTTTAAATAAGTGAAGCCTTTCAAAATGTGGAATAACTGGATATATTAATTATTACAGTGTCATCAGTGTCCTCATAACTATCTGAAGACTTACTCAGTGCTTAGCAAGAAAAGGAAGCACATACAGGTCATTAGGAGGAGGGGACTTGTTATAGGCAGTCTTGGACTTCCCAACTACTACTAATTGGTAATTAGATCTCAACCAGTGTGAAGTAGAAATGATGCCAGTTGGTTTAGTAAAGAGAGATCCGCTCTGGGAATTTGGATATTTCTGTTCTGTGCCTGCTCCAAGGCTTATAAGCTGTGTTGACCTTAGGCAAGCTACTTATTCTTTCAAAGCCTCAGGGACCTCATGCCAATAATGTCAAGGCTGAGCTGGGATCTGTGGGTTTCAGCTCTGGCTGCTGGGGAACTTTTACAAATACATGTATGCCTGCCTCCCCTCCCAGCCCTTTCTAGACCAGTCTCTGGGGATGAGAACTTAGGGTCTATTTTTTTTAAAGATCCAGTGACTCTAATGTAAAATGTTGGAAACCACTGGTCTAGATGAGTTCCGATGTCCATCTCTAAAATGTACAACCTATTCTATATTTTTAAGTCTAAAGTTACTATTGAAATAGAAACAACCCCTCAAAATACCTTTCTCCTTATCTGCTCAAATTTACTGTGCTGTTTTTTTCCTTTGCGTATCTGCAGAATCTTGCAAATTACAGCTCTCACCTCTATAAACCTTTAGAAACTCATGATTAAGCATATAGTTCACCGCCTCAGTAAGATAATGTTCTTTTAAATTCTGAAGCCCCTAAAGAAATAGAAAGGGTATGTAGGTAGTAAACTATTTTTAGCACACAAAAGGAAACTTAAATATACATGTCCACGTGTCTTTTCAGATTGACTCATTCATTTAATTTCTATAGTCTTTCATCACATACTGTGAATGGACAGCTAAAAAGATTAACTCATTCAATTAACAGAGCTAGAATAGAAGGATGTCAGGTTAGAATCTCATTATATTGTACATCGTCATGCAAACTGTGGGGGCTTAATAAATGTTTGCTGAATAATGAACAAAAGGGAATTTTAAGAGGGTTTTCCCTATGCTTGAAAATACTTTCCTCATTCATTCAACACTATTTCAAATTATGCTTCTGAGCATAGTTATAGCTAATTTAATCAATTCTTTAAAATTCTCTGCCACAAAAATAAACCTGTTGTGAGTAAAAATTATCCATTTAAGGTTTTATGTGCAGGAGGTATGAATGCTAGTTTAAGGGTCTTCTTATTTACCATTATGATGCATTCAATGCCTTTTAAATATAGAACTTTATGGTATTCACATCAAAGGAGATGGTTTTGATTCTGAAAACATAACTGCAACCAATTTGAATTTTTTTGTGTTATAATAAATGACTAATTGCCTTTCTAGCAGGTTCAGAATAAAATGTTATGGTAATATGACAAGATTCCTATATGAAATGAGCTTGAGTCATGGATAAACTGAAACTAAAATAAAGAACAATCTGTAGCCACAGCTGAGTTGAGCATATTTACAGGTAGACTCAGTTAGGTCCTTCCAGTAAGGAAATAATTAATTTTAGGCATATATTCTCCATTTCTTCTGATTAGCCAGAAACTCAATTAATTATCCATCATCTTCCATCTTTAGTAACTGAGCAATAAGCACTTCTAGCTGACCCTCTTTTGTTATTCACTGATTAGTTAAATTCTCACAGAAAATGAATCATCCAGTCAAGGTTTCAACACATGCAATTTTTATATCGCACTTTGATAAGATCTCCTTAATCCCGTCTGCTGTATAAAGCACTGCCATGGCACTGTGCAATTTGCTTGAAATTTATTATCTAATTTTATGTATTTTATGCATCAGTTTTACTTATTGTAAAATTTGCTCATTCCTGTGTTTAGAATAATTCTTGTCTAGATGGGAAATTGACCTAAAGCTCACTGGAGTTGCATTGTAGTGAATTGTTTGTCATAAGCAAATGATTTCAATATAATTAAAGAACATGGCACTTACAGATGAAAAGATTTTAGCAGAGTCTATATTTGTAATTTTTCTTTTATTCTTGAGAAAGGAGGAAGTAAAAGGACTCCTAAAAATCTTTCCATCGCATTTCTCACCCAGATTTTTTTATTGGACTGAGCCTCCTTTCTGTTGGGACAGGAAATTTCTCAGTTGGAACTGAAGGTTGTAGTGAGTCTCACTCAATGCAAGGACATAATGGACTCTCCAGTCTGTCTTAGGAAGCAATATGTGTCCAAATACAGTGGGTTTTCACTGAAAAAATCTCCCAAGCAAATGATGGTTGAATGATGCTTAATCACAGACCTGGATATAAGAGGAATGGCCTTGGGAAATTTTCTTCAACTGTTAAGGCTTCAATTTCCTCCTTTGTATCATGGGTACTTTGGGAATAGACATGAATAATAAATGGATAGCATTTATTAAGAGTCTGTACCATTCACTTAAAACCATGGTCAGTCCTGTTACTGAATTGATCTTTCAAGTCACATATTTCTTGGGGAAACTGAGGCCAAGAAAAGTTATGTGGCTTCCTATAGTTATAGTGCTAATAAATGTTGAAGCTGAGATTCAAATCCAGGTCTGTCTGATTCTAAAACTGATTCCAAAGTCTCTGGGTTTGATTTGTGTACGTTTTTGCCCCTATCAAATCCCAAATGGCTTCCATTATCAAATCCCAAATGGCTTCCATTCAAGATTATGAATGAAGAATCTGACTGAGCTTTGCAGAACAACAAAGTTGAAATAAACTAAACCAAATATAGCCCCTTGTTGCTTAATGACATGTGCTGAAATGAATTAAAACTGTCAAAGTGTCATTTTGGGCAGATTGTGAAAGGCAATTTTTCCAAAAGAAAAACATGTCAATGTATTATCTCTTTCTCAGTGCAGCATATTTTTATCATTGATTTTTAAAGAAGAAACTTCCAGGATTTATTTATTGAGCAACTGCCATTCTTCTTCTTGTTTTTTTTTTTTTTTTTTTTTTTTTTGAGACAGAGTTTTGCTTTTGTCACCCAGGTTGGAGTGCAGTGGTGTGATCTCATCTCACTGCAACCTCTGCCTCCTGGGTTCAAGTGATTCTCCTGCTTCAGCCTCCCGAGTAGCTGGGATTACAGGTGCCCACCACCATGTCCAGCTAATTTTTGTATTTTTAGTAGAGACGGGGTTTTACCATTTTGGCCAGGCTGGTCTCAAACTCCTGACTTCCGGTGATGCACCCGCTTCGGCCTCCCAAAGTGCTGGGATTACAGGTGTGAGCCACCATGCCTGGCTTATTTCTCACATTTTTAACAAATATTTATTGAGTACCTATTATGTGCCAGGTACGTGGTAGAGTTACAGCAATGAACAAGAATACAAAAGTCTCTGATTTTTTGGAATTTACATTCTAGAGGGGGAAACAGTAACAAGTAAACAAATTATACACACACACAAACATATTTATACATATACACACATATACATATACGAATGCATATACACACAAGACACACACAGATAATGATGGGTGCTTTGGAAAAAAATAAACAGTTAAGGTAAGAGACTTAGGCAAGTGGCATAGAAGGGAGTGTTTTAGATTGAGTGGTTGGAAAAGGCTTGCAGAGATGCCAGGCACTGTGCTATGTGCCGGGGATCCAGTGGAGAGCAAAATAGATTTGATTCTTGCCTTCAAGGAGTTTGCAACCTTGAGATGAAGGGAAACAATAAAGTAATCACATGAATACATAATTACTAACTATGATAAGGGCTCTGAAGGAAAATTATAAGATGCTATGAGAGCTTACTAAATGGGGTCCTGGTCTAATCTGACAGATAAGAGAAGCTTTTCCCCTAGGAAGTGATATTTCATTAGAGATTTAAAAAATGAGAGGCATTAAAGAGGTGAAGGCAGGGTTTGGCAATGTCTGAGATAGGAGGGTTTGCTGCAATTGAGGGATGCAACTGAGGCCTGGAATACAGGGGGAGTGTGGAGTGAGACAATGTTTCAGAAATGAACCAGGGGCTACATCATATAGGGCCCTGTAAACCAGTGTCTGATGAAGCTTTATTTTGAGAACCAAGGGGAGCCATAACTGGCTTTTAATGGAGATTGCATGACATAACCAGATCAGCATATTGAAATAAATCACTTTGGTTGCCATGTGGATGACTGCCTAGAGGAACGCAAAAGTGAATCCAAGAAGTTACAAAGCTACAGCAATGGTCCAGATGAGAGATGATAATGATTTGGATTTAATGGGTGGTGGTATAGGTAGAGAGCAATGTGCCAACTAGAGACATAGAGGGGCAATCAACAGGTCTTAGAGATGGATTGGAAATTGTCAAGGTTAACCTCCAGCTTAAACCACTAGATGGATATTAATGCCATTCAATGAGAAAGAAGACACCAAAAGAGGATCACATTAAGTTTGGGGAAAATAATACGATTGAGGTGCACTTGAGACATTCGAATAGATACATGGGGTAGGTGATTGATTGCAATGGACAGTCTGTAACTCAGAGAGATCTCAGCTGGAGGCATACACTTGGTTATATTTTAATGCATGACTGGCAGTCTTTCTTTTCAACCCCAAACTGTTTGCAAGACAAAAAATACTGAAGGTGACTTATGCTAAAATCAGCCATTAGCCAATACAGTTAAAATTATTCTTTTAAATACTTTTCAAGTTTTACCCAGATAAGGCAATACTTGTAAATAATTTTGGATTCAGAATAAATCTTTGCTCTGATGCTGAGGATAAAATGAAATTATAAGTATCATTCTGCATGTCAGCTAAGTATTCCAAAGGAAGCTTTATGGAGTAGCCATGGTTTAGGTCAGCTGGTGGGATCCCCTACACTCATTCTGCAGGGCCCTCTCAAACTGGTCTGTGGATAGCATAGTGGCATGTTGGCAAGGCAAAGAGAAGAGAAGCAGTTCCCACTTCTTTCTCCTCTGCATGCTTCCATATGTCATATAGAAGTCACAGACTGTATTATATTGTGTTTGCCAAAGATAGCCACAACAATATCTCCCATCCCATATGCTTTTTTCTTAACAGTATTATCATTGACACTCTTTCCATTGAGACATGGGGTCTGTATCCCCTCCACTTGAGTCTAAGTGGGCTTGTGACTTGCTCCTAATCAACAGAATTTGGTGGAAGTGACACTAAGTAACTTCTAAGTCTAGGTCATAAAAAGTGATGAAGCTCCAATCCTGGTGTGCTTGGAACCATGAGCCACCATGTCAACTGTCTGACTGCCCTGAGACCACCATGCTATGAAGAACTCAAAGTAGCCCATGTGGAGAAATCACATGGAAAAGCCCTGTGAGTACATGAAGAAAGAATGATGCCTGCCCAACTCCCAGCTGTTCCAGCCCCAGTTACTGTCTGACTGCACCAAGAGGAGAGACCCCGAACCACAACTGCCTAGCTGAGATCTTCCCAAATTCTTAACACACAGAAAGTGTGAGAGATAATGAACTGCTTGTTATCGTTTTAAGCCACTAAGATGTTGGATGATTTATTATGCAGTAATAGATAGCTACACAGATAATTGATGCTGTATCAAAAACTGAAATGTTGTGGCATTATCTTTGGGACCAGGCAGCAGGCAGAAGCTGGAAGGCCCTCAAGGAGGTTGTTGGAAGACTGGGAGGAAAGAAAGGCAATTGCTGTGGAAAGCTGGAGGATGGGGAAAAGTTTACCAACATTGTTTCCTGTGGTAACATGGAAAATAGAAAATATACTTAATAAACCTCATCATCTACCTAAGGAGATTTCCAGATAGAGCACTGAGGATGCTGCTTGGCTTTTAGCTGCTGATACCAAACTGAGAGAGGACAAAGAACTGAAGAACAGGCCATTAAGTGTCCAAGTAGAAGTTGGAGGAAATGTAAAGGATCCAGAATAAGTCTTTTCAGCCTGCGAAGGGTCCTCAAATCAGAACAGGCCTCAGGGGAAAAAATCATATACAGGGTGGGACTGTACGATTCTTTGTTAAAACCTGAGAAATATCTAAAGCAGTACCTGATAAGCTCTTTCAGACAGGCAATAGGTCTTATAAGGATCATAAGAACATG
The DNA here is from genome assembly GCF_000001405.40 of Homo sapiens. Lineage (NCBI taxonomy): Eukaryota > Metazoa > Chordata > Mammalia > Primates > Hominidae > Homo > Homo sapiens. The sequence continues at coordinate 14,721,549 of NC_000023.11, read as the reverse complement.
CCTTACAGATTGTCTCCTCTAAACAATAAGCTTCTACGAATATTAAGGGTGTTGGGCCACACAGCATACTCACAGGGAGCCTAAGATAACAAGGGCTTATAATTGATAAATAATAATTGTATATATTTATGGAGTATAATGTAGTGTTTTGTTGTGGAATGATTAACTCAAGGTAATTAACATATCCATTACTTCACATACTAATCATTTTTTGTGGTGAGAACACTTAAAATCTATTCTTTTAGCAATTTTGAAATGTACATTATTATTAACTATAGTCACCATGCTATGCAATACATCTCTAAAACGTAATCCTCCTAACTAAAACAGGGTTTATCTTGAAAATATTTGTGAGTATAGCTTTTGTCTAATGAAGTGGATTATAAATTTATATATAAACCCCAACAGTATTTTTTTTTTTTTTTTTTTGAGACAGGGTCACACTCTGTCACCAAGGCTGGAAGTGCAGTGCCATGATCACAGCTCACTGCAGCCTCGACTACCCAGACTCAAGTGATCCTCCTGCCTTAGCCTCCCAAGGTGGACGGGTCATGTGCCACCATGTCTGGCTAATTTTTTTGTAGAGGTGGGGGTCTCACTATATTGTCCAGGCTGGTCCCAAACTCCTGGACTCAAGCAATCCTCCCATCTTGGTCTCCTAAAATGCTGGAATGACAGGCATGAGCCAACATGCCCAGCCCTGCCCCCAACAGTTTTTAAGGAATTGTATGTTTGGACTGAAAACAACAAAGATAGTATAAAATGAAAGGAGGTCTTTAGACTCCTAATCTTTTAAAGACAATAAATAGACTAAAAAGGTTACTCAGTGGCAAACAAGTGCCCCTTCTTATAGAAAAAGAAAGATGTTTCAAATAGCAGAATAAGAGTCCAGAGAGCAGACCCAAAAACTAGAGAGGACAACCAAGGAATATATCCCCCAAACAAGGATCTTCCAACATGGACCTTTCTAGGTCTCAGAATTCCTGTTAACTAGTGACTGCTGTGTGCCTCTTGTTCCCCCTATTTTTGAATGGAAGAGTCTATAACAGTTATCCTCTGTATGTCTCCATATTGTCTGTTGAGTAAGTGGAGCAGATACCTTGTCTCTTTAGTTCCCAGGTTTTCATTTTTAACTGTATCCAAAATGCTTAACCTGAGATGCTTCATTTGACTTACATGATGAGATCCTGAGTTTTGAGCTACATTTAAATTTTTAAATATATTTTAATGGACACATAATTGTACATGTTTATGAGGTAAGGGTGGTATTTCAATACACGTGTACAATGTGTAATGATCAAATCAAGTTAATTAGTATATAAATCACCTCAAAACTTAATCACTGTGTTGTGTTGATAACATTCAAAATCCTCTCTTCTAGCTCTTTGAAAAAAATACAATAAATTATTGTTTACTGTAGTGCTATAGAATACTGAAACTTGTTCTTCTTATGTAGCTGTACTTCTGTATCTGTTAATCAAACTGTCCCTATTCCTCACTCCTTTCTACCCTTCTCTTCCTCTAGTAACCACTATTCTACCCTCTACCTCTATGAGATCTACTTTTTCAGCTCCCAAAAATGAGAAATTGTAGTATTTCTCTTTTTCTGCCTGACTTATTTCCCTTAACATAATGTCCTCCAGACTCATCCATACTATTAATGACAGGATTTGATTTTTTTAAGACTGAATAGTACTCCATTATGTATGAACACTACATTTTCTTTATCCATTTATCTGTTGATGGATATGTATGTTGATTTTATGTCTTGTCTTTTGTAAATAGTGCTGCAGTAAATATGGGAGTGCAGATATCTCTTTAACATACTGTTTTCCTTTCCTTTGGATATAGAGCCAGTATTGGGATTGCTGGATTATATGGTATTTCTATTTTTAGCCTTTTGAGCTATACTGTTTTCCATAATGGCTGTATTAATGTACATTCCCACCAACAGTATATAAGAGTTCCCTTTCTTCTGTATTTTTGCTAGCATTTGTTATTTTTTGTCTTTTTGATAATAGCTATTCTAACTGGGGTGAGATGATATCTCATTGTGATTTTGATTTGCTTTTCTCTGATGACTAGTGATGTTCAGCATTCTTTCATATACCTGTTGGTCATTTGTATGTCTTCTTTTGAGAAATGTCTATTCAGATACTTTTTCCATTTTTAAATTGGATTATTTGGATTTTTTGCTGTTGAGTTGTTTGAGCTCCTTGTATATTTTTGATATTGATCCCTTATTGGATGAAGAGTTTGAAAGTGTCTTCTCCTATTCTTCAGGTTGAGCTACATTTTAGTTCAATACCTGTAATCAATGTTTCACCCATTGAAGTCTTTTATAGGTCATTAATTATTTCCCCTTACCCAGAAAATAAAATAAAACACCAATAACAAAAAACAGCTTTCTATTTTACTATTCCTGTAGGTGTGCATTTAATATTGGTGGTCTTGGAAAAGGGAGTGAGCATATTTTGCACGTGGGAGGGATGTGAATTGTTGTGCGAAGAGGGTGGACTGTGGCAAAATGTATTTGTCAAAGATGGCCACAACAATATGTCCCATTCACATGGTTTCTTCATTGTGACTTTGAAGCTCTTCCTACTGAGAGTTAGGGGTCTATGTCCCCTCCCTTTGAATCTGGGCAGGCTTATGTTTGCTTGTAAGTAATAGAATGCAGTGAAGATGACACTGTATGACTTCCAATGTTAGTTCATAAAAGGCAATGCAGCCTTGCCATGTTCACTGGTGCACTTGGGCCTGGAGTCTTGGGACACCATATAAAAAATCCAACTACCCTGAGGCTGCCATGCTGTGAGGAAGTCAAGCCACATGGAAAGACTATGTGTAGGCACTCTGATGAGCAGTCTTAGTCTTAGAGTTTTCCTAGCCTAGGCACCAGACATGTGGACAAACAAGTCTACAGATGACTGACTCCTAGCTGTCAAATAATCATGTGTCTTTGAATCGTCTGAGCTAATATGTCAGACATCATGTAGTAGAGACAAGTCATTCCTACTCTGCCTTTTACAAATTCCTGAGCATAGTAAGATGGTTGTTTTGTGCCAATAAGTTTGAAGTGGTTTATTCAGCACAGTAACTGGAACAGGCTATTTGAGTCATCGTTGTGCCAAATATTACACTTTCAATAGCTAGTTATCTAAACCTAGAATTCCTGCCATAAAGTAAGATAAATATTACAAATATATGGGATTGAATGTGTTCCTGATTGACCACTGGTTGGCTTTTCAAATTTAAAAGTAGGACTAAAAATGCCAGTCTAAGTACAGTGTTGGTGAAAACTGCTCTGTAAGTCATGCTAGGTAAACTGGCTAGTGGCTCTCTGTGCAGTGAGCTGCCTGTATCTTATCTTAGTCACTTGAGATACAGCATCACTGCCTAAGGCTCCTATATCCACCCTACTATAGGAATCAATCATATCCCTGAAGAACTAGCAGCACTATAATGTAATGTCATATTGATAGAGAATGTAACTTCTGCTTGAAAAATAAACATCTTGACTTCATCTCAGTAATGATACATTAGCAGGAAACCAATGTCGTACCCGACGACATTCTCAGGGGTACCATTTCAGAGAATCACATTTACTCATCAGCCTATCTCTCCTCTGTTATAAAACCAAACACAAGTGTGCTTCCTTTCAAAATAAGTATCTGAACCATATAAAAGCAATAAATCAGTGGATGATTTCTTTGAAATTGGATTCATAACTGAGTAATCTAATGCGTGCTCAAAAAATTCTTGATAAATCCTTGTTTATTGACCGATGGGTTTTTTTTTTTTTTTTTACTTTACAGAAGGATCTTCCAGTTGCTAGTAAATCCAAGCTCATCTAATTCATGATGTACTCCATATAAAGTGATTTATACTTAACCTTTTCTATAATATCTGCATTCCACAGAGTTGAATGTACTCATAACTATATACAACTCTATGACAAAATAAACTTAAGAAAGAAAGATGATCTCTACAAATAAATATTAGAGCAGGCTTATGCACAGGTAAAGATTGTGAATGAATGCAATCAAAACCTGACCTGGTTAGAAAAGTGAGCCCGTGTCCTATAAGGTAGTTTAATTATTTCAATTTAAAATGATCAATGAGAGGTAAAACTGTGTGTAGGAGTATATATAAGAATTAAGCCTAGGTAAAGGACTTGATATCTACTTTTTTTTTTTTTTTTACTTTCTTAAGTGAAGAAATTGGCAGAAGGATAAAAGAAGAGTGAAATGGCAGAAGTATCTCTTGGATGTGGCTGACCCTGCTTCTCTCACCTTGATGCACTGAAAGCTTCTCTCTGTACCCAGGCCCTCCACTTGGAGGGTGCCCCCAGTTACACTGACCTCATCTGTCAATCCATTCAATTTATTGACCATCGGCAGTAATGTTGAATAAAGAAGCTCCTATTATAGGGCAGGCACTGGACTTGGCTCTGGAAGCACATAATTAAGATATACTTCTAAACTTTGGACACGTCAGATTTGTTGTTGCTTTTTTTGAAGGGGGCATAAATAACGAAATAGAGTATAATAGGAGGCATATTTTTGAGATATGTACAAAGGTTTATTGGGGTTCAGTTTAGCCTGAAGTCTCCAGAGTTGGTGAAGGTACTGATGGTAACACTGCTGAGACATACAAGGCGATGTGCAAATCATCCATGATTCTCCTATTCTGAAAAAGACTTTCTAGTTACCTATTGGTTTTAGGTATTAATTTCCATTTTTCTTTTTATTATTTTCTTTAATATTGCTTCCCATTCATATTAAAGGATAGATGCCCAAGGACTCTGGGTTTTGATAGCTGATTTTCACTATTATCTTTGCTCACCAGAGGGGTGAGCTCCTGGGAGCATGTCAAAATTAACTCTGTAGCCCTATTCTCTAGAGTACATTGCCTGGTTCCTAATCATTACTCAATAATTGTGTTTGTAGTGATCCTCTTAATTCTAAGTAAGGACACAGAAAAGTCGTGCTCCCTGGGGGAAGGGAGAGGACAGCAGTTGTCTCCTGGCAGATAACTCTCTCTTTACCAATTGTAGTCCTTTCTGCAGCCTCTGGATCAATCTCTTCCCTCAAAGGACTTCCATCCTCTTCTACTCACTTTAAATAGACTGGATATTGCAGAGGAACAGAGGAAATCACTGGGCTAGAATCTGAAAGGCTTTGGTTGAATTCACATCTTTACTATAACCTAGATGTGTGAGGTTGGGACAGTCCCTCAATTTTTTTTTGTTCTTCAATTTCCTCATCTTTAAAATGAAGAGATAGGACATTTGGCCATTTTCTGAATTTGTGGGTATAGGACTATAATGCTGGCTAGTATGTTGCCTTGAGACTAATCTCTAGCTGGTTGATATATTTAAGATTTTTCTTCCCAACCAGGGAGTAGACACATGCAAATAAGGGTTTTATTGTCTTCTTTCAACCCCGGCCCTGAGACCTTCTGACAGGGTCAGCTTCGTGAGTATGCATACTATACAGTCACACAGTGCCCAGTGCTTAGAAGGGTCCTGTGCTTGGCTTAATGCTCTGCTATAGCCATGTTGACATTCATAATAATTTTTAAACAAGGGACCTACATTTTAATTTTGCACTGTGCTACGCAGATTATGGAGCTATCCCTGCCTTCTACTTTAGTGGAATAGATGCCGTTGGACCATTGCTTCCATTTCAAGACTTAATACTTTTCAACAGTTTCTCATCTCCTTAATGACCACTCCCAAGCTCCTTTGTGTGACATTCAAGGACCCCCATGTCCTGCCTTACACCTACTTCTCTCATAGGATTACATGACCTTTGACTATAAACTGCTTCCCTTTATATAGAATAATCCTCACCTCTTTTTACCTGGTAAACTCCTTCAAGTCTTTTAAGATTCTACTCTGCCATTATTCTATTCAGAATGCCTTTTCTTGACCCCTGATCCTGAGCCATGGGTTCCTCCTTACCTCCTGTAGTACATGTCTCCATAATGGAATCTACTGCATCATATTAAATTCAACTATTTACGTGTCTGCCTCTTTCATGTAACTTTCAAGTGCAGGGGCCCGTTCTGACATATTTTGATATCCCCAGTGCCTAGAATAATACTTGGCTGAATCTTCCTACATTGAATGCATATATGTATAAAGTAAAGGCTTAAGTGAATGGTAATATGAAAAAAGTATTTTGTAACTTGAAAAGTCATTTCCTTGCTTATTTACCATATGGCTTATTTTTGCATACTGGATTTATATAAAATTAGGGCAAACCTAAGCTTAACAATGTCACTCAATAACTGAGGTTTTCTATTTTTGAAACACCGTCCATTTTTTTGGCCAAGTATTAAGCTCGTGAGCAGCCACATAGTGTGAAAATTAGATTCACCCTGTTAAGAATCTTAAAAGAAAGTGCATACTTATTTGCAAGGAAAACAAATGGAATAGACAAAAATTTTAGAATATAAAGACTTTTTTTCATTTATGTATGTGTTTACAATTCAAAATAATAAAGCTAGTTAAAAGTCAATACATATTAGATATATTCAAATATTTTACCAAATAAATTTCGATCTTATCAGTTAACACCCATAGCAAAAGACTAAGGAGTATTTGTATAACATTAGGGTATTTGAACTCATATTCTATTCATTTGGGTTTAGCAAGGAAAGCAAAATCCCTGTAAATCTATAGTAATTACCAAACATCCGTTTTTAAGTCTTAAAATTCTAATTAATGGAATATTCTCTTCATAAATCTCTTAAAACAAATTAATACCTGCACTGTGGTGCTTTGTACTATTTAGCTATCATTATACAACATCACCTTCATTGCCTTGATCACACATGTTATTTTTACAAGCCTCATGCATTTAAAAATGCCAGTAGGGCCTCTTATTCATGACAGACTTCACCCCCAGTAGTGGGGAAAATGTATGGGCAGGGGAGAACAAACAGAACTCAGTTGTGGTATGAGCAGAAATCTTGGAACTGATGTTGCCACAGCCTGTAAATGGCTGGGGTGGCGGCATAGGGAGTTGAGTTGGGCTATACAACTCCTAGTTACCACCAAAACCCATTCTTTATTTCTTCTCATAATGGTGGATCTTTCTTTAGTTCAAGGTTGCTTACCTGCAGGAATATTGATACTTGGGGCTAGATAATTATTTGTTCTTGGGAACTGAGCTTTGCATTTCAGGATGTTTAGCAGCCTACATGGCCTTTACCCACTAGATGCCAGTAGCACCCCGCCCCTGAACTGTGACACCAAAAATGTCTCAAGACATTGCCAAGTGTCTCCTGGATGAGTAAATCAACCCTACTTGAGAACCCCTGTTTTGGCTGGTCATAAATGTGTACGTGGAAAGTCTGAATATTCTAGCCTCCCCTACACCTATGTGGGGCTATGCAATATATCTAGTATCAGGAAATAGAATCAGTTCAAGCTTCAAACCAGGAAATAGAATCAGTTCAAGCTTCAAACCAGAACCTAATAACTTCTTGCCATCTCCAACACTACATGCTGGTCTGAGCCACCCCTTGGTGGCTCATCAGGATAATTCCCACCAGAATTATTGCAGTAGTCATCTACATGGTCTGCTGGCTTCTAGACCTGTCCTCCCAACAATAGTGTCTATTTTCAACATAGCAAATAAATGGATTCTGTTAAATTTCCAGTCAAATCAGGTCATCTTCAGCTCAAAACTCTCCAGTGGTTCTCCTCATAAGTCCTTGTAACATCCCCTTTACCTCTCAGACCTTAACTCCTGCTGTTCTCCCTCTAGCCCAGGAGTCAGCAAACATTTTCTGTAAAGGGCTAGATAGTCAACATTTTAGGCTTTGTGGGCCATGCAAACTCTGAAGTCTTTGTCTTTTCAATGTATATTTTGAATAGAATTTTCTATAGTGAAATATATTTTTCACTCTTCTTTGGATCATACCTCACCTACAGCACCACATTTTAAATGGACTAGAAGTAATTGTTTAAAAATAGTTGTTTGGCTTTCTGTTCAAAATCTATCAAGCAGAAATGTTTTTATTTAATGTCATCTGTAGCCTTAGAGAGTAGTTTAGAAATGGATAATATGGCTGTGATATTTCAATTCCTCATAAGAGAAGCAATGCCTTGCATATGGAAATTCTTTCACAGCAGTTTCTGTCAATTCTGCTCTAGCTAGAGTGCTCAAAAGACACACAAAATTCTAAGAAGCATGAAGGTGAACATCTTCCATCTGGAGTATGAGCTGTTTGATTATTAATATCATTTGCCATCTGTTCAGGGTGCAAGGTGAATGTTGAGACTGGAGGGGTCAGGTGATTAGGGGATGAACCCACTACTAAACTCAAAACAATAATAACAGCATCAGTGACAAATCACATCAAGCATTTGCTTGTTTACTAACTTGGATGATTCTGACTGCCAAATTCTCTAGATCTTTATCGTGCTTCAACTTCTCTCTCTATATATATCCACACACTTGGTGCCAAAGTGGTTATTGTATGGGATTATCTGTTGTTTATCTGGCACCACCACTCCTTAGGCATCTGCCTAAGGCTGGGAAGAACTATATTTCCCAGAATTCTCTTCTGGATTGGTTGCAGGTTAGGATTTTTCAGTAAGAGAAACTTGGAAGATCTGGAAAGCAGAAAGGAAGCAGAGGCTATTACTTTTGGGAATCATTGGGGTCAGAAGAGGCTGCTTTGTTAGACACGGTGGCTAGACCTTTCTGTGGACTCCCACTTTATGATCTTACTTTGGTGCCTAGACCTGGTGACTTCTCAGATTTTTCTGTGAACACTTGGTTTTCTACTCAGAACTTCATGTTAAGTCCCATCCTTTGACTATTGCCTTTTAGACCTTAACCCCCCCAGTTACTCCCCCACATTCATATAAAGCCTAATTTCTATATTAAACCCTTGATTTTGGTACTACTTTTAATGTCTTTGTCTTCATGACTATACCCAGATGGATACAGGTGTACAGTTACTCCAGACTTTTAACTACAAAACGCCACTTTAATGCAAGCAACTATAGTTTTTTTTTTTTCAATTAAGAGTGATTATCTTAATGTACCAAGCGTTGGACAGAAACAAGGATAAAGAAGACAAAATCCTGCACTTGAAGTCAGTGTGCGATTAGTGGAGAGGATCTAGAACATGTAGACGAGTGATTCTCAACTAGGGTCATTTTTGCCCCCTAGGGGATATTTGGCAATGTCTGGAGACATTTTGGTTGTCACAACTGGGAGAGGGTGTTTTACTGGCATCTAGTGGATAGAGGCCAGGATACTGCTGAACATCCTGCAATGCACAAGACAGCCCCCACCACAAAGCATGAATTATCTAGCATCAAATCTCAACAGTGCTAAGGTTGGGAAACCCTGATACAGACAAATGACTATAATATAATGTGATATCTGCTCTGGCAAAGGAACAGACCACCAGATACTATGGAAAAGGTAATGTTATGCCAAGGCAATTGAAGGAAAGCTAGATGGCATTTTTTTCTATAATAACATGACAAAATGCACTGCCTCTGCCATTTGGCCATTAGTTGGTATCTTTTAACCATCTGGCATCTTAATCGCGGAAGATTTGTTACAAAGGACAGAAACTCACTCATAGTAGCTTAAATAAATGGAACTGTCTTTAAGGAATTATTATAAGAAAATTATTGTAAGATAATCTCATAAGTTTCCAAGGATAGGGAAGCAATGCCCTGTAAAGGTGAGAAGCCTGGGCTCTGGAGCGAAAACTCTGGTTTCAAATCTTGGCTCTGCCACTAACCATTGTGGGAACTGGGTAAGTCACTTACTACGTGCCTCAGTCTCTTTTGTAGTAAAATAGAGATGATATCTCCTTCCTTAGAGGGTTTTTTGAGAAGATTCAGGGAAATGTACATTAAAAGTTTACATGCCTGGTATATAGTGTATGCTCAATAAATGTTAGCATGATGGTATACACAGGGCTATCTAGCCCAGGAGCTCCAATGAGCAAGTCAGGAAGTGAGAGTGTTCTCAATTTCTCAGGGCTCATGCTCTCTCCAATTTCTGCTCTTCTCTTACCAGGTTCCCATAATCATTCATGTTCCAATCAGGCCCACACCGCCTCAGCTCTATGTGAAACTGTTCAACTCAAGTCCTCACTGTCATCTAATTAGCGTATCAGAACCTCTGTTTGAATTCTTGAAAGAGAGAATCTCATTGATATTCCAATTTATAAACAGTTGTCCCTGGGTCACTGGATAGAAAAAGGGGTAGGATTATGAGATACAAACAGGACAGATTGAGAATAAGTTTGGGGGCAAGGGAACCCTCCCAGGGTGGTGAATGTTCCTGAAAGTGACAACACATGAGGAAGCATAAAAGGAACAAGAATAGAAGGAACAACAAAAGGCTGGCCTTGAGAAGAGATAAGCCTGGCTGATATGACAAGTATTTTCAAAAGAATGAAGGGCTCTTTTGAGTTCACTCATATTTGTATTAATGGCTCCAAGGAAACTAATCAGAGACTGTTGGTTGATATTACAGGGAGACAGAATTCAACTCTATATGAGGATGAACTTTTAACAACTCTGTGACTGAACATGGAACATACCACCTTGGAAGGTAATGAACTCACCATTGCTAGAAATAGTCAAGTATTCAGCCATTTGTTGGAAATGTTGAATGGGTTAGGGGACTAGGTGAAAATTTATATCTCTTCTATTTATGGAGTCTCTGTGTGTAAAAACTGCTAAGTTAAGAAGTCTAAGAGGGTAAACCACATTGAAGGTGCTGACCCAAGTTCAGGAAAGATGTATTTGATAAGCTATGTCCTGCTATGGCCCTCCATAATCTCTCAGAAGTTTCTAGTCCAGTTTTGAGAAACCCTGTTCTAATATAATCAACCGTAACAACAGTTCAGTTCAGGCATATTTTCCTCTTTCAATTATCTTTGACGTACATAATATTTTATTTCATCATTTTTAAGGGTTTTAATTAGGCAACAAGTCCCTTTGCTGCTGTTATAATTTTGAAGATGACTCTAATATAGAATATATAAAATATAGAATATAGAATAAGAAAACTCCTGATATAGTAACATGTTACCTCACATTATGTAAATAATGAATGTATGTCCTTTTAGAGGCTGACACATGGTGTTCACAGAGGCCTGTCTTTATTATATTGTTTTGATAGCCTAGAGGCTTCAAGCAATGATATCAACCTTCCAGATAGCCACTGCTTTCTTTCCCCTCTTCCCTCTTACTGCTCAATTTCTGCTGGAAGTAGCTCAGAGGGATGAAAGTCAATGCTGTTTGCAGTGGAAGTTTGGTGAGTTGTTTGTTTCTGCAGGGGGCTCAGTAAACTCAAGAACTGAGAACTCAATCACTAGGATCAGATCTATATTTGGTCTGGCCCTCGATGTCTTCCTGCCAACTTAGAAGAGACAGGTTAGGTTCATGATGAAATCGCCCAGGTGTGACTTGGAGAAGTGTTAGGAGGTTTCTAGCAGAGGGGCAGTGAGGCATGTCCTGAGGAGAGAGACATCTATGGGCCATCATGTCATTGCTTTCCACAGCTGCAGAACAAATGTGTTTCTCCAGGTGAAAAACTATAAACCTGCTTTCTCTGGCCAATCTTATCTCCTGAATTTGAATGATGTTGGTAAGCTAGCTCTTCTTTAATGAATATGGACTGTAGGTTCTGGTTTAAAATTAGCAGTTACCGAAGCAGGTGAACACTGTAAACCATCAGGAGGCACTTTCCTATTGCTTCTCTCAAGGACATTCAAAGCAGCAGAGTAAGGAGGGGGTATAGCTCAGAGGTAGAGCATTGGACTGCAGATCAAAGCAGCAGAGTGAACCAGAAACACAGTCTATGCTCCATTATTCTGGCTTATGATTGATTTAGCTTTGCAGATCATCTCTGTCCTAGCTCCCTTATGCTTTCCCTGCAACCATTTGTTTGTTCACTGTCGCTTATAGCTTCTTATACGCAACTCTTGCTGGAAAAAAATGGAAAATTATGGATAAAATGAGAGTTTGTTTGGTGGAGTATCTGTAGTGCATTTCCAAGAGTTCCTCTTTTCTCTGCTTCATTATTACGGTTACCAGATTTAATATTTCAGAGAGAAAACTTGTCTGTAGGCCCAGAGGGAAGATTGATTGAAGTAAACACAGAAGACAGATTGGTCACTATGGGAAAATAATGCCAGTATCTGTTGATCTAATTGTTGACCAGCTGAGTTTCTAGTTAAGAAAGTGTGCATGAAGGTATGTAACACAGTATTTGGCACATGATGGGGGGTCTGTAGCCCTTCCCTACTCCTTTTTAAAGAGACAGGGTCTTGCTCTGTTGTCCGGGCTGCAGTGCAGTGCCGTGATCATAGCTCACTGCAGCCTTGAACTGCTGGCCTACGTGATCCTCCCATCTCAGCCACTCAAGTAGCAGGGATTACAGGCATGCACCACTGGGCCCAGCTCTCCCTTTCGTTTTCAAAGATGTCAATACAATAGTTATAATCAGAGGCAAAAAGGAAAACCTGATATGGTTCTAAGACGATATATTTTCATAGAAAATGGACTTAACTCCTGAGTTGCTGTCTCTCTCTCTTTTTTTTTTCTTTTTGTGTGGAGACGGAGTTTCTCTCTTGTTGCCCAGACTAGAGTGCAATGGCGCGATCTCGGCTCACCGCAACCTCCGCCTCCCAGGTTCAAGTGATTCTCCTGCCTCAGCTTCCCGAGTAGCTGGGATTACAGGCATGAGCCACCGTGCCCGGCTAATTTTGTATTTTTAGTAGAGACGGGGTTTCTCCATGTTGGTCAGGCTGGTCTCAAACTCCTGACCCCAGGCCATCCGCCCACCTCGGCCTCCCAAAGTGCTGGGATTACAGACGTGAGCCACCGCGCCTGGCCTGATGTCTCTCTTTTCTCCCAGCTGTGTGCTGTATAATTGGGCAGATGTTGTGTCCAGCTGAGGATGACACAGCTTGAACTCTGAAGGCAGGTCACGGAGTGATGAGCCCACTGGGTCATGGGCATCATAATACTCAGGTGGCGTGTGAGTGTGGGCTGGTCAAACAAAAGCGAGGGCTTAGCAAGTTTTAGTGAGGTGCAATATAGTTAGTGCAACATATACCTCCTGTCCCTGTCATCATGGCAACCAAATGACCCCTCCTACTGTGTCTGTGACTGCCTCTTGAGGGTATGTGAGAAGGTTTAAGCCTGAGATGGTCAGGTGAATTTGTTTACCTGGCCTGATCCACCCTGAGAGCACTGGCCTTCAAAACTTTTTGCTGTGAAATACTGCAGGTTCTCACTTATATGTGGAATCTAAAATAATCAAACTCACAGAAGCAGAGAGTAGAATGGTGGTTGCCAAGAGATAGAGTGAGGGGAAAGGGGAAGATGTTGGTCAAGGGATACAAAGTTTCAGTTCTGTGAGATGAATAAGCTCTGGAGATCTAATGTACAACAATGTGACTATAGTTAACAATACTGTATTGTATACTTGAAATTTGCTAAGGGGGTAGATCTTTAGTGTTCTCATGAAAGAAAGAAGGAGGGAGGGAAGGAAAGAAGGTAGAAAGGAAGGAAAAAAAAGAAACTGGTAACAATGTGAGATGATGGACATGTTAATTAGTTTAATCATGGTGATTATTTCACAGTGTATACATATATCAAATCATCAAGTCGTATACCTTAAATATATATGATTTCTAATTGTCAATTATACCTTAAAGCTAGAAAAAAAATAAAGACTGTCATCTAACAGTGCATGCAACACGCGCGCGTGCACACACACACACACACCTTTTTTGCTGTCAAAGTAGGAAAACATATTTTCCATTACTAACCAGGACACACATACACACACTTCCACACACATTAATATATCTAATGGCAACAAAAGTTTCACAAAGTAGTATTTACTTTTACAAAGCAGGATATACCATGATATTTTCTTTGTTGTTGTTTTTTGGTTTTTTTAGAGGGTGGAGGGTGGGGGGTGGGTTAAAAAACTACCTATCAGGTTCTAAGCTCACTACCAGGGTGAAGGGATTCATGCTCCAAACTCTGTATCATGCAATATTCTCATGTCAAAAAGCAGGCGAAAGGAAGAGAAAGGAAATACTTCATAAGTATTGGCTGTATGCAAGGCACTGTTCTTCACGTGCATAATCTTGCTTGCTCCTAACAGCAGCCCATGAGAAAGGACTTTATTAGACTCTTTCTACAGATGAAGAAACTGAGACCCAGAGTGGTTAGGCCATGACTCTAATCACCCAGCAAATAAAGCACCAGCCAGGATTTAGATTCAGCCAGCTGGACTCCTGGCCCTAAGCATGTGTCACTATGTCATGCTTCTCTCTCATATTCTTTTTTGCATGTTTTGGAGAGAAAAAGTATATGTTATTAAGAGGACGGGAATTCAATGGCAGTAATTCCAGGAAATGGTGCTGTAATGAAACATATTGACAGGATAGGGTACTTGGCTGGGATGAAGAAGGCTGACTTTAAGACAGGTATTTTTGTAAGTTTTATTTTAATCAATCTGCCCTAAAAGACAGGAAGTGTGAAAGAACATTCAATGATTCTGTGTTGAATTAAGGCGTCTCAGGTCTGGCAGTCAGGAATTGGCTGTACGACATTCAGCAAACCTTATAAACTCCCTGTGGAGATATCACTGCCAAACTACCATAATTTGAAGCATTTTGTGCTTTCCAGAATGAAGTTGTATGACTATTTAGAATTATTGTTTTACTACAATGCATGTGTGCACTGTTCAATCTTGTTAACAAAGGTGAAGCTCCTCACTCTATCATGGATCCTGTTACATGCCATTTCAGATCATTTCCTCCTTGTGTATGTGAACACAGAGCTGAGAAGGAACCTTCTCAGTTATAGGAAAAGGTCTTTCATGGGGTTCCCATTTGGCTCCTAATACCAGAATGATAATCCTAGGCTACTTAGTGATTACTCTTCTTGAGAGAAACAAAACAACAAGCAACATAGGGTTAAATTACTCTATATGATTGAAATCTTTCACAATTAAAAATAAAATTTAGTGCAAAACACAAGCAGCCACAGTAATAAACTTAATATTTCTTACCAAGTGAAAATAATTCTATTTAAAGCTTTGGAGCTTTTTACCATGTCTTAATAGTAATAGTATGCCTTGTTTTAGACTGTGCATATTGCAACATGCATACAATTTAAAAGTGGACTCTCTGCGATATATTCTAGAGCAGCACTTCTCAAGCTTTAATGTGCTAGTGAATCTCCTGAGAATCCTGTTATTTTTGATTCCACACGTCTGGGGTAGGGCCTGAGAGGCTGCATTTCTAGCAAGCTGTAGGTGATGCTGATGCTGCTGGTCAACAGATGACATTTAAAGAAGCAAGGTTCTCAAACTTGGCTTCACATTGCAACCACCTGGGAAGCCTTATAAAACCAAGATGTCTGGGCTCTACACCTAAATATTCTGATTTAATGGTCTGAGGTGGGGTCTGGGCATTTAGATTTTAAAAAGCTCCCAGGTGTCTCTAGTGTGTAACCAGGATTGAGAACCATGCTGTAATGGGTTACCTTGTTTCTAGAAAATACCAGAGCTCATTTCTGGTATGACTTCTGTTGCTCTTGAACAAATCCTAGCAGCAGCAGATAGAGTGGAATGAAGTGGAGGCATTTAATAACTTAACCTCCTGATGTTTTTACACCCATGTCAACATGTCAACATTTTGAAAAGCAATTAAATCATACACCCAACAAAATTCATGCCCCTGTTCATTACCAGTACAAAGAACCATATTTTGGATCCCTGATTTGCTATATGATGTAAATAAAAAGAACTTTATGTAGAGTAAAAGAGTTCACTTACAAAAGAGGAAATTCTTAATGAAAGGTTTTTCTGACTATTTTGTCAACTGGGTTATACTAGCTCTAATTAATTACTCCTGACAGGAGTGACATCTTTATTCATAAGCAGCTTGCACTCATGAAGCTAAACCTCAGTCCTCTGTGTGCACAGCATGCTTCTGTCCCTTAGATTAGGGTTTTTCAAACTTGACACTATCCATATTCGGGTCAGATGATTCTTTGCTATGGGCACCATCCTGTGCACTGTAGGATGTTTAGCAGCATCCTTGGTCTCTACTCATTAGAGTTCAGCAACACACACAGTCCCCAACCCCAAGTTGTGAGAACTAAAAACGCCTCCATACATTGCCAAATGTCCCCTGGGGTGGGGAAAAATAGCTCCTGGCTGAGAACCACTGCCTTAGATCAAACAAAGCTTCCGTGTCACTGACTCTCACTTTCCTCTTGAAGGTCTTGGAGTGGGAAGCTCTCCAGGTTCATCTGATGTAAATGTGTATCAGCAAGGCAGGATAAGGCTACTTTCTAATGAGCATTAAATGCCACCTTAAAGAATGTAGTTTTCATTACCTATTTAATTATTTAATCTCTGTTTCATTTACTGACAATAACAAGATGAGTTTAGAATAACTTACAGTTAACATTCTAAGATAAAATGAACTTTACAAATGCTGCTTCTTTCTTGAGAATCTCCTCCCTCCTTAAGAGCTGGAAGTACACTATACTCTCCCTTCCTGGGAATTGCCACAGCTCCAACTATAACTCTCTTATGGTTCTTAAAATTCTCTACCTCATATTAGAACATTTTTGTACTTTTTTTCTGATATTGACCTCTAAAATTTTGTGAAAACAGGTTTCAAGCAGTTTTTTTTATCTGCCCCTTATCTAAAACAAAACACTGTACAAGGCAAGCATTCAAAAACTATTTGTTGAAGAAATGAAATCTAGGATTGTCTAGCAGCTTAGAATGAAAACTAAGAAGGCAGGGGTCGTTTCCTTTTACCCACTCCTGCACAGAGCCAAGGTCATTTATTTTATAAACGGTTATACTCGCGTCTGATGCTGCCTCATCAATCAGGTGGGAAATAACTCCATTTAAGCATATTGTCCCCAAATCAGCTTGTTAAAAACAAGAATAACAGTGATAGAGACAAATTACTACTATGATTAGGCAAACCCACATCTCTGATGTAATGCCAAGGAAGCACCAGACTTTTCTGTCATTTAGCTCGATCTTTTTATGAGAGTCCAGTTATGCTGAAATAACTACAGCTCAAGTTGCCATCAAGAATCTTAAACCATTGTGCAGGATCTGGATTTTAAAGTGGAAAAAAAGAATCTTACACCAATTAAGAGCTAGATAGTGAAAGAAGAAGGTTCAAGGTATCTGCCATCATAGCCTTTATGAAACACTAGTAGAGCTGAAGGCACAGGCTTGATTTCAGGGACATAAAGCAATAGAATTGTGTTATGAAACCTATTTTAGAAGCTCAGCAGCACAGAAATATTTTAGCAATGCCAACTGTAAGGTACAATAAACCATTGTTTGACACTTGCTGCTCCTAGATTCCCTCTGTTTCCACACTTTAGGCACAAAAAGTCCTCCAGAATCTGGTGTTTAGTGGGGAGGCCGAGGATGGGGTTCAGTGGGTTGTGATTCTCATGAGGTCCTTGGCCTAGGAGGCATTGCACCTTAGTTTGTTTTTGTTCTCTCCAAAGCAACCCTGAGATGAGGGATTGCATGCAAGAGGTTTACTTGGGAGGCAACAACAGGAGTGTGGTGAGGGAGTGGGGAAGTGTAGGACAAGGAAAGGAGAAAAGTCAATAAAGGATGTGTGAATAATCAGCAGGTGACCATGGTTGCCAAATGGGGCTCAAACCTCTGAGAGACTGAGACTTGACTTACCAAGGGTTGAGGAAGCTTGGTATTTGGCCACCAACTCCCAGTTCTCATTGGTTGAGGGCCACTCCTGTAGCATTCACCTCCTGGTACTTCTGGACTGTCCTGAGTGTGCATGGAGCATGCTACAGTGCCCAACGGATGCTCTCAGAGTTGCAGTGGAAACCATTGCTGTTTGTGGCAGGCAGGATAATGCCTACCAAAGATGTCTGTGTCCTAATCCTTGGAACCTGTGAATATGTTATCCTACAAAGCAGAGGGGCTTTGCAGATGTGATTAAGAAACTAAGGATGGGGAGAGGGCCCTAGATGATCTACGTGCTCACAACTTAATCACATGACTCTTAGAAATGGAGAACCTTTCTCAACTGTGGTCAGAGGTACACATGGCAATGGAAGAAGGGTCAGAGAAATGCAATGTTATGGCTTTGAACAACTTTCCCCTTTGGAGAAAGGGGACTATGAGCCAAGGAATGTAAGTAGCTCTAGAAGTTGGAAAAGTCAAGAAATCAGATTCTCCCCTAGAACACTGTTATATAAATGAGCCAAAGATGGCCTCTGAGTATTGTCCCCTTGGTTGTTTATTTCCCCACTATAGGTTGAGACCTGTTATCTCCAAAGCTTGCTGGCACCAAACTCAAATTTTACACATTCCATTATTTTAAAAATAGCCTAAACAAGCAGATTTTTAGCCATCTAGACCCTGACTGCTTTGCATAGCCCACGAAACCATGCCTAGCATCTGCTGGTCCTTGCACTTATAAGGTCCCATGGCACTGCTGCTCTTTGAAGCTCTCTGACCCAGAGGCTCCCCCACTGTGCAGCTGAGCAACATCACCTAGACAAGTGAGCCCCCTCTGATTCACCTCCCCACTGGGAGTCCCCTTGTCCTCTCCTCTCTGTATGGTGGCCCCTGTCTCTAAGCCTCTGGATCATTTCATGCTGTGAGGAGCCACCTTTTCACGCAACCCTGTCCAAGTGCCACCCAATAAACTTTGTTGTGTATTACTGCCTGCGTGGTCATATCTTTTTCTTTGATATGGCCCCCAATCCCTTGAACCCCCGTGACAACCCTCCAGAAGCAATGCAGTCCTGCCAATACCTTGATTTTAACCTAGTGAGGCCCATTTTGGACCTACAGAAGTGTAGATAATAAGTTTTTCCTGTTTTAAGCCATTAAGTTTGTAGTGATTTGTTACAGCAATGATAAGACACCTGTGTTACTGCAAAGAATTCAAACCAGAAAGCCACTTTTATATTCACACTTAAGACAAGCTTTGGTAAGTTTATAATATACATCCCAGATTTGGAAAGCTAGTTCTAGCAAAATTACAAAAAGGCAAACCAAAATAGTAATAATGATCTATGCCTCTAGGGAGGGGCTTCAGGGAAGTGTAGACTACTTATAAAATTAAGGGTGTTTTTAAGTTGAAATGCTGAAGCAGCATTTTCCTGATCTTGTGCCTTATTCCAATCTGATCCTTTCTATATAGAGTGATGTTTCCACAGTTCCAATCTGATTGTAGCATTCTATCATTTATAAAGCCTTTTGGTGGCTCCCAGTTCAAGAGCAACTGAAGTCTTCCTTCCTTTTAGGCCCCATGCTTTAGCACTTTCCTGACTCAACTTTTTATGATGTAGTGAAAGCATCATGTCGTTTCTAACATCTGAACCTCTGCATAACCGTTTCCTCAGCCTGGATATCCTCTTAATTTTCCTTTTGACCTGGCAAATTTCTACTCCTGTGTCAAGACCCAGACAAAGGCTCAACTCCCTGGCACTACCAAGTGGAGAAGATGCTTTGTCCTCAGTCATCACTTTAAATCATGCACTTAAACCTTTCCCACAGCACACAACATTCTGCACTGAAATATTTGTCTGAGCCTGTCTACCCCAGTAAACAAAACAACACAAAAAGGACACTAGTTGATACAAGTTTTCTTTCTCATTTAAACATTGAACTCCCTTCAAAAAATCTGTAAAGCAAAACTCCCTTAAGAAGGTCTGTGCAAAACTAGAACTTCAACTAAATTTGGTAACTATAGAAATATAAAGAATCATTGAAATTAAAAGCTAGAGTTAACTGTTTTATTGCAAATAAAGAATAAATAAGTGGGCTAACTGCCACATTTTATTGCTTACATTTATTTCACTTATGTGTAAAATATTCTCCTTTCATTCTCATCTCTTCTTTACAGTATCCCCCTTTCTCTACCCTGCTTGGACCATCACGTGATTCATATTTTTATCCATTCATCCATCCTGTCTGGCAAAACCCTCAGCTTGGATCCAAGATTGGCTTCACGGGCATGCAACCTGTGCAGACACACAGGGTCCATACACAGAGGGGTGCTAGGCTTAGTTTAATGCTCTGCTGTTGCCATCTTGAAATTCTTAATTGTTTTTGAACCAGGGGTTGCCCATTTTTATTTCAGTCAGTCCTGCCTGGATCAATTGTGGAACCCACCATCTGGTTATTCTAGGCTGCTGAGCTCCTCTGGAGAACCTCACCGAATCCAGCACATTGATGCCCCTACATATCCAATTTCCCCTACGTCCGATGGACCCTAAGCCTGCTTGAGAAAACTTCTGTGGGTTCCTGGTGATGTATTTCGCAATTCACAAACATTTCAAAGTTTTCCCACTGTTCTCACACCTCCTACTCTGTCACCTCCCTCTTTATTCTCTGAAAATGAATGTGTTTCCTGTGTCACAGAAAACAATCAGATGCCATCATGTGGGGATTCCTTCAAAATCCTGTCCGCCTACCCACCCACCCACAAACTTGCCATGTCCTTATTCTTATTCCTTCTTTTGTCTCCCAGTTATCAGAAGGAATACCTTCTACTGGGTATGGCTAGTGGCTCCACCTAAGTATGCTCTCCCACCTTTCCTCAAAACTCCTGTAAGTAATATTATTCTCTCTATAAACAACTCTCTCATCAGCATTTAAATGTACTCAAGTTGCTCATTAAAAAAAACACTAAATAAAAAGCAAAAGAACCAACCAACCAACAAAAAAATCCATGGCCTATATGCCTCCTCAGCCACTTCTGCCTCTTTTTCTTGGATAAAATGGCTGCATTCAATGTCCTCACTTCCTCACTGTCCACTTCACTACTACACTGCCTAAAATCTTGTGTCTGCCTCCGTCTCTCCACTGAGCCTGCTGTTGTTGAGGTTACCAATGTCCTCTGACTTCCTAAAATCCATGGCTGCTTCTTAGCTTTTATTTTATGTGAACTCCACATCTTTAGATACTATGAATTTTCTTCCTGAATATGTTTCTTTTTCTAGCCTCTGAGTGATTACATAGCCGTCTGACCTTCTCTGTCTCTCTCATGGGCTCCTTTCCCCCTGCCTGTCTCTGATATGCTGGTGCTCACAGGAGTTTGCCCTCAGCCCTCTGCCTTGCCTTACACTGCCTTCCCTTACACTGCCTTCCCCTTCCATTCCCTCTTCCTGCTCCGTCCCTGCCCCTTCCTGCTCTTTCTCAACCTTTCTCCTCCACTTCTCTTCTCACTCTGTACACTCCTGCTGGGTAATCTTATCCACTTCCATAGCTTTAACCTCCATCTATATCCTAATGACTTCTCAGCATGTCTGTCCAACCCAGTCCTCTCTCCTGAGTGCTGGACTGCCTCATGGACATCGCTACCTCCATCTCTCACATTTCACCTATCCCACACTGAGGGTCATGTCTGTAACTGGGGGTCTGTTGTACAGATTATTGTACAGATTATTTCATCACCCCAGGTCTTAAGCCTAGTACCCATTAGTTTTACCTGATCCTCTCTGTCCTTCCACCCTCCACCCTCCAAAAGACCCCAGTGTGTGTTGTTCCCCTCTATGTGTCCCTGCGTTCTCATCATTAGCTCCCACTTAGAAGTGAGAATGAGTGGTATTTGGTTTTCTGTTCTTACATTAGTTTGCTGAGGATAATGCCCTGCAGCTCCATCCATGTCCCTGCAAAGGACGTGATCTCACTCATATGTGGAATCTAAAAAATTTGATCTCATGGGGGTAGACAGTATAATAGTGGTTATCAGTGCCTAGAGAAAATGAGGGGGAGGGAGAGATGAGGAGAAGTTAGTCAGTGGGTACTATGTTACAGTTAGATAGGAGGAATAAGTTCTGGTCTTCTATTGCACAGTTGGGTGAAAATCGTTAATGATAATGTATTGTATATTTCAAAATATCTAGAAGAGATGATTTGGTGAAGAAATAAGTGTTTCATATGATTGATACAGTAATTATCCTGATTTGATCATAATACAATGTATAAAACCTTAAAACCTCACATTGTACCCCATAAATATATACAACTATTATGTGTCAATTAAAAACAAAATAGAAGAAAAATAAGTAAAAGGCAACTTGTCATTAGGTGGCCCACATGCCATAACCATGTTCTCAAGCAGCCACAATTTCTATTTAGTAGCTGAACAAAAAGAAGTCAGGGCTATCTGGGTAACTGGAAACATTTGAAATTAGGTACAATGCCAGAAGTAAGGCATGGTGCAGCCAGATATAAAATGAAAGTGGGAGATAAATGCAGGTGAGGCTGCATTGTAGAGAAGTTGTTATAACTTCACATGGTGCACATATTTCTTATTGGAGCAGAGGCGATAACATTAAAACAGAGTTTTATTGCATAGACCTGGGGCATCAGCTTCTAATAGACTGGGGTTGGCCAGTTCTGTCAGGGAAGATCTGGGCGTGATTGTTTCTGAGAAACTCTGTTTTGATAAAATTGACAGTGGCTGCTTTACAAAACCTAGAAAAGATAATCAAAGCAAATACACCTAGTTGCACATTGCCCGGCCACTCCTTGAAAGTGACCCCATTTGATAACTTGATTGCTCAGTAAATACCAGACACTCTTCCCATGCATGTAAATGTAATCTCAGGTGTTCTCTCAATAAATACCTTCCCTGAATAAAGCTTAATGCCATTGTCTTTTTGGGAGATGATCTGCTCTTGTTTTTTGTTATACCTTCTAAAATATCAACCTGTATGTTATTTCAGAGGTCAGTTTCTCAGTAGGAAATTAAAGAGATGACATATTGCCTTGGGAATATTTACTTTTTTTTTTTTTTTTTTTTTTTTTTTTGAGATAGATAGAGTCTCACTCTGTCGCCCAGGCTGGAGTACAGTGGCGTGATCTCAGCTCACTGCAATCTCCACCTCCCGGGTTCAAGTGATTCTCCTGCCTCAGCCTCATGAGTTCCTGGGACCACAGGTGCATGCCACCATGCCTGGCTGATTTTTGTATTTTTAGTAGAGACAGGGTTTCACATGTTGGCCAGGCTGGTCTCAAACTCTTGCCCTCAGGTGATCCACCCACCTCGGCCTCCCAAAGTGCTGGGATTACAAGTGTGAGCCACCGCTCCCGGCCAAAATATTGAACATTTTTAAATAATTAAAAAAAAATTAACTCAGGCCACAATGCATTTCTGTGAAAATTAATTTAGTAGTTCATGACTAGGTGGGCCCCAAACTAGGGGAAAACAAGTGAGGCCTCAGGGGCAAAATCTGAGGGGGTACCCAAAACTCCAGTACTCAAATGATATTTAATGCAATGTTTGAAAATATCATTATTAATACAAAAAATCCATGGTGAACAAAACATTAAATAAAAAATAAAACAGGATCTGACCCTGTACTTGTGTGACTCACTTGCCTCACCCTATTTGCTTCACCTTGCCTCACCCTATTTTCTTTTTGCATTAGTTTCCTCATCTGTAAATTGAGATAAGAACAGTATCTTCATTGTTATTAGTTAATTTACTCAATTTAATCCAAACAAGGACAATTTTGATAGTGGCAAGTGGCACTGACAGACATTACAACTCTATAATGTTGACAATTGCAAAGTAAAAAAAAGTTTTATCAAACAATAAAACGTAGTTAAAACGGATTTATATCATACAAAAATGAAAAAAATCACTCAATTATGAGCATTCAGATGCTCAACAGCAAGACTGCTCAGTTTTTCTTTCCTTTTTATGTGTACAGAACCTGTGATTTTCCATGTTTCCCACTGACCCTATGAAGTGATAGCCCGGTGGCTTCATGGATTTTGCATGCCATGCCATGCCATGCCATAGAACAAGGCTGGTATCCCAAGTGACCAGTAGGGGCAGCAGTGACCCATCACTGATAGAGAGCAACATCTGTCCCCAGCCTCTGGTGTCCAATTGCACTTCATTTTATAAGCAAGCTCCCCTCCCGCAAGCTATCCTGGAAAGGGAGTGTTAGTTATGACACTGCATCTGGAACATATGAAGAAAAGATGCCTGGATAGTAGTGATTATTATTATTTTTTCGATTTCACCATGTGTTAAGGTGAGAACTCGTTCACTGCACATGCATACCCCTATACCGGAGGATCACCCTATGACAGAATCCAGGTCTATAAAGTGGAGGTCAACCAAACCCGTTTCCACTTATTTTAATGCAACTATTAATAAAAAACATTTTGTTTAAAATGAGTAATCCAGGACAAATTCTAAATCACACAAGGTATTGGAAAAATAGGCCTAAATCAAGACTTTCCCAGGTAAACTGGGCTGTATGATTGCATTACTCACACAGTTGTAGTGGTGATTAAATGAATTACTATATGTAAAGTATCTAGAAGAGTACCTGGCATATAGTAAGCCCTCAATAAATGTTAGCTCTTGTTATCATTTTTTTTTTTCTAACCATGGTTCAGACTTTTTTAAAAAGCTGAAAAATGCTGCCTTTCCTAAGGGACAAATAATTGGAAATATTTCTTGCCTATTTTTTCAAAATTCAACCATCGGTGATAATTAGGAAACTTGACCACAAAGCTTAAGCATGATTTGATTTGCTCTTCAACTCCCCCCAAGACTTAACTTTGGTAATAAAACATTATGTTCTGAATAGCCATACACAAACTTAAGAACATCTCCATGTCAAACATGCAAACTTGCATTTCTCAATAAACATAGCAGGGATTGTAACTGCCAACTGGCATCTCTAAAACATCTTTTAATCTAAGGTATCCTTTTTGCTCCCCACTGCAATGCCCAAACCATATCTTTTTCCTCCTTCCTCAAACCCAGATCCTTTGGCGTCTCTGAAGCTCAGGTCATTAGACTTCACTACTGATTTTCCTTATCACTGCTGTTACCTATCTGTGCTGTTACCCTTTATTAGTTGTACTCCTTTATTAGTTGATGACTTTAGCATCCATTTCCCTGTCAACCCAACACTCATACTAATGTCATCTTTATTGGGGGATCTTCAATATTCATATGGATAATAGACCCCATCCTCGGCCTTCCAATTCCTGGACTGCCTTGCTGTCAATAATTTTTTCTCAACCCAACCTTAGTCACACATGCTTATTTATGATCATAACCTTATCTTTGTCTTTACTTCCTGTGAAATCTTAATTTTGAGTCTCTCTCTTTCTCTCTCTTGAATACAGTGTCTCTTCCGTGTTTTCCCCTCTCTATCCACCTTAGAATTTCTGGTTCATCACTGCAACTACTGCCATGCAACCTCCCTTAACTTCACTTCCGTCCCTCCCTCCCTCCCTCCCTCGCACTCTCCCTCCATCCCATTCTCCCTCCCTCCCACTCTCCCTCCCTTCTTCTCCTTTCTTGGTTTCTTTCTTCCTTCCTTCTTCCCTTCTACATTCTCTTCTTTCAACTCCTCTATTGTCTTCTCTTTGTCTTCCACTCACTTTCCTGCTCATTTGGCAAAACTTCAATTGTAGTTAAACCGAAGTACCTGTTATCTCAGTACCTGAATCTGATCCTGGAAGCTTGCTGGGGGGAAACACATACCTCCTGATTGTTCACACTTTAAAGTCATAACCACAGTTCTCATATGGGCACTCCCACTGCCTCTGCCTCAGCATTCTGCCCCATTACTCTTCTTGGAGGAATGGCTTTTTTACCCTCCCAAACTACTATTTAATACTTGATCCTTCTTCCTCAAACCTATGTTTCTTTTTTCCACCATACTCTTAGCTGATAGCCTCAGAATTCATGGACATGATAGGAGCTATTAGTTAGGAGCTCCTACATCCTATCATAATTGGACATACCAATTGGCTAGCAACCATAGTCATTCTCCCATTTTGTTTGTACAATGGTGAAGCACACAGACTCTGGGAACACAGTATCTCACTTCAGACCCACTACACCACTTCTTGGCTCATGAGAATGAGCAAGCTATTTAACCTCTTTGTGCTTCAGTATCTCCATCTATGAACTGGCAATAATTTAAGTCATTATTAAAATGGGTGAAATAGTTGTCTCCATGTAATGCCAACCCTGACCCTTTGCTTTGAATTTTATTTTTTCTCACCTTCTTAAGACATTTGTTCTTGAAATTATGCCCTCCTTTCACTGCAATGTGAATACCTCCCTTTTCCTTTGCCAAATGCATTCTTTTATCTTCCATTTTGGAAAAAATATATCCCCCCATGAGCACACATTTTATTCCATACCATCTTCTATGTTCCCCTGCACAGTAAAGGCAATTGCAAGTGATATCTAAGGTTTGTCACCATTTCCTTTGTTCCTTTTTCTGCCCAATCCACTCTAGATAGGCTTTCTAAATGATGGAATGCTCCATTCTCAGAGCTTTTTTTTTTGTTTCTGTTATCTCAATGTGTAATCTCACTTAGTTTTGTGGATTTAAAACAGTATCTGTTTGCTGGTCACTGCCAAATATACATTTCCAGATTTTATCCCTTTCTTGAACATATATTTCTATCTAATTACTTGCCAACTCTATCGAGATGTCTCATGGGCATCTGAACTTAAGAGCATAAAAATGTGACTCAAGTTCCACTCCAAATCTGCGCTTGTCACAATAGTCCCCATCTTAATAAATGGTAACACTACTTACCCAGTTGCTTAAGCCAAAAATCTGTGAGTCATATTCAATTCATCTTCTCATCTCTTCACATAAAATGCATCAGCATGACCTATTGGTTTTACCTCCAAAGCATAACCACTAGAATGTAAGTTTCATCAAAAGGCTGCATTTTTTTCTGTCCTGTGAAGCAACGTATTCTAAGGATTTACACAGTGCCTGGCACATAGTAAGAAGTAAATAAATTTTTGTGGAACAAATGAAAGAATCCTGAACCTAACCACTTTCCTTCATTCTCATGACCAATACCATAATCTAAGCCATCAACATTTCCACCTATAGTTCTACAATAGCCTCCTAACTTATCTGCTGCTACTCTTGACACCACAACTATCCACTCAATAGCCTATTTGCTATATTGAAACTAACTAGTGGATTCCAATCACTTAGAATAAAATAAAATCCTTTATACTGGCTTGCAAATAAATCTTGAAATTACCTATTTTTCAACCTCATTTTCTACTTCTTTGTCCCTCTCATTCTCTACTATATTCACAGCTTTCCATGTTTAAGCATAGTAGGTGCTCAATAAACATCTTTTGAATGAATATATATATTTAACCTGTGAGTAGTCTAATGATGACAGGGAGTGAGATTGTGCAGAAATTTGTTTTACCCTCTCTCCCTTTGAGAGCTAAATTTTCAAGTAATCTATACTTGCTTTTTCCATATCCTCACCTACCTTAAACTACTGCAATCTGGTTCTTCCCAAATGCTGATTTGAAAACATTCATGACAAGATAATCAGTAAACTTAATGGACCATTCTTTTATTTTATTAATTTTTGCTCTTTGTGTTTTTTTTCATAGTTTTTCACTCCTTCTACACTCTTTGGATTTAATATCTTATTCTTCATTTTGTCTCCATGAAATAGATTCTTAGATAATCAGTTTTCAGCTTTCCATCTTTATAAAATATGCATTTGAAGTATACATTTTTCACTAAGCATGGCTTTAGCTCAGTTCATATATTTTGATATGTACAATTTATCTTTCAATTCAAAATATTTTCTAACTTCCAATGTGAATTCTTTTTGATTCCTGAATTATTTCAGAAGTATTTGGTTATTTCCCAATTTATAGAGATGTTCTAGTTATCTTTGTACCATTGATTTTTAGCCTAATTCTATTTACTCAGATAATATTATTTCAGTGTTTTGATATTTGTTATGAGGTGCGTTATAGTCCAACTCATGATAAATATACCAAAATGTTTCTTCTGACTTGAAAAGTATATGTTTACTGCATTTGAGGGTGTAGTTTGTTAATTATGTTGTTAAATGTTTTATATCCTTACTGATCTTTCTGTCTGCTTTTTTTCTATCAGTTGCTGAGAGGTATATTACAATTCCTCACTATGAGTGTGAGTTTGTCTATTTCTTCTTTATATCTGTCAATTTAAACTTGGTGTATTCTGAGGCCATGTTATTCGTTGTAGACATATCTATAGTAATCACATCCCCCTATTGAAGTGATCATTTTGATTATGAAATATCTCTATTTCTAGTAATAATTTTGGTCTTAAAGTCTACTTTATCTAATATTAATGGAGCTAAACTGGCTTTATTTGGTTAGTGTTTGCATGAGATATCTTTATCCACAGTTACTTTGAAGCTTTCTCTATCTTTATATTATAGGTGTGCCTATTGGAGGCTGACTAAAGTTGAGTTTTATTTTTAAATTTCATCTGAAAATGTTTGTCTTTTAATAGAGGTATTTATTCTATTTTTCTTTACTGCATTTATAATATATTTGGGTTTAATCTACCACTTCTCTATTTGCTTTCTCTTTGTCTGTCTGGTTCTGCATTCCCTCTTTCTTTTTTTTTTTTGTTATTATACTTTAAGTTTTAGGGTACATGTGCACAATGTGCAGGTTAGTTACATATGTATACATGTGCCATGCTGGTGCTTTAGATTGATTTTGTCTGTTTATTATTCCATATCCAACCCCCCTTGTTTGCTAGTTATACTTTTTTAAAAATTAGTCTTTAATATCTGTTATTATGTAATGCCAGACATTGCTAATTGATGACAGATCTCATTCCCACAGAGCCCAGGTACAGTCTAAGAATCCTTCACACAGCATTTCAAAAATTCCCTAACAACTATTTAGAATTGGGAAGCAAAATGAAACCCATTTTCCATCTTTGGTCTAGGAGAGTATGCAGTCAGTAAGCCAGGATAGTGTTTCTTAAATTTATCTCATCATAATAATCACCTAGAGTGCTTATTAAGGGTACAGATTCTTGTATTCCACCCAACTTTATAAATCAACATCTGAAAGGAATTTTGCTGAGAATTAGTATGTTTCACAAGGGTCCTAGGTGAGTCTCATTATGATAAGGTAAGTTTGGGAAACCTGAGCAGTATTACCATATGTAAAAGAAGTTGTTGAAGGACTTAAACCATCCACTGACCAATAGACAGTTGCAGCATGAATTCTTTTAACTCTGTACTGTTTTGTGTTGAAATACCATCGTAATGTAAGAATATTTTCTAGGTGGCACAAGTGATCCTGAACTTTTGCTGCTGTGTGCTGGACTTCTGTGAATGTGATTAAAGAAACGTTAGCACCAACAGGGAGGCAGTGAGGAGAAAATTGAGAAAGGCACAACATTAAAAGGTAATGTACAGCAAAGAGGATATTTGTGCTTGTTTACTTGTTTTCCTTATCTATGGCAGGACAAAATGTTCCTGAGAGGTAGCGAAGAGTGAGACAGGGCAGCTAACAGGATAGATTTATCTCTTCCAGCCCAGAGTATGTGCAGGAAACCTTTCAGTGGATGCAGTCAGAACTCAGTGAGCTCATACCCACATAAACTCCTCAATATAAGCAATGTCTCACAACAAATATTCAGCTTTACATCTAGGTATTTGCAGCATTAATAGGGACTGTGAAATATTTTTGTTTTCATTCCAACAGAGTAGCATATAACTATTACTTCACCAGCAGGATTAATTTATCAAATATTTTCTGGAACAGATTTTGAAAAATCTTTCTCTCTCTACTGTACATAAAATGTTAACTTTAGTTCTCAAGCAATATTGTTACAGGAGGTAACATTCTTCATATCAAAGGGTATGTTTCTCTCCCAGAGTTTGAAATGGAAAACAGGTGCAAGCCTTTTGATAGCCTCTATGAGATTGGGTTATAAACCAGAACAGTGCTTTCCAAGCATGTCTGCACACCAGAATTGCCTGGGGAGCTGCAGAAATACAGAGGCTGGTGCCCCTCCTAACATTGAGGTTTAGTTGGTGTAAGGTGTGTCTAAGGCTTGGGATTTTTAAAATATCCCCAGGCGATTCTAATGTGCAGGCAAGTTTGGGAACCACAGGACTGGAGATCTTGAGCTATGCATTTCAAACCTGAAGTCTCTGGACAGTGTAAAGCTTAGAATTCTGCACTAAAGTTTAAGTTGAGATAATGAGGCCAGTCTCACTGGATTTATCATGTTGCAATCTACATGGGTACGGCATAATTTACATAAAGCCAGAGCAATTGATGAAAAAAAGTCAATCAGATCAGTGATGTACACGCACGCACGCGCGCACACACACACACACACACACACACACACACACACACACACACACACACACACAGTCAATATTTAGAAGAACCAGGATTTTAAAGTAACTTTGTCAAATCAAGTATATATCCCCAATTAGAGTTGCCAGATAAATACAGGGAGCCCAGTTACTTCCGAATTTCAGATAAACAATTTTTAGTATAAGTATGTCCCATGCAATATTTGGTATGTGCTTATACTAAAAATTGTTTCTTGTTATCTGAAATTCCAGTTTAACTCCATGATATGTATTTTTATTTGCTGAATCTGACAATCCTCCCCAATTTTAAAGGCCTAAGCTGAGCACTAAGTCAGTGTAGTAGGACAAATCAGAACAAAAATTAACCTTGGCTTCTTGCTTATTGTGTGCTCTTCTGTTTTCTGAATTACATTGCCTAGCTAACCAACTCAAGCTCTACATTGTCTGAACTGAGGGGCAATCATACCTTATTCTGCCTCTTCTGTCTTCTTCGGAGGCGCAGGAACTCCTTGTGTTGCCTGGAGACGAAGTTCACCGCTGCGTATTCCAGTAAGGCAGCAAACACAAACAGAAGGCACACCGCCATCCAGATGTCAATCGCTTTTACATAGGAGACCTGAGAGAGAGAGAGAGACACACACACACACAGAGAGAGAGAGAGAGAGAAAGAAAGACTATGAAAGCCTGCCAGGAAACCAGATTCTTAATGGTGTGAGCAGCAAAATAACCTAATTTCCTTGGTCAATGATTTTCCAGCGTTTTCTTAAGAAAGTGCTTAAGCCATTGATTCTACTTTGAAGATTCTGGGCAGAGCACTGAAAGTCACACGCCCCTGAACCAGTAGCTTTATTCCTGAGACCAGCTCCAATGACTTCAAGAATTTCCTTAATGACAGATTTTAAGTGTTCTCACTACAAATAAATATGTGAAATAATGCATATGTTAAGTAGCTCAATTTAGACATTCCATGATGTGTACATATATTGAAACATGTTATACACCATAAATATATACAATTTTTACTTATCAATTAAAAATAATTATTCTCTTAATTAGACAAGAAAAACAAAACTTTGAGGCAAAATAGATGGGTGCTATTATTCAAACTGCTCACTTCTATTTTTTAAATTGAAATTTAAAAATCAATATAATTAAGATAATTTCAAAACATGGATGAGAAATAAACTATATATGGCCTTAGGCTCTTCAAAAGCCAATTTGTAATTTTCTTCAATTTACTGATCCTAACTGACATGAAAACACAGTTCTAAATAGTTTTAAATCCTCACAATTAAAGAGTATTCAACCAAAGTAAAATATGAGGAATACAGCCTTGAGAAGGTATCTGGTTAAAAAGAAAACTTTGATAACCCTTCAGTGTTTGCTTAAGTGTTTAGTAAGTCTTATAATTTGACAAAGTAGATTCTGAAAGCAAATACTTTTTGCTTGCAATGGAAAATGCCCCTCATCTCACTCGACTTACAATTATTTTTTCAAGTGTAAAAGGGAAAAATAATTGGAGGAAGCTATAAAATATTGGATCCTAGACTACAAAGAATACTTATTAAACTACCATCTGAATGTGTACTATTCAGTTCTAATTTTTAAATAGAGTTTCCTATATTTTGATAGCTGTCAAGTGCTTGCCAGCCAGTATTTTAAGCATTTTACATGTGTGAATTTTTTAACCCTTACAACAACTCATCCCAATTTTCTGATGAGAAAACTGGGGTAAAGAGGGATGAAATTATTATCCAAGGTAACAAAAGTAATAAATGACAGAGTCAAGATTGGAATTGGAACTCAGTCTGACTAATGGATTTCCTTTCTGAACACACACACAAACACATTGCTAGGATCACAGTTTGTATCTTTGCATTTCCCTTTGACCTTTATACTGAGCATTTCCCATGTTACTTATTTTTCTTCTAGATCATAATTTCTAATGCTTGCCTAATGGTCTATACCATGATTAAACATTCTACATTGTAGGACATATAGGTTATTTTCTATCTAATATTTTATGACTGTAAGTTTTGCTGCTATGAACATTCTTCTCCCAAAATACTTGACTGTGTCCCTGATTATTTGTTGGATCAACTTTTAGGTGAGTTACAGAAGTAAAGATATGAAAACAGGCTCTTGAATTAGAAGGTTTGCAGGAGCACAGTGGACATAAAAGCAGAGATTCTGGAGTAAGATGCCCCAATTAGGAAATGCTGCTCTGCTACTATCTGTATAATTCAGTTATGTTATTTAACCTCTCTCTGCCTCTATTCCTCATCCCTAAAATAGGAGCAATAATAGTACCTACCTCATAGAGCTGTTAAGTGGATAAAATCACTTAATATACATAAAGATTTTAGAATAGTTTCAGAAAGAAGTTCCAAGATGGCCGAATAGGAACAGCTCCAGTCTACAGCTCCCAGCCTGAGCGACGCAGAAGACGAGGGATTTCTGCATTTCCAACTGAGGTACCACGTTCATCTCACTGGGGCTTATCAGACAGTGGGGGCAGGACAGTGGGTGCAGCCCACCGAGCGTGAGCCGGACCAGGGTGAGGCATTGCCTCACCCGGGAAGCGCAAGGGGTCAGGGAATTCCCTTTCCTAGCCAAGGGAAGGGGTGACAGATGGCACCTGGAAAATCGGGTCACTCCCACCCTAATACTGCACTTTTGCAATGGTCTTAGCAAGCGGCACACCAGGAGATTATATCCTGCGCCTGGCTCGGAGGGTCCCACACCCACGGAGCCTCACTCATTGCTAGCACAGCAATCTGAGATCGAACTGCAAGGCAGCAGCGAGGATGGGGAATGGGCGCCTGTCATTGCTGAGGCTTGAGTAGGTAAACAAAGCGGCCTGGAAGCTTGAACTGGGTGGAGCCCACAGCAGCTCAAGGAGGCCTGCCTGACTCTGTAGACTCCACCTCTCGGGGCAGGGCATAGCCAAACAAAAGGCAGCAGAAACCTCTGCAGACTTAAATGTCCCTGTCTGACAGCTTTGAAGAGAGTAGTGGTTCTCCCAGAATGGAGTTTGAGATCTGAGAACAGACAGACTGCCTCCTCAAGTGGGTCCCTGACCCCCGAGTAGCCTAACTGGGAGGCACCCCTGAGTAGGGGTAGATTGACACCTCACATGGCCGGGTACCCCTCTGAAATGAAGCTTCCAGAGGAAAGATCAGGCAGCAACATTGGCTGTTCAGCAACATTCACTGTTCTGCAGCCTCCGCTGCTGATACCCAGGCAAACAGGATCTGGAGTGGACCTCCAGCAAACTCCAACAGACCTGCAGCTGAGGGTCCTCACTGTTAGAAGGAAAACTAACAAACAGAAAGGACATCCACACCAAAACCCCATCTGTACGTCACCATCATCAAAGACCAAAGGTAGATAAAACCACAAAGATGGTGAAAAAACAGAGCAGAAAAGCTGAAAATCCTAAAAATCAGAGCACCTCTCCCCCTCCAAAGGAATGCAGCTCCTCGCCAGCAGTGGAACAAAGCTGGAAGGAGAATGACTTTGACGAGTTGAGAGGAGGCTTCAGATGATCAAACTTCTCCAAGTTAAAGGAAGAAGTTCGAACCCATCACAAAGAAGCTAAAAACCTTCAAAAAAGATTAAATAAATGGCTAAGTAGAATAAACAGTGTAGAGAAGTCCTTAAATGACCTGATAGAGCTGAAAACCATGGCGCAAGAACTACGTGACGCATGCACAAGCTTCAGTAGCCGATTCGATCAACTGGAAGAAAGGGTATCAGTGATTCAAGATCAAATTAATGAAATGAAGCGAGAAGAGAAGCTTAGAGAAAAAAGAGTAAAAAGAAATGAACAAAGCCTCCAAGAAATATGAGACTATGTGAAAAGACCAAATCTGCATCTGATTGGTGTACCTGAAAGTGACGAGGATAATGGAACCAAGTTGGAAAACACTCTTCAGGATATTATCCAGGAAAACATCCCCAACCTAGCAAGGCAGGCCAACATTCAAATTCAGGAAATACAGAGAATGCCACAAAGATACTCCTCGAGAAGAGCAACGCCAAGACAGGTAACTGTCAGATTCACCAAAGCTGGAATGAAGGAAAAAATGTTAAGGGCAACCAAAGAGAAAGGTCGGGTTACCCACAAAGGGAAGCCCATCAGACTAACAGCAGATCTCTTGGCAGAAACTCTACAAGCCAGAAGAGAGTGGGGAAAAATATTCACTATTCTTAAAGGAAAGAATTTTCAACCCAGAATT
Source organism: Homo sapiens (assembly GCF_000001405.40). Taxonomy (NCBI): domain Eukaryota; kingdom Metazoa; phylum Chordata; class Mammalia; order Primates; family Hominidae; genus Homo; species Homo sapiens. The sequence continues at coordinate 14,687,084 of NC_000023.11, read as the reverse complement.
TCATATCCAGCCAAACTAAGCTTCATAAGTAAAGGAGAAATAAAATCCTTTACAGACAAGCAAATGTTGAGAGATTTTGTCACCACAAGGCCTGCCCTAAAAGAGCTCCTGAAGGAAGCACTAAACATGGAAAGGAACAACTAGTACCAGCCACTGCAAAAACAAAGACCATCGAGGCTAGGAAGAAGCTGCATCAACTAACGAGCAAAATAACCAGCTAACATCATAATGACAGGATCAAATTCACACATGACAATATTAACCTTAAATGTAAATGGGCTAAATGCTCCAATTAAAAGACAAAGACTGGCAAATTGGATTAAGAGTCAAGACCCATCAGTGTGCTGTATTCAGGAGACCCATCTCACATGCAGAGACACACATAGGCTCAAAATAAAGGGATGGAGGAAGATCTACGAAGCAAATGGAAAACAAAAAAAAGGCAGGACTTGCAATCCTAGTCTCTCATAAAACAGACTTTAAACCAACAAAGATCAAAAGAGAAAAAGAAGGCCATTACATAATGGTAAAGGGATCAATTCAACAAGAAGAGCTAAGTGTCCTAAAGATATATGCACCCAACACAGGAGCACCCAGATTCATAAAGCAAGTCCTTAGAGATCTACAAAGAGACTTAGACTCCCACACAATAATAATGGGAGACTTTAACACCCCACTATCAACATTAGAAAGGTCAACGAGACAGAAAGTTAACAAGGATATCCAGGAATTGAACTCAGCTCTGCACCAAGCAGACCTAATAGACATCTACAGAACTCTCCACCCCAAATCAAAAGAATATACATTCTTCTCAGCACCACATCACACTTATTCCAAAATTACTTCCACATAGTTGGAAGTAAAGCACTCCTCAGCAAATGTAAAAGAACAGAAATCATTACAAACTGTCTCTCAGACCACAGTGCAATCAAACTAGAACTCAGGATTAAGAAACTCACTCAAAACTACACAACTACATGGAAACTGAACAACCTGTTCCTGAATGACTACTGGGTACATAACGAAATGAAGGCAGAAATAAAGATGTTCTTTGAAACCAATGAGAACAAAGACACAACATACCAGAATCTCTGGGACACATTTAAAGCAGTGTGTAGAGGGAAATTTATAGCACTAAATGCCACAAGAGAAAGCAGGAAAGATCTAAAATTGACAACCTAACATCACAATTAAAAGAACTAGAGAAGCAAGAGCAAACACATTCAGAAGCTAGCAGAAGGCAAGAAATAACTGAGATCAGAGCAGAACTGAAGGAGATAGAGACACAAAAAACCCTTCAAAAAATCAATGAATCCAGGAGCTGGTTTTTTGAAATGATCAACAAAATTGATAGACCACTAGGAAGACTAAGAAGAAAAGAGAGAAGAATCAAATAGACGCAATAAAAAATGACAAAGGGGATATCACCACCGATCCCACAGAAATACAAACTACCATCAGAGAATACTATAAACACCTCTACGCAAGTAAACTAGAAAATCTAGAAGAAATGGTTAAATTCCTGGACACATACACCCTCCCAAGACAAAACCAGGAAGAAGTTGAATCCCTGAATAGACCCATAACAGGCTCTGAAATTGAGGCAATAATTAATAGCCTACCAACCAAAAAAAGTCCAGGACCAGATGGATTCACAGCCGAATTCTACCAGAGGTACAAAGAGGAGATGGTACCATTCTTTCTGAAACTATTGCCATCAATAGAAAAAGAGGGAATCCTCCCTAAGTCATTTTATGAGGCCAGCATCGTCCTGATACCAAAGCCTGGCAGAGACACAACAAAAAAAGAGAATTTTAGACCAATATCCCTGATGAACATCGATGCAAAACTCCTCAATAAAATACTGGCAAACCGAATCCAGCAGCACATCAAAAAGCTTACCCACCATGATCAAGTGGGCTTCATCCCTGGGATGCAAGGCTGGTTCAACATATGCAAATCAATAAATGTAATCCAGCGTATAAATGGAACCAAAGACAAAAACCACATGATTATCTCAATAGATGCAGAAAAGGCCTTTGACAAAATTCAACAACCCTTCATGCTAAAAACTCTCAATAAATTAGGTATTGATGGGACATATCTCAAAATAATAAGAGCTATCTATGACAAACCCACAGCTAATATCATACTGAATGGGCAAAAACTGGAAGCATTCCCTTTGAAAACTGGCACAAGACAGGGATGCCCTCTCTCACCACTCCTATTCAACATAGTGTTGGAAGTTCTGGCCAGGGCAATCAGGCAGGAGAAGGAAATAAAGGGCTTTCAATTAGGAAAAGAGGAAGTCAAATTGTCCCTGTTTGTAGATGAGATGATTTTATCTTTAGAAAACCCCATGGTCTCAGCCAAAAATCTCCTTAAGCTGATAAGCAACTTCAGCAAAGTCTCAGGATACAAAATCAATGTGCAAAAATCACAAGCATTCTTATACACCAGTAACAGACAAACAGAGCCAAATCATGAGTGAACTCCCATTCACAATTGCTTCAAAGAGAATAAAATACCTAGGAATCCAGTTCACAAGAGATATGAAGGACCTGTTCAAGGAGAACTACAAACCACTGCTCAATGAAATAAAAGAGGACACAAACAAATGGAAGAACATTCCATGCTCATGGATAGGAAGAATCAATATCCTGAAAATGGCCATACTGCCCAAGGTAATTTATAGATTCAATGCCATCCCCAATCAAGCTACCAATGCCTTTCTTCACAGAATTGGAAAAAACTACTTTAAAGTTCCTATGGAACCAAAAAAGAGCCTGCATCGCCAAGTCAATCCTAAGCCAAAAGAACAAAGCTGGAGGCATCACCCTACCTGACTTCAAACTATACTACAAGGCTACAGTAACCAAAACAGCATGGTACTGGTACCAAAACAGAGATCTAGACCAATGGAACAGAACGGAGCCCTCAGAAATAATACCACACATCTACAACCATCTGATCTTTGACAAACCTGGCAAAAACAAGAAAAGGGGAAAGGATTCCCCATTTATTTATTTATTTTTTAGTTTTTTATTTTTGAAACCCAAGTTTTACTATTCTGTACATTCACGTAGCAAAATCCCATCAAATTAATGTCATAGACATTATAGGCCCATAATAAAATTCTTAGCTAAGAATTCTCCATGGCCCTACTGATTCTGCTTTTTTTTTTATTATTATACTTTAAGTTTTAGGGTACATGTGCACAATGTGCAGGTTAGTTACATATGTATACATGTGCCATGCTGGTGCACTGCATTAAATAGGATTCCCTATTTAATAAATGGTGCTGGGAAAATTGGCTAGCCATATGTAGAAAGCTGAAACTGGATCCCTTCCTTACACCTTATACAAAAATCAATTCAAGATGGATTAAAGACTTAAATGTTAGACCTAAAACCATAAAGACCCTAGAAGGAAACCTAGGCAATACCATTAGGACATAGGCATGGGCAAGGACTTCATGTCTACAACACCAAAAGCAATGGCAACAAAAGCCAAAATTGACAAATGGGATCTAATTAAACTAAAGAGCTTCTGCACAGCAAAAGAAACTACCATCAGAGTGAACAGGCAACCTACAGAATGGGAGAAAATTTTTGCAATCTACTCATCTGACAAAGGGCTAATATCCAGAATCTACAATGAACTCAAACAAATTTACAAGAAAAAAACAACCCCATCAACAAATGGGCAAAGGACATGAACAGACACTTCTCAAAAGAAGACATTTATGCAGCCAACAGACACATGAAAAACTGCTCATCATCACTGGCCATCAGAAAAATGCAAATCAAAAGCACAATGAGATACCATCTCACACCAGTTAGAATGGCCATCATTAAAAAGTCAGGAAACAACAGGTGCTGGAGAGGATGTGGAGAAATAGGAACACTTTTACACTGCTGGTGAGACTGTAAATTAGTTCAACCATTGTGGAAGACAGTGTGGCGATTCCTCAAGGATTTAGAACTAGAAATACCATTTGACCCAGCCACCCCATTACTGGGTATATACCCAAAGGATTATAAATCATGCTTCTATAAAGACACATGCACACGTATGTTTATTGCGGCACTATTCACAATAGCAAAGACTTGGAACCAACTCAAATGTCCATCAATGATAGACTGGATTAAGAAAATGTGGCATATATACACCATGGAATACTATGCAGCCATAAAAAAGGATGAGTTCATGTCCTTTGTAGGGACATGCATGAAGCTGGAAACCATCATTCTCAGCAAACTGTTGCAAGGACAAAAAACCAAACACCGCATATTCTCACTCATAGGTGAGAATTGAACAATGAGAACACTTGGACACAGGAAGGGGAACATCACACACCGGGGCCTGTCGTGGGGTGGGGGGAGGGGGAAAGGAAAGCATTAGGAGATATACGTAATGTAAATGATGAGTTATCGGGTGCAGCACACCAACATGGCACATGTATACATATGTAACAAACCTGCACGTTGTGCACATGTACCCTAGAACTTAAAGTATAATTAAAAAAAAAAAGATTTTAAAATAGTTTCAAACACAGAATAAGTCCTTATAAATGTTTGCAATTATTTGGCCATAGAAGGGTGTGATTTTGTTAATGGATAAATTTTGGAAGAGACAAAAATTAATAAGGAACATAAAACTCACCCACAATCATAATATATTCTAATTATTATTTTTAAGATCACCACCTGCCTTACACTATTTGTCTAAAACAATCTGAAGTACTTGTATCAGTTCCACATGTGTTGTGATAAAATGATCTAGCACTTTATCTCCAGTCTTTTAAACATATTATTCTTCCTACCTGGGATGGTTATTCCCACTCCTTCTGATTAATAGATGCCTCAGAATTCTTTAGGACTTAGCCAAGATATCAATTCCCCTGGGAATATCCCGACCTTTCCCCTTTCTCTCATCTGAGTTAGGGGCCATGTTTCTTTGTTCCCTTATCACTCTCTATTGAACTTATCTGTTCCTTCTTAGCCCACTTTTTACATGGAAGATGTCCCTCATCTCACTCAACTTACAATTTTATATATATTTATATATATACACACACACACACACATACATATATAAATACATATATACACACATAAATATACATATATAGACACACACACATATATATACATATATATATATATATATATTTTTTTTTTTTTTTTTTTTGAGATGGTGTCTCGCACTGTTGCCCAGGCTGGAGTGCAGTGGCGCGATCTCGGCTCACTGCAGCCTCTGCCTCCCAGGATCAAATGATTCTCCTGCCTCAGCCTGCCGAGTAACTGGGATTACAGGCACGTGCCACCACACCTGGCTAACTTTTGTATTTTTTAGTAGAGACAGGGTTTCACCATGTTGCCCAGGCTGGTCTCAAACTGCTGACCTCAAATGATTTGCCCATCTCAGCCTCCTAAAGTGCTGGAATTACAGGCGTGAGCCACTGTGCCCGGCCAGTTATATTTTAAAGTATTCCCTGACCCTACTCTTAGACTGTAGGTTTATTTTTTTGTTTTCGTTTTTAGTTTAGGCCCTGTGCAGTATTACTTTGTATCACCAGCACAGGACCTAGCAAATAGTGCATAGGCAGTAGTTATGTGGGATGGATAGATGGATTGGTGGATAAATACATGGTGGATGGATCTATGATGGATGGACTGATGGTTGAATGAATGAATGAATTGAATGAAAGAAGGAAGGAAGGAAGAAAGCAAGGAAGGAAAGGAAGGAAATATCTAGCTATTTTTGCATCTTTGTGCTTTAATTTAAACAGTTATGAATGATATACTGTTACCCACGATTGTATATATTTGATACTTCTAAGAGTGTACTATTAGTGAGTTTTTATTCTCTTAGCTCGCCTAACATTCCTGGAACATTTGCTTCCTTAATAGTTTGTCTTGTATTTGCTCTTCTGGAACACCAACATGGCACATGTATACATATGTAACAAACCCGCACGTTGTGCACCTTTAACCTAGAACTTAAAGTATAATTAAGTTATACTATTTTCCTGTAATAATAGAACATTACCAATCACAGCATTTCCAGTTATATATTATTCACATGGCCCATAAATGTTTTAAGACCCAATAATGAGAGGAATGTGTTAATGCCCGAGATATGTGCCTACCAAGAGCTAAGTCCAGTAGAGCTGACCATCATTCCTCCTCTTCCTGGTGTTTACAGCATTCAGTAATTTATACACCTTTTCCCCATCTTCTAGCAATCAGCAGACCAAGCTCATATTTGGCTTCTTTTTCAGCTGCTCACAAATGAGTCCTTTCAGTCTCTTAATCATTTTGGTTGCTCTCTGAGTTTCCTCCAAATCATGAACATCTTTCCAGCATTGAAGTGCTGGCATTAAATGCATTATTCACATGGATTTAGAGGGTGTTGTGAGACATCTATCACATATGATGTGATGTTCCTTGGTGCTGGTTTCTCAGAACTGAAATGCCTTTTTGTTGCTTTTACCCAGCTCTGATGTCAGATTCTCTTCTTTCAGCTGCTAATCCTTAGATGTTTTGAGCTCACATCTTCCCCTGTTACATTATTTTTATGATTCTTGGGCTTACAAGATTCCTTCTTGAACTACTTTACTACAAACTTGCAAGATAGTTTTAAAAGGTAATGAAGTTCTCAAAGTGCTGTTATGATTAACTAAGTTGGTATCTTTTCAGGCATAGCATATTTAATTCAGAAAAACAAAAACAAACATTGAGAGCATACTACATTGAAGGCTCTACTAGGTGCTGGTGGGAAATGGGGTAAAAGATACAAAGATGACTAAGAAGTATATTAATTCTCCCCAGGACTTCCCAGATTATATTTCAGGGGACCCCACTCATGCTGTGCTCTAGAAAGTATCATTCACATAGATCATGGAGCAGCATATTATAGTCCATGGATCAAATTCAGTCCACTGCCTGTTTTATAAATAAAGTTTTATTTGAAGACAGCCATATTCATTCATTTACATATTGTCTGTGGATACTTTTGAACTAAAATGGTACAGTTGAGTAGTTGTGACAGAAACCAAATGGCCACAAAGCCTAAAATACCATATGGCTCTTTACAGAAAACATTTTCCAGCCTCTGACCTAGACTTTAGTGTTATCTTGTTTTTCTTGGGGTTGTACATCTTAGTGGCCCTGCTTCACCACTTAAGAATCCCATGGTCTACTGAGGGAAACAGTCACATGAACATATAAGTGATATAAAGTAGATGGTTCCACATGACAAAGTAAAGGAAGGACAAAAAGTCGGTAGAATACGGGGAGGTTAATATCGATGGAAAAATCAGTAAAGGCTTTATTCCTAGGTGGTGTAGCACTTGTTTTAGGCTTGAGGAGAGCCAGGTCTTTGGTGGGTAGAAGAAGCTGTAAAATCAAAGCTGTAAAGATGGGAGAGAGTATGGTGGTCTTGCGAATAATGAGCAACCCAGTGACCGGGATATGCTGGGCACCTGGGAGTTAACGGTGAGGGGTGGACAGTTAGGCTGGGCTGGCAAAAGAAGGCATTGAAAGCCAAGCTGATAGGTTTGGGGTTTCAAAAATTTGTAAAGATAAGCTAATGATGGTTTTGAGGTGGAGTATAGATGTATAAGGTGTCTTTTTCTTTTCTTTTTTTTTTTAACAATCATCATGATGCTCTTTGCCTCTGATGAAAGCAAGAGTCTTAGCAAAGTAGACATTATCCTCCTTATGGAAATTTACCTTCCGTCTTCTTGGCACTTTCACCTCTATATAGGTTGGTTCTCTTCTAGGCTCTCCAACATCTCTGAATCATCTGATCTTCCTTACTCTCTTTGGGACATCTTATTCCATTTGGTATTTCCATTTCTTGAACTCTCCTCCTCAGTTTTCACTCTATCTTCATATCCTCAATGAATTAATCCACTCCTATAGCTTTCTTCTTATTTCTGTGTGTCAGGGTGGTGGTGGTGGTGGTGGTGGTGGTGTGTATGTTGAGCGCTATAACAGAGACTGGCTATATTCTTCTAAATTTCATTTCCTCTACCAGTAAGCTGGATTTGCCACTTCTTTTGGATCCTCCATGGAATGTAGGCAGAAGTTACACATGTTAGGACCGCTAAAATCTTCCATGAGGCCCTTAAGACTATACCTTCTGCAGCCACCTTAGATGTCACCGGTTTAAGATGGCAGTGCCGTAAGATGGAAGAAGGCTGGATCCCCAAAAGACCTAGGGCCACCAACCCCATAGTAGAGTTTAATGTGAGTGAGAAGGAAATTTTTATTTTGTCAAGCTACAGGAATAAGAAGAAAGCTATAGGAGTGGATAAATTCATTGAGGATATGAAGGTTTTGTGTTTCCAAAGCTCTCAAATTATTCCCTCAGCCCTGACCTCACAGCAGCATTCTGTGATAATACTAAAATAGCTAGTTAGTATTTGCAAAATTAAACATATTAAATGCCACCTCCTTCTTATTCATCTCATTTAAATCTTTCTTCTCACTAGCAACCTGGTTTTACCACTGTTTCCCCCTCCATTGTCTTCATCTCTAATACTCAATCTATTGCACAGACTCAACATTTCTCTCTGTAAAGCAATCCTGGGTTTACTCTTTACTCTCTCCATTCCAAAGATGTCACTTTAATCCTATCCATCAACACCTAATGCCTGGTTATTATAACAACTTCCTAACCAGTCCCCCTGCATTCAGTTCTTCCCCATGGCACCTAGTCTTTTGCTTCTGTGAAATTAAATTTAAAACACCAATTTCATTTTGAAACACATCTGCTTAGGAATTACTGTGGCTGCCTATTGCAGTCTCTGGTATTCAAGGCCTCGCACAGCATGTGTCTACCCTAGTTAATCAATCTTATTGCACTCTTTCATAACACAAGCTTGGTGTTTTGTTTAAACAATTTTGCTTAGCCCTGAGTAAGCCAAATCCATTCCCACTGATGACTTTGTCTACACCAGTAGTTCCTAAATGAGGTTGACTTTTCACTCCAGGGGACATTTGGCAACGTCTGGAGATATTTTTGATTGTCACAACCAGGGAGCAGTGCTATTGGCATCTGGTAGTTGAGGTCACGGATGCTTCTAAACATCCTATTATGCACAGGACAGCATCCAAAACAAAGACTTATCCAGTCGAAATGCTAATAATTCTGAGGTTGGAAAACCCTGAGAGAGAGAAAGCAAAAACAAAAACAAACAAACAAAAAACCGAGGTAACTATATCCAGTCCAGTGGTTCTCAACCAGAAGTGATGTTGCTCTGAAGAACATTCAGCAGTGCCAGAAGATGTTTTTGGTTGTTCCATCTGGGAAGTAAAGAGTTGCTCTGGTTTCTAGTGGGTTGAGGCCAGGGATGCTGTTAAATACCCAACAATGCAAAGGACAGCTCTTTATGACAAATAATTACCCAGTCCCAAATGTTAATAGTGTTATAAGGTGGAAAAACCCTGGTCTACACTCTTCTCCCAGCATAGAAACATTTCCCACATTTTATATCTGTTTATTTCCAGATAATTCTTCAAGGAGTAGACCAAATTCCATCCCCAAGGTGATAATTTCTTTGCCTATTCTAGCCCACGGTCGTCTTGCCCATCTTTAGAATTTGTAACGCACTTAAAGATAGAATCATCCAGTTTAGTCTTCGCTTCATGCATATGTGTTTTATCCACCCAACTAAAGTATAGGATACTTGGGGGAATATAGATCCAGTAATGTCTTCTGTATCCATGCCACCAAGGACAAGTTTTTGTGCATATAGTAAGTGTCCCTGTAAGTTTTTGTTGACTGTCAAATTTTCCAAGTGCTATATAAATTCAAATTCCTTTCACAATTATTGCTTTATATAAAGGGTAAGCTACAAAAAAAAAAGACAACTAAAAAGAAGAAAAATGTAGTTTTGGTCTTTTAGAGATGATAGTTGTTGATATCCAAATTACTCTGGATTTATTTTCATTAACGGAAAGGAGAATACTTATTATTTAGATGACTTTATAACTTATGTAGTTTGCAAATATATCTGGCGGGAAAGTAGAACCAGTCAAGTGGTTTAGAGTTTCATGGTGCTAGATAAGCATTTATCTGTTGTTTGAACAGATAAGTGAGATGGTGGAATTTGGTTAGTTGCTCAGTTGTTTCGCATTGTATAGACATTTCTTAGAGGTGTTTCCCATTAATATTCTTTTTAATACTGTCTTGGCATTTTTGAAAACTTTGGCAAGTTTTATTGAGTCAATTTTTTTCATGAATTACATCATTAGTTCAGTTTCAAAGTAGAAAATCAAGTCATGAATTTATTTACTTTAGCCCCACAATTTGTTTTGTCTGTGTTCAGACACTGTACTGTTTCCTGTGCCATGAAGCCAGTTGATGTTATTGGTTGGGACATTTTCTACATGATGTTTATCCCCAGGACAGAAGAATGAGTCACCATTGTACAAGGATTACTTGAATGTCCTTACAGCTTGGATACCCTCTCCATTCCTCATGGGCAAGGCACTTCCATGTGATAATGTGCCAACTAAAGTATATTCACATTCCCAGCCCCTAGGCTGACCCCAGAGAACTGCGACATTCCTCCAGCAGCTAATCAAGGAGGATTGCTAATGAATGTGTACAGAGAGCAGTTCACTACAGTGGAGAAAAAATCACAAATGACTATGATCAAGTGTTGTTTTGTAATAGAAAAGAAACAAAATGAAATTCATAGGGCAATCTCAAAATATTCAGATATTCCTTCTTTAAGTGGAATGATTCCTCATATCCACCTGCTTGAGTCAATGTTTAATTATTCTCCACAATATATCCATGTAACAAAATTGCACTTGTGCCACTTACATTTATACAAATAAAAATGTTTAATTATTCTCAAACTATGCCTGAAAACTATTGGTAAAGCAGAATAGTTTTCTGTACAGTACAATTTCATTTTATCTAATTTATATGTGGAAAATATGTAATTAACCTTGATTAATGCAGCTGTTGAAATGAGAGATAACTGTTGGCCACAGTAGCCTGAGATGTGTTTCTGTTACATAAAATAGAAGGCTTTGGTAACTCCAATCAACTTATCTTTTATTGAGTGCTATAAAGTATACCATCATGCTTTCCATTCCCATTTTGGGGGGAAATTAGTTTATTAAATGCATATCTAAACTTTATATAGCTAGTAATTAACAGAGGTGGGAATGAGAATTCTGGCTTTGCTTTTTCTGTTTGATCTCTTACCTATATTCAGTAACTGTATCACGAGAAAAAAATATAGTCAAGTTAATCCTGGTGCCAAAGATTCATGGTGCTGTACAATTTCATGTTTATAGTTTCACTGCCAAGTTGCCATTTTTATTGCCTAATTAAGGAGCTCACACCTGCCATTTAATGCTGGGGAAATCAGATTTCCTTGGCAGAGATGGATGATGACAGCACTGACTACCTGGCCCATCCCAGTGTCACCACCCTCACCCCATTTTCTCTCCATATCTAATATTGTTGAGTTCTATACTGAGTAGTTGAGTAAAGAGTTACTTATTAAAGTGCTGTTTGCAGAAACAGACACTGAGTGGCAATGCCTCCAAGCCTGGTATCTGCAGGAACCACCCAATTATAAATGGACCTTTGGGGACCAATTAGTTTGTTGGGCATTGGACGGTACACAGGCCTAGTGAGTTGATATTCTTTCCAAAGATGAATACATTTCTCTCCATTATGGTGGTCAGAAAATTGTTTAAAGTAGCTTGCCAAAACTTACTATCCGTGTGAGTTTCATGAGTGGAGAGGTACAAGAAGAGTAAAACTGCCAGCCCTAGAATACACAAGCAACACCAGGTGATATCCATTGTTAGAGGCACCATAGGGACACTCTGCAGAAAGGCACCTCTAAGTCTCAGCCTCCTGCAAATGTAGGCATCTGAGAGAGTCAAGGTGAAGGAGGGGTTAGCATCTGGAGGAAGTAGGGCAATGCAGCATCTTCTTCCCTGTGCTTATGTCTGCCACGTCACTACATTTTTGGCTGATAGACAAGCACATTGATTCCTGCCATAGTCTACTTCCTGTGCCTGCACCTTCAGTGACAAAACAAGTGATGTATGTTTATTATCTAACAAGGGCAGGAATAAGGGGGAAGTGGGGATTCGGAACAAATTGCCCACTGGTGGAAAAACAATCTCAATGAAGAAAAGACCCAATTGGGTGATCTCAGTATTGGAAAGACAACAATGGGCTTTGGGGAGATGATGAGATGATGCTTCACTTAATAAATGTTTGTGTAGTCAGAGAGTGTGTGTGTTTGTGTGTGTGTGCATGGGAGAGAGAGAGAGAAAAGGAGAAAGAAAGAGAAGAGAAAAACTGGGAGACTATGAAGATATGGAAGAAAGAAAAAAAAGGAAAAATAATGAATATTTTTGAAGCTAGACCAACTTGGATTTGAATCCTAGGTGAATGACCAATGAATTTGGAAAAATTACTTAACCTTTTTGAATCTTGATTTCTTCATATCAAAGTAGGGGCCCACACATTCCAGTTTCATGGGGTCATTGAAGGATTGAATAAGATACTTTATATAAAACTTAACACTCATTTGGCAGATTGTAGATTCTCAGACACATTGGCTTGTAAGGGATGAGCCCCTGAAGACACTGCATAATTCAAAACTTGCATAATTCAAGGCAGTTTTCCCCACAGGAATAATGTAAAGTAAAATATCTTGTATTTGATGTTTTGTGCATGGACTAAGACTTTGTTAGTATTTTTATATTGCTTTGCTTTAAATTCACATAATCTAAGTTCACATAAATGGAACTTCATTGCAGTGAGCACTCCTGTATATCATGGGGACTGATATATGCTGTTACAAAAAGAAAACAGAACAAAATCACCACCACCACTATCATCAACAAAAAGCTTACACCACCACCATTCTATGAGTTATCTCCATTATAAGGATAAGGAAGCTGAGTTCACTCATTAACTTTACCAAGATCACACAGCAAAAGAATAGTTGAGCTGCGATTTGCATTAAATCTGGCTTGACTCCAAATTCTGTGCTTTTCTGCCTCACTGACCCCTGTGGGAACCTCCCTCTCTGGCGATGAGTCAGAAGAATTACTCACAGACTGTGCTTACACCAGATGACAACATCTGATGTGGAAAAGAGGTGAGAAGGTACATGCAGTGGGACTGGCAAGCAAGAAACAACAGTAGCACTGTCACACCTGCAGCCATGGACATACTGTGAAGATAAGTGTTCATAGATGGCAGATAACCGCAATCTTCATTTGTTTTCTCAGTCAGCAATTAGTGCCTCGACTACTTGTATACTATTTGTGCATTTACTCCCTACCCTAACCCAGGTTCAAAATTCATACTTACAAGCAAGGAAATAAAAGAGGGAAGTTTAATAACTGTTATTTGGAAAGGCCTTGGAATGGTGGGTAAGGTTTATAGTGATGGGTAGAGGAATATGGAAGAGCTGACAGGTCTCCACTCCCTGGACTGAGCTTGTTGGTTTATGATTTCCAAGTTGCCTATGCCTCCTATAGTGGGATGAGGAGCCAAATCAGGAAGGAAGCAGTGGCCAAACCTTTCACCCCTGACCATTTCTCAAACTCAGAACCTTACCAGAGTGAGTGGGTGTACCTGTGTTAAGTGACTATGTGCAGATGCGTCATCATCTCATAACAATTATGGATGATGTACTCCTGAGATGAACAGTGGGTAAGATATGTAGGGAATGGGTGATTCTGGAGTACAAAATAGAGGCAGTCTTAGAAGCCCAGTTCAAGTTGCAGTGATGGAGAAATCATTTCCTCAGAATACCTAGAATCTTGTGATAACTCCAGGATACAAAGAGGCCCCTTCTGGTGCTGAACTTCTCCACCAATGCACCTGAACCCTCTGAGCACTGTGATGCTACATCCTGGGGATGAGAACAGGGATTCCTTTAGTGGAGGGCCATAGAGTATTTAATATATGAGAGTATAGTGTGAAATATGAATTTCAATTGAATGGTAGAGTCAGTGGTAGCCGAGAAGCTTTCCGACCCAGACTCTGGCTTGTGGACTGATTTAGTGTCAGCTCTGTACTTTAATGTGAGCTCACAGTGGAGGCTGCAGATCATCAAGGATGTCTCGATAGGAGCCAACTTGCCAGACACCTTCCCTTCTTGGCATGGCACTCTGGGCGCTCAAGCCTAGTGTGTTCTAACCTAAAGCTCTTGAAGTTAATCAGCTACCTACTGTTTCATACTATTCAAAGTGAAACTGAAATGGAAAAATTCCAGGCATCCACCACGCTCCAGGTTCCATGTGGGGAGGAGAAAACAAGAAAAGGAGCTACAGGTCAGTCAAAGGTTTGTAATTAATGTGGTTCAAAAGCTTCTGGCTGGGCTGTTGATCTCACTTTTTGTTAGTTATAAATTACCAAAGATTATGTCTCTACTGTATCCACTTCCTATAGTTGAGCAGCATTTTGATACAAGTCAGCTCCATTCCTTTCTCTTTAACAAAAAAACCAGAAGCACAAATCACCCATTAATAGTTAAATACCTATTTGCAATAGATACTAGCCTACAGGAGTCTGTAATGATTAAAAAGAAATCCTACTGCCTCTTGAGTAAAATGACATAAGTAGATGTGTAAGCTCTTTGAAGAAATAAAAGGCCATGCCATCAGATAGCATTATTATTTTTCAATATGGAAGTGTACAGAATGCTTAAAAGATAAAGTGTAAGTGTGAAAATATTTTGGTTGGGCTCATTGAGTGCCTCAGTTTCTAACATATCAGTTGCATACATCTGCTTCAGAAAGTTTAGATCAATCTCAGCCCCTTGGCGGAAATCAATCCAGTATGACTATCTAAAGTAAGAGAAAGCAGCAAGGCTGTGTTAGAGAGAGCCATGAGAAGATGCCAAAAATGTGGACCTCAGCTTTGCCACTGGCTCACATTGCAAATTTGGGCACATTATCTCACGATTTGGGGTCTCACACTCCCACTTGGGATATAAAAGGATCGGGCTGATAATTTTCAAGGGTTCTGCTATTCTAAGATTCTGTGACTCAAGGGAAATAAAAAGTGATGAGAGAGGAAACCACATCAATAGCAGTATGGGTTCCCAATGTCAAGGTGATCAGAGCTGTGAGTCCCAGTAACAGCCTTCAGGCCCTCTACTCTGCATTCTTAGCACTTTCAGTATCATCTGATAATGTCTATTCATTGAATGCCTCTATGTGCCAGGCAAGACTTGCCTAAAATAGTGAATTCCTTGCTTAGAAGCAAATAGTACTAATTCAGGAAAAACAATTGCATGTGCAATACTATGTGCATAGCAGATACACTGAGTTTACTTGCAGATTCAATGGACAATTCTCACATAAACCCTCAGCAACTCACCCCAAGCTCTGCTTTTCTGCCTAAGAGATTTCTCTGGTACCTTGGAAACTTTCTTGACATGCATGCAAGGAAGCCTAGAACACTACCAGGGGCAGTCCTCAACCATGGAAGGATGGGGGTTGGTGGATAAAGACCCTGGATTTCCTGGTACTTGTTGGGGCAATCTGAAGAGAATTCTACACAGTTTTTGGAGGATCCCTAGCATAATTGAACACTAGTTGTCCCTCATGGTAACCAACTCAATAATACACTTGTTTGCCTTTTCTCTTTTCACTATTTACATTCCACATTCTCTCTTGTCTTTCTTGTCACCATCTTTCAAATAAACTGCATCCAAATGCTTGTCACAGGGTCTGCAGTTTACTGAAACAAATGACTCAAACCCCAAATTAGATCAGGAGAGCCTATCACAAAAATGATGCCTGCCACATCATTGCCATTTAGAACCAGGATAGCAAAGAAACACATCCTGAAAATTTTTTTCTTACTAGCAAATATCCTATGCCTGGCTGGCTTGCCCATCACCAGTAAGAATGGAGTGTTGACATGAATCAAAAAACATTCTTCAAGCAGTAAGTACCAAATCAATTTAGGACCTATATTGCCCATATGATTTAACACCTATCACTTCCCTTTTTGCTCTGCACAGCTAGTTTTAAATTTATAAAATTAGAATAATGGAGCTGAAACAGAAACTAGTATTTCCTGTCTAATACTGTGCGAGAATCATTCAGCATATGCCAACTCTCCTGGGGTCAGATAATGAGAGCACCTTATTTGCAGAAATGTTATATAAATAATCTGTCCCACCCTGAGCTCCTTAGGAGGACAGAGTCACAGTTACATTTTGAGCCTATAAGGATGTGGATATTACGAAAGTACAAATTACTCCTGTTGACAGGACATCAGTTAGTTAAAGGTTTTAACAGTGATATGGTTTGGCTGTGTCCCCACCCAAATCTTATCTTAAATTTCCATGTGTTATGGGAGGGACCTGGTGGGAGGTAATTGAATCATGGGGGCAGGTCTTTCCCGTGCTGTTGTCATGATAGTGAATAAGTCTCGCGAGATCTGGTGGTTTTAAAAATGAGAGTTTCTCTGCACAAGCTCTCTTTTGCCTGCTGCCGTCCACATAAGATGTGACTTGCTTCTCCTTGCCTTCCACCATGATTGTGAGGCCTCCCCAGCCACGTGGGACTATAAGTCCATTAAACCTCTTTCTTTTCTAAATTGCCCAGTCTTAGATATGTCTTTATCAGCAGTGTGAAAACAAACTAATACAGTAAACTGGTACAATAGAGTGGGGTATTGCTGAAAAGATAGCCAAAAATATGGAAGTGACTTTGCAACTGGGTAACAGGCAGAGGTTGGAACAGTTTGGAGGGCTCAGAAGACAGGAAAATATAGGAAAGTTTGGAACTTCCTAGAGACTTGTTGAATGGCTTTGACAAAAATGCCGATAGTGATATGAACAATAAGGTCCAGGCTGAGGTGATCTCAGGTGGAGATAAGAAACTTGTTGGGAACCAGAGCAAAGGTGACTCTTATTATGTTTTAGCAAAGAGACTGGAGGCATTTTGCCCCTGGCCTAGAGATTTGTGGAACTTTGAACTTGAGAGAGATGATTTAGGGTATCTTGTAGAAGAAATTTCTAAGCAGCAAAGCATTCAAGAGGTGACTTCGGTGTGGTTAAAGGCATTCAGTTTCAAAAGGGAAACAGCATAAAAGTTTGGAAAATTTGCAGCCTGACAATGCAATAGAAAAGTAAATCCCATTTTCTGAGGAGAAATTCAAGCTGTCTGCAGAAATCTGCATAAGTCGAGGGGCCAAATATTAATCACCAAGACAATGAAGAAAATGTCTCCAGGGCATGTTGGAGACCTTTGCAGCAGCCCCTCCCATCACAGGCCCAGAGGCCTAGGAGGAAAATGTGGTTTCATGGGTTGGGCCTGGGGTCCCTGTGCTGTTTGCAGCATGCAGCCTTGGGACTTGGTGACCTGCATCCCAGCCATTCCAGCTGTGGCTGAAAGGGGCCAACATAGAGCTCAGGCTGTGGCTTCAGAGGGTGCAAGCCTCAAGCCTTGGCAGCTTCCACGTGGTGTTGAACCTGTGAGTGTACAAAAGTCAAGAACTGAGGTTTGGGAACCTAGATTTCAGAAGAGGTATAGAAACACCTGGATGCCCAAGCAGAAGTTTGCTGTAGGGTTGATGTTCTCATGGAGAACCTCTGCTAGGGCAGTGAAGAAGTGAAATGTGGGTTGGGAGCCCCCACACAGAGTCCCTACTGAGACACCACCTAGTGCACCTGTGAGAAGAGGGCCACCGTCCTTCCGACCCCAGAATGATAGCTCCACTGACAGCTTGTACTGTACACCTGGAAAAGCTGCAGACATTCAATGCCAGCCTGTGAAAATAGCCAGGAGGGAGGCTGTACCTTGCAAATCCACAGGGGCAGAGCTGCCTGAGACCATGGGAACCCATCTCTTGCATCAGAGTCACCTGGATGTGAGACATGGAGTCAAAGGAGATCATTTTGGGGCTTTAAGATTTGACTGCCCTGCTGAATTTTGGACTTGCATGGGGCCTGTAGCCCCTTTGTTTTGACCAATTTTTCCCATTTGGAATGGCTGTATTTGCCCAATGCCTGTATCCCGATTGTATCTAGGAAGTAACTAACTTGTTTTTGATTTTACAGGCTCATAGGTGGAAGGAACTTGCCTTGTCTCAGATGAGACTTTGGACTGTGGACTTTTGAGTTAATGGTGAAATGAGTTAAGACTTTGGGGGACTGTTGGGAAGGCATGATTGGTTTTGAAATGTGAGGACATGAGATTTAGAGGGGCTAGGGGCAGAATGATATGGTTTGGCTGTCTCCCCACCAAAAATTTCATCTTGAATTTCCACGTGTTGTGGGAGGGACCCAGTGGGAGGTAATTGAATCATGGGGGCAGGTCTTTCCCGTGCTATTCTCATGATAGTAAATAAGTCTCACGACATGTGATGATTTTAAAAATGGAAGTCTCCCTGCACAAGCTCTCTTCTCTTGTCTGCTGCCATGTGAGACGTGCCTTTCATCTTCTGCCATGGCTGTGAAGCCTCCCCTGCCACATGGAACTGTAAGTCAATTAAACCTCTTTCTTTTGTAAATTGCCCAGTCTTCAGTATGTCTTTGTCAGCAGTGTGAAAACGGACTAATACAAACAGCATTACACTAAAAGACCAATGCAGAGTTAGTTTTATTAAAATAGTGTGTGGTAGGCAGCCTTCTAAAATGGGCCCCAATGATTCGTGTCTCTTGGTATTCATGTGCTTGGATAATCTGCTCCCCTTGACTATGGGCTGACCTACTGACTTGTTTCTAACAAATACAATGTGTCAAAATTGATGGGATGTTACTTCCACAATTAGGTTATAAAAGACTGCCTTCCATCTTGCTTGCACTTTCTTTCGTGCTGGCACTCTCTTGCTGGCTCTTCTCATGTTGCCTTTGTGGAGAGGGCTACCTAGCAAGGAACTGAGGGTAGCATTCAGCCAATAGCCAGTGAAGAGCTGAGGCCTCAGTCTGACAGCACAGGAGGAACTGAATCTTGCCAACAACTATATGAGTGAGCTTTGGAAGTAGATCCTTCTCTAGTTGAGCCTTCATGTGAGACTACAGCCTTGGCTATGAAATCATGTGAGATTTCAGCCTTGTGGGAGACTCTGAAAGAGAGGTTCCAGCTGAGTTGTGCCTGGATTCCTAACCCATAGAAACTACAAGATAAAAATGCTCATAAAAACTGTAAGATTAAAATATTGTTTAAGCCACTAAAATCTGGCAGAAATTTGTTATGCAGCAATTGACAGTTAATATATGTTATCTTTGTTGTGGAGGAGAGAGAAAGAAATATAGATAGATAAAAAAGATGAGAAAAGGGAGATAAGTTGCTTATTTTGGGCCTCATGAATCCAGAATTTGGAAAAATTTGATTTTTTTTTCTTTACTATTTAAAGAGAAAAGTTCAGTTTAAAAATAATAAGCAAGGTATCTGGGAGGATAATTAATCAGTATAAGAGAAGAAAAACCATAATATATTCATTTTTAATCTATCCATTCAAGTAGGCTCCATGCTTGAACATGTATAAAAGTAGCTATTCAAAATCAGTTTACCTAAGCTGAAGTCCAGGAGTCATCAAACTACTGTCCATCAGTTAAATCTGTTCTGCTACTTGCTTTTGCAAATACAGTTTAATTAGAACAAAGCCATACCCATTCATTTACATATTCTCTATGGCTCTCTAGTGCCCACTTACCATGGTAGAGTTGAGTAGCTGCAACAGAGAACTTTAAGCCCAGAAAGCCTAAAATGTTATCTATTTATCTCTTTATAGAAAAAAAGTATTATGAATTACTGCTTTAATCCTATATTTTAATTCAAGCTAATCATTACCTAATATAGTCTGAATCAACAAATTTTCTCTAATTTTAATGATCATAAAAAGTAAAACTGGATAATTCATATCTTAAAACATTTAATTGTAAGGGTTTATTACGGAATCACTTAAATAAATTCTCATCTCAATTTCCACTTGTCATTGTATACACAGATATGGGGCCCCAAAATGAATTGCATATTTTCAGCAATAAGTCAACAAATCACCGTAGACTGTTCCTTGTGTGTGAAATGCTGAGAAGTATACAAAGATGATTAACATTTGGTTCCTGCCCTTGTGTAATCTGTTTTACAGAGGTAAATAAATACAAGAGAATAGATGATTGACTTGCACTCTATCAGTGCTGAGTTAGAGTGGTGATAAACCCTGTAAGCACTAGTATTGGACTTTGAGGGTCTAAATCCTGTCTTGCCTCTTCCTAGCTGTACAGTTTGGACACAATACTTAATGACTCTGTGCTTCAGTTTTCTCAGCTGAAAAATGAGGATAATAATGGAGCCCACCTAATAGGTTTGCTGTAAGTATTGAGATATCTGTGAAATAACAAGTAGGTAGTGCTTTAGAACTGGGCCTGGTACCTTGTAAATGCTCAAACATGTTAACTCTCATCATCATGGTGGAATTACCTTTTATACTTCTATCCGGCCATTAGAATCAATGCCCTGAGTGCTGCAAATTAGTTAGATTAATTAATAGTTTCATCCAATTTAGGATCTTCATTAAAGTTAAACGTGGGAGTCATTCTTGTGTGACTTCTTCCTGGATAGTAGCACTTAAGAGATATGGGAAAACTGCTGTTTCTTGACATCAATGCTATCAGAGAGGGGCTAACTTTCCTGCTACAATTCTTGCTTTAAAATTACTGTTTGGTTTGAAACAGCTCAGTTTTACCTTTACATCTAAAACTATTAATTATTAATTTTCAGAAAGCCAGGCAAAATTATTTCCATGGAATTTTGGATAAACTGTATATCAACTGTATAGTCTCTCAAATGCTAGAGATCCATTTATGCTTTTATAATGCATAATTGAATTTGATTTTTACCATAAACATTTGTTGAGCTTTATCCAGTGTTATGACTCATAGTGGTGATAATGAAGGCTTTTCATTAATGAGTAACATTATGAAAATACCAAGTTTGTATCATTTTGCCTGATTTTCTCTCACATGAAGCACATTGTCACTGTGAACAATTATTATGTATTTTGTGTAGGATAAACTAATTTTTCAAAAAGTTAATATATAACTCATTCTATCTCTACATACAATACTTGTGCAAATACTGAGGTCAGAGAGCTTGAGAGATTTTCCCAATCTCAAAGAACCAGTTAAGAGAAAAACCAAGCCTGGAGCTAGATTCTTGGTCCAGCTTTATTTCCACTGTGACATCACATACTCATTCTAGTTTTACCACTTGGAATATCTTTTATTTTACTCTAATTCTTTCAGCATTAGTTTTCCTGGTATCTTGCACCTAGCAATTAATAAGAATATTTGATTAACCTACACTACCTTTTCCCAGGGGATTTATGTCTATGGAAAGGACATGGACCAGATGATCTCTTAGGCCTTTCTCCATTCTTTGTCTTTGATCATTGATAACCTATTTCTGTATTATCCACTGTTAAGATGATTTGTGCCATACCTCAGTGCTGTGGATGGTCAAAGACTGACTATACATCCCCTCCACCATGCCATCTGCCGTTTGAGGATTTATTATGAATTCAATATTTGCCTTGCTTACCCTCAGCAATTCTCCAATGGTGATTGGGGTTATTTAAAATAATTTACAAAGGCTAAATGCCAGAACTTCAGAGCTGAGACAACTTTCTAAATCAGCTAATGGAATTTATCATTTTTCAGATGAGGAAACGAAAGGGAAAGGGCAAGATTGTATATGGCCGCCTCCAATAAACTATGCTGATTCCATGCATTCACAAAGTATGATTAGGCATGAAAGTGGAAGAGCTATTCAGAAGATGTATTTAGATTAGCAGGCTCCCATTTGGCAAAGAAAATATGCCCTGAAAAATTAAGTTGATAGAGTCAGTCACAACTCCTTGCAAGTTACTTTAATAAAACCAATACTCAACTGAGACTGGCCTAATTGGAATTTTCATTGCAAAAGGGAGAAAAGGACTGAGGAAGTTTCTAAACATTGAAGCCAGAATAATAATATGAGATTAGTGGTGTCTTCAGAGGCAGGGTACAAAATTAGGGAAATAGGTAATGCTGGTGATGAACACTGGCCCATTTGCCATTTTTCCTGTTGCAGTTGGGCTGATGGCGTGCTACTGATCCATATCTGAGTACCAATGTGTTAGGCTGCCAGTGTCTGACTGAGAATTATAGAACTTGTTTGGAAGATTTTCCATTTGCCGGACACCTCCAATGTATCTATAATATTTTCTTCCCAGTGTCTCCTTCCCTGACCCCTCCCCTCCAGCCTTCTCTTTAAAGAGAAATTCTAAATGGGAGAAAGTTATAAAATACTCATCCATTCATTCAACAAATGATTTTGAGGTCATTCTATGTGCTAACAGCTGTCAGGTCCTGTTTTCAAGGACCTTGAATGTATGGACAAGTAAATTATAATGCAATGCAAGAATTGTTAAAGTAGCAGGAAGTACAGGTGCTAGAAAAGCAGAGAAAAGGAGATCATCTGGCCTCAGGTTGTGCAAGTTTGAGAAAATATCTATGGAAATCTCTAGTAAGCTGACAGCTGAAGGGAGATCAAATGGAAGATCTAAGTAACATAAGCAACACGGAAAATCTAACCGGTATTTTCTGAATTCTGTAAATAAAGAATATGCCTTCTTTGCAAGTACCCATAGAATATTCATAAAAATCAACCATGTACTAGACTGCAAAGACAATCTCAATAAACTTCAAAAATTAAAAACAATATAGCAAATATTTTCCCATAATGTGATAAAACTAAAAATAAAACAACAAAATGTAGGAAATAAAAAGATTTTGCTTTCTGGGGAAAGCATGAATTTCTTAGTCCTTGAACCAAAGAAGAAATACAAGCTGAAATTGCACAGTGTCTACAAAATAGTAATAAAGCAATTTATACCACAATTTATATGACCTATCTAGAGACATACTCAGAATGAGATTTAATATTTTTATCAGTAAACAACAAAATGGACTAGGGGAAAATAGAATAAAGGAATTAATAAAGATAAAAGCAGGAGTTAATGAGTTAAAAAAGAATATTAGCTGAATAATAAATACAATGAAGAACTAGCTTTTTAAATAAACTAAACTGCTAGACTAATCAAGAAAGAGAGAAAATATAGCTATATAAAATAAGAAACAATAATGGGAAAGAACACAGAAAATTAAAAGACTCTTAAGAGACTACTTTAACTTATACATATACATTGGAAAATCAGGATGAAATGGACAGTTTTGTAGAAAAATATACTTTACTGAAACTGAGGAGATATTTTTAAAAAATCTAAGTAGCCCATTTCCCTAGAAAAATTTTTTCAAGGGCTACAGTTTTCAGCATTTAGCCATATGATTTTTCTCCTTAGATAAATTAACATGAAATATTTTAGTAATAGATTTTCTTATAATAAATTATCGTTGCATTATTAAATAAATCGTACTTGGTCATAACTTATTTTTAAATTTCTAGCTGAATTGTTTGCTACATAGCATTTTTACATCCATTTTCCTAAGTGAGACTTGTCTTCAGTTATTTTGTGTGTGTGTGTGTGTGTGTGTGTAATCTTTTCTAGTAATTTTGGCATGATTGTTATGCTTGCTTTATGATTTAGAAGTTTTTCTTTCATACATTAGGTTCTGGAATTGACAAAACAAATTAGCATCATCTACTTTTTCAAGGTATACTAGAAGTCTTCTATGAATCCATCTGCGCCTGGAATCTAATGCAAAAATTATATGATCAGCTACTGATATGCTAAACAGATTTTGCAACATTCAACCTAAATTCTTCATGAAAATCTTTAATAATACTAATTCAGGGAAAATATATATACAAAAGCCAAAACTATGTTTAATGGGGAAATATAGAATTATGACTAGTACCAGGAACAAGACAGGGATACCTACATTAGCATTATTATGCAACATTGTACTCAAGGTAGACATTAAGGCACTTAGGAAAAATAACTAAAGGTATACAAATTAGAAAGGAGATGGTAACATGGTAGCTACTTGTGAATGATATGACAGTCTATCTGGAAAACTCAAGAGAACCAACTGAAAAATCTACTACTACTAGTATAAATATTTAGAGAGTTCAGTAAAGTAGTAAAATACAAAATTAATATGTGGAAATTAATAACTTTTATTCATACAAAATATAATGAAAAATAACAATAGCAACAGAAAAATAATAAAATATTTATGAATAAACTTAACAGGAAATGTGCAAGAACACAAAAGTTGATTTGAACAAATGAAAAGACATTCCGTGCTCTGTCATAGAAAAGTTCAGTATCCTATGTTTTAATCCTTTTATAAGTTAACTTTGTAACTGTAATGTGTTGGTAATAAATATATAAATTGTTTGCCTGTTGACAGAGATGCAAACTTAGGTACTGTGCCCATAGTATATGTGGTCAGGGAAGACTTTAAAACAAATCATATATAGCATTCATGTAAATCTATTCTTGTTCAGAAAATTAAATAAATATTTTTATAACTCATGTGTGCCTAAACCTTTAAAGCCTGAACATTCATATATATTTTGTTTGGAGCCTGGAATGCTTATCAGGATAATTTCTCTGCTTTCTATCATCATTCACATCTGAAATTACAGTTTTAAAAATGAGTTAGCTTAAGAAAATAGTGTTGCTCATCTTTCTGTGCAGTAATATATACTGAAATTAATGTAAAAAAATGTGAGCCAAGCTTTCTGCAACTCTGAAATCAAGTTATATCTGCTCCTTTAAATAAAACTGCCTTGTTGATCATGAATTTTTATTAATAGGTATCTGTGTATATGTAAGAGTGTGTGTGTGTGTGTGTTTTATTCTGCTTTATGAATTGCAAAGGAACAGATCTGAAAATGTATAATTTATTCTCATTTGTCACAACTCAACAGAAGGAATTATAGTAACAAACTTGGTAATATTCAGGAAAATAATAAATCTCGGTGTCCTGATACATCAGTTCTATCTACCAAACTATTCCATTCCCTTTCTTAAATAGGAGCTGGAAATTAAAATTGATAAAAATATTTATATTAGTATATTTATTTGGGCAGAGTTGCTACTTTGAATACATCATAGGCTTGAGATATTATGAACCTCAAAAATTTATTAGTAAGCTGCAAAAATATACTTAATTCTTAGACTGTGGATGATATTGGCAAATGTTTTCTACTTTTTTTTTTTTTTTTTTCTGAGACAGAGTCTCACTCTGTCACCCAGGCTGGAGTATAGTGGCACAATCTTGGCTCACTGAAACCTCCACCTCCCAGGTTCAAGTGATTCTCCTGCCTCAGCCTCCCGAGTAGCTAGGATTACAGGCGCCTACCACCACACCCAGCTAATTGTTCATATTTTTAGTAGAGACAGGGTTTTGCCGTGTTGCCCAGGCTGGTTTCGAACTCCTGAGCTCAGGCAATCCACCTGCCTTGGCCTCCCAAAGTGCTGGGATTACAGGCCTCAGCCACCACACCCAGCCATTTTCTACTTTTAAATTAAGCTATAATAAAGTTATCTACTTCCTAGAAGTTATTATTTTTCTCTTGTCTTAGTCTGTCAGCTATACATTTTTTTTTCTCAGATGGATGAATATTCCTGACCTTTTACTTTAGACTTTAGTTACTCTGATCATCCAGCTTGTCTAGAAATTGACAACTCTTCTTTGATCAATATGAGTCATCCTCTTAAAGCAAGAATAACTTGGACTGTCAATATATGTATTATCTCTTCCTACAACTTAAATGATGGAAAAGATAGCACACTGCCAAGTTCAAAGTCCATATTTGATCCTTTACTATGATACCTGCTTGAACATGCAAGCTTTCTAAATACCATTAGAGGTAAATGAAACAACTTGAAGTCTTTTTCCTTCCACAGGAGGAAAATGTTCTTGTCTCAAAGTGCATAAGTAAGTTAGCGTCATAAAAGTATGTGTCTGTTCATTCATTCATTCATTCATTCATTCATTCATGTAGCATCTTTGAACATCAGCAAAACACAGTGTTATTATGTTTCTGGCACCATGTTAAGGGCTGGAGATAAATGAATGAGACAGGCTCTTGCCATGAAATAATTTACAGTCTAGTAAACGAAACAAAGAAATGCCAGGAGCTGTATTTCAATCAGTGAAATTTGTATCTTTAGCCAAAACCTTCTATTAACTCCACACTCCTATATCAAATGCCTATTCACTGACTCTACTTTGATGTCTCATAGCTGTCTACATTAACCTGTTCTAATCGCAGTCTTTCTCATGGTCAAGTAGGCGCTAACTCCATCATTCCAGTTACTACGCAAAACATTTAACTACTTTATTTCATTTAAATCCCATATCCAATCCATCAGGAAGTTCTGTTGGCCCTACTTCAATGTACATGCAGCAAAATCTGACCCTTTCTCATCTCTCCACTGCTAGCCACCGGTCCCAATCTCCATCTCTCGCTTTGATAACTTCAATAATCTCCTAACTGGTATCCTTGCTCCCTCCCTTGTTCACCCACAGTCTATAATCAACAAAGCAGCTGCAGTATCCTTTTTAAAACCTAAGTCATACCATGCAGCTTCTTTGTCCAAAAACCTCCATGGCCCACATTTCACCTAGTATGTAAGCTGGAATCCTTTCAGTGGTCAACAAGGACCTACATGGTCCATCCACCATAATTACTTTGACCTCATTTTCTAATTCTCCCTTCACTTTCTACTCCAGACACACTGTCCTCTTTGTTGCTTTCACCGTAGAGTTTCTGCACTGACTGTTTCCTCTGCCTGGAATGTTCTTTCCCAGACGTCTATGTGCCTTTCTCCTCACTCCATCAAGTCTTTGCTCAAATATTATCTTCTCAATCAGGCCTACCCTGACCATACTATTTAAAATTGTATTCCTCCATTTGTAGTCTCAATCTTCATTACACTATTGATTCTTTCCTGCCCCCCAACAGCACTTAACTCTTTCTAAAGTGCCATATAATTTGCTTATTTGTTGTATATATTACTTATTATCTGTCTCCCCCTGATGGAATATAACCTATAAGAAGATTACGGAGGTCTTTAAATTTTGACTGGTAAATCCCAAGGGTACTTGGCACATAGTAGATGCCCCATAAACATTTCTTGATGAACTTGTTAACTAAAACGATTTGCCAGAACCCAATTTGCAACAGATAAATCCACTGAATGATCTGCGTGTCATATTGAACAAATTTATCAAATTACCAAATTATTTTAAAACTATTTGTAGGTTGACAGAAATTAGTATTGGATGTGATAGTAGGACTCACTCATTAATGTTGTGAGTAGCTAGAATCCAGAGTTCTGGGCTGTCATACTCGCCCCCAGCTGCAGGGTCTCCTATCTTCCTGTGCTTGGCCTTTCTCCTTCTTTCTCCCAGGTTCACTCCTCTTGATGGCAGCCCAGGATGTGCTCTAAAATGGCTCTTCTCTCTGCCTTCCCCCAGACTCAGGGTCCCCTTTCTCTACCCCAAACCCTCCAGCTAACTCAGCAGGATGCAAGGGCAATGAGAAACTGAGCATCACTGACATATTAATTAAGAAAACAACATAAGAACCAAGCAAAGAAACCTTTGCAGAATGATTCAAAAGCTGTTAATTTCACCCAACACAAATTGCTTTAAATCCTATAAGTAGTTCAAATAAATATATTTTTGTTAGATTGGTAAATATAGTATGGTAAATGTCATAAATAATCTACAAATAGATTTTTGGTGAATTGGCCTGTTTCTGGTTAACTGTAAGAGGTGCTATGAGGGTCTTCTAGAGCTGGAGTCAGCAAACTTTCTGTAAAAAGCCATACAGTAAGCATTTTAAGTTAAGAGAGCAATACAGCCTTTGTCAGAACTACTCAACTCTGCCTTTGTAGTGCAAAAGCAGCCATAGATGTATGTAAATGAATGAGTGTGACTATGTTCCAATAAAACTTTATTTGCAAAAACAGGTAGTGGGCTGGATTTGGCTCATGGGCCATAGCTCACTGACCCCTGCTATAGAGGACACTGGAGCCTTTAAGGCAGAGTGAAGAGATTAGGCAACACATCCAATAACTAGTCTGGCTAAACTCAGGGGCTTTTATTTACTCAGAGTAGGTTCATATTCTGGATTTGTATTCATTTACCCTATCACTTTGGGTAAGAGATAACCGTCTCTGATCCTCAATTTTTCATCTTAAGATGGCAAAAACTTAAAGCCATTTAAGAGTGGTGATGATAGATAAGAATATATATATGACAAGGGGAAAATATAAACATATGAATGGCCATTGCCTTTTCTTTTTTCTTCTAAGGTTCCTTTGTTGCTAGGGCTGCCTGTTTGATGAGGTTGGTTGATTCAGCTTTCATCTCATTGGGTGTGTAGAACTGCCAGTGTGAAGAAGCTTAAGACACAGTAGATTTATTTACACTAGAAAGGATACAAAACTACTGTAGGGAGAAAAAATAAACTAGATTTGGAAAGAAAAAGGAGGAAAGAAGGAAACGAGGAAGAGACAGAGGAGCAAATCAAACCTGGAATGAGTTTTGAGGAAAGATTTTTAGAGTTTGGAAGAAGTGGGATTGGATACAGCTCTCATGCATTGCTTATGATGAGGGAGGATGAGGACAAAGGGAGAGAAAGATTATCAGAAGTGTTGTTCTGTGTTATGAATACTATTATCTTTCTGGACTTTTTAAAGATAATGCAATAAAGACGAAAACGATTTAATTTTACAGTATAGGACTTTGAATAAAACCATTTTATTGCATGGCCAGGAGGCAGCCTAACTTTATAAGGGTTACACAAGCACAACACCAAGCACAGAGCTTGACACAGAATAAGAACTGAAAATGATAATAATATAGTCTTTGTCATAGTGTGTATACCTGATGAGGGGCAGGTAAGAGAAAGTTTCATTGAGAGTAGATTCTTGAGCCGAATTTTGTAAAATAAGTGGTTATTTCTCAGGAAGATATGCAATATGACTATGAACTCAAGCTTTGGAATCAGAAATGCTGGGGTTTGAGGCCTGGTTAAGTGTATAACTTTGGACAAGTTGCCTAATGTCTATGTGACTCAGTTTCCTGGTAATGAAGACAGTGCCTAATACAGAAGGGGGATCGAATTTGATAATACATATAAGGTAATTAGAAGAGAGATGAAATAGAATTAAAGTTATTTTGTGTAAGTCCATGTTGTTATATTATAAATGTTTAATGTGCATTGCCAGAGTCAAATGACATGTGAAAAAGAGGAGACCCATTATGGTTACATTACTCATAATCATCATCATCACCAATCATCATCATCAAGCATTGTTCCTTTGAGGGCTGATATTTTAACTTCAAGATTTTGCAATTAAGGTTTCTATAATTGGGACACAAATCTATGGACCCTAGATGGACTTTGGCAGCTGAACTGTAGAAATAAAACCATGATATCTGAAACAAAATGGTTCAAGAAGCAAGAGAGCAACAAAATTAATGCCACTCAGCCCCTTGGCTGGAACCAGAGACTCAAACAGTTTGGAATCAGAGCCATGCCCCAACACCCAGGACACCATGCCCAGAGGGCTGGCTCTTTGTGCTGATCCCTGTTTTCTGAGCAGTTCACTCAAAGGGGAAGAGACAGAAGCAGGAGAGTGCCTAAATGGACCTTTACATCACACAAGAGAGCAGGAGTAAATTTGCTGAACTCAAGGCACTGCCTAGAGAAGTAAATATTATCTCTGTATGTGTTTGGTCTCACGATCCTGCTGATCCTAAAGTAAAATATTACTATATTGGAAAGTACAGAAGTTGAGCCAATGATGATGACACTCTTGGTTTCTGTTACTTTTGTGCTGCCCCAATATTGGGCATTTATGCCTGCAGGTGATTTATGTTTCCCATAAGTGCTCTAAAGCTTTGATACTTTTAAGACTTAAATACGGATCCTTTAAGTCATAGACTAGAGACATCCACAAAGAATGCTACTACAACCACCCTTGCTCTTTGTCTAGCGCTTGACCATCATTAGCTTGTTTCTGACCCAGGACTTCTATTATTGGAGGCTGTCTGCTTAGAAAGATCTTTCCTGCCCCCAGATCTTTGCCTAGCTTTCCTGTTACACCATTCAAGTCTCTGCTCAAATGTCCCCTCTTCAGAAAGGTCTTCTGTGATAACCTAGTTAAATAAAGTCTCCCCACTGTCACCTAACAATTTACCACGCTCCAACACTTAACTGTGCTCTATTTTTCTTCTTAGCACTTATTACTACCTATGCCTCTATCCTGCTTCATATTTTTATTTATTTGCTTGTTATTTATATCTCCCATTATAAGTTCTATGAGGACAAAGGCTTTTTCTGTCTTGGCTGTTGACCACTATCTCCTCAGTGCCTAGAACAGTAGCTGTTAAAGAACAGATGTTCATACACATTTATTATGTGAATGAATGACTGAATAACTACTAGAGTTAGAAGTCATTCACATTTGACTGAACAAAAACATTGACTTCTGAGAGGTTTAAGTGATCTGCTCAGGGTCAAAGAGGTCATGGCTTACAGGGCCAGGACATAAATGCTAGTCATCTCCCCCCTGCTTTAGTACCCCATCAACCATGAACATGTCATTGAACAATGATTATACACTTAACACCATACCAAGGATGATTTGGAGGATTCACAAAACATAGAAAATGTGGAAGTGGCCTTCAAGGATCTTCTAGTCTAACACAGAATATACAACATGTACAGCTAAAAGGGCACAAATTTCACCTAATATTGCTTATTCTAGGAAAGTGTGTTTCAGCTGTGAAATGAAGTAAATATGGAACAAATATAAAACTTGAAAATAATATCCATATTAGGGCCCTGCCTCAAATCAATTAAATTAGAATCCCTAGGAGTGGGACCCAACTTTGATATTTTTTTAGAAGTTCTCCATGTGACTACTGTACAACCAGCTTCAAAAACCACCACTGTAGCCCAGCGTATTTCAAATTGTAATATGCACCTGAATCACCTGAGGATCTTGTTAAATTTCAGATTGTGATGCAGTAGGTCTGGGACAGGGACTGAGATCCTACATTTCCAGTAAGTTCCCAGGTTATGCCTATGCTGGTTTGTGGATCACACTTTGAATGGGGAGGTTCTAGAGTGTAAGTGACCTGGGTTAGAAAAAAAAGTATTTGCATAGTTATGAAATAAGTACAGAGAGCCACATTACAACACAGATGGACTCATGGCAAAGACCCCATACTTAATAGGGAGGTTACATCATATTTGGGGAAAAAATGGGAAACCAACAATGTACAAATGCAGGCAACGAAGCCCAGTGGAAGCATAGCTCACAAGTGCTGGGAGGATGCGGAGGGAAGCAATTAAGAAAATATTCTAAGAGCTGAGAATAAGTACCAAGCTGTAGAAACATCCTTCTGGGCCTATTCTGAGAATGGAACAAATCCAAAAGTGCAGCTGCAGGAGCCAACTTCACATTTCTCTAGGGAACAGTGGACATCAAAGAGTCAGATGGGGAGTTTGTGCAGGAACCCTCAGTTTGGATTATTTTCATCAAGAATAACAGAGATTTAACATGGAGAACATAATCTGGCCATAACCTTTCCAAGTCTACAGAAGGAAGTAATTCAGGAGTGGCTGAACAAAAATGAAGTTAAGCCTGTTACAGGTGACCTCGCCCAGATTACAGTGGGGAGAACAGGAACCCACCACTGCAAAGATAATAGAGAACCTTGGCAGACACCCAGCTCTGTGCTCCACAGATGCTCCAAACAACCTAGCTTGCCTCCATCTCACCTAGTTTGTTTTTTACCTAACTTCTCCATATTTGCAGAATGAAATTTCAGGATTCTGTGATTTACCCAAGTAATCACTTACTTCCATCTTTAGAGAAGTCCCCATGTGCAAGCAGTCTCTGCTCAGTGTCTATATTACACCTGGCTTATTATTATTATTTTCTAATCCAAACAGCTCTCCCTCTCCTCCATTTTGGAATACTGTTGATATGGTTTGGCTGTGTCCCCACTCAAATCTCATCTTGAATTGTAGCTCCCATAATTCCCACATGTTATGGGAGGGACCCAGTGGGAGATAATTGAATCATGGGGGCAGTTTCCCCCATACTGTTCTCGTGGTAGTGAATAAGTCTCACAAGATCTGATAGTTTTATAAGGGGAAACCCCTTTCTCTTGGTTCTCATTCTTTCTCTTGTCTGCTGCCATGTGAGATGTGCCTTTCACCTACTACCATGATTGTGAGGCCTCCCCAGCCATGTGGAACTGTGAGTCCATTAAACCTCTTTTTCTTTATAAATTACCCAGTCTTGGGTATGTCTTTATCAGCAGTGTGAAAATGGACTAATACAACTACTCTGAAAATCCAGGCTACCATGTCCTTCAACCAAAAATATTTCAGTATCCATCATGCTTAGGGCACTGAGTTTAAATATAAGTTCACTAGAGGTGGATACTGATTTCAGAGAATTAAAATGCATTAGTGATAGAAAACATGCCCACATGCTAACTACAGGCATACCTCAGAAATATTGTGGGTTTGGTTCAGACCACTGCAATAAAGTGAATATTGCAAAAAAGTGAGTCAAACTTTTTGGTACCTTGGTGCATATAAAAGTTATAGTCTAATAAGTGTGCAATAGCAATATGCAATAGCATTATGTCTAAAAATGTCTAAAATTTTAGACATAGCATTATGTCTAAAACATAGCACAATGTAATAACATTATGTCTAAAAAACAATGTACATACCTTAATTTAAAAATACTTCATGGCTAAAAAATACTAACAATCATCTGAGCCTTCAGTGAGTTGTAATCTTTTTGCTGGTAGAGGGTGTGATGTGGTCTTGTCTTGACATTGATGGCTGCTGACTGCTTAGGGTGGTGGTTGCTGAAGGTTGGGTGACAGTGGTAATTTCAGTGATTTTTGTTTTGTTTTGTTTCTTTAAGAGACAGGGTCTCATTCTGTCACTCAGGGTGGAGTGCAGTGGTACGATCATAGTTCACTGCAGCCTTGACTTCCTGGGCTCAAGCAATCCTTCTGCCTCAGTCTTTCCAGTAGCTAGGAATATAGGGGCACACCACCATGCCTGGCTTATTTTCAAACTTTTTGTAAAGACACAGTCTTGCTATGTTGCCCAGGCTTGTCTCAAACTTCTGGCCTCAAGTGATCCTCCCTACTTAGCCTCCCAATTCGCTGGGATTACAGGCATGAGCCACTGTGCCCAGCTGGCAATTTCTTTAAATAAGACAACCATGTAGTTTGCTGTGTTGATTCACTCTTCCTTTTACGAAAGATTTCTCTGTATCATGTGATGCTGTTTGATAGCATTTTACCCACAGTGGAACTTCTTTCAAAATTGGATTCAATCCTCTCAACTCCTGCCACTGCTTTATCAACTAAGTTTATGGAATATTCTAAATCCTTTGTTGTTGCAACAATGTTCACAGTATCTTCACCAGGATGTAGACTGCATCTTAAGAAACCACTTCCTTTCTTCATCAACTCCTCATCTATTCAGACTTTACTATGAGATTGCAGCAATTCAGTCACACCTTTAGGCTCCACATCTAATTCTAGTTTTCTTGCTATTTCCACCACACCTGCAGTGAATTCCTCCACTGAAGTCTCAGACCCCTCAAAGTCATCCATGAGGGTTAGAATCAACTTTTTCCAAACTCCTGATAATGTGGATATTTTGACCTCCTTCCATGAATCACAGATGTTCTTAATGGCATCTAGAATGGTAAATCCTTTCCAGAAGGTTTTCAATTTACTTTGCCCAGATCCATTGGAAGAATCACTGTCTATGGTAGCTATAGTCTTATGAAATTCATTTTTTAAAAAATAGTAAGAATTGAAAGTTGAAAATACTCTTTGATCCATTGGCTGCAGAATGGATGTTGTATTAGCAGGCATTAAAAAAAAATGTTAATCTACTTGTACCTCTCCATAAGAGCTCTTGGGTGACCAGGTACATTGTCAATGACCAGTAATATTTTGAAAAGAATCTTTTTTTTTTTCTGAGCAGTGGATCTCAACAGTGAGCCTAAATATTCATTTAGGTGTTCCCTGGAGTAGCACTTTTAATTTCTTTCAATAACTTTTTCTTTGTATTCACATCTTGACTGTTTGGCACAAGAGGCCTAGCTTTCAACCTATTCTGAATTTTTACTTACGTTCCTTACTAAGCTTAATCATTTCTAGCTTTTGATTTAAAGTGAGAGATGTGCAACTCTTCCTTTCACTTAAACATGTAGACCATTGTAGGGTTATTAATTGGCCTAATTTCAATATTGCTGTGTCTCAGGGTATAGGGAAGCTTGAGGAGAGGGAGAGAGACTGGGGGACAGCTGGTTCATAGAGAAGTGAGAACACACACAACATTGATCAATTAAGTTACCATCTTATATGGGCATGGTTCCTGGTACCCCCAAAAAATTATAATAGTAAAATCAAAGATCACTGATCACAAATCACCATAACAGACATAACAATAATGAACAAGTTTGAAATACTGTGAGAATTACTAAAATATGACACAGAGAAAAAGTGAGCACATGCTGTGGGAAAAGGGGTGCTTATAGACTTGCTTGGTGCAGGGTTGCGACAAATCTTCAATTTGTAGAAAATGCAATAGCTGTGAAATGCAATAAAGTTCAGTAAAATGAGATACGCCTATATATGTGGAGAGAAATGCAGAGGGACAACAAAAACAATGTTATTCTGCTGTGTCAAGGACACCAGGATGATTTTCTGCCCTTACTTATGTCCGGTAATCCCCTGACTCAGTTTCTGCTCAGACAAGCAAAGCAGTGGCTAGATGACAGTCTAGGTAAAGCACACTAAGCAAAGTTAGTTGAATATGTTCTAAGTTAGTGCCTTTGTCAGCTCTGACTGCCATAATTAAACACCATAGCTTGTGTGTTAAACAACAGAAAATCATTCTTTTACAGTTCGGGAAGCTGAAAGTCTGGGATCAAGGTCCCAGCACGGTCAGGTTCTGTTGAGGGTCCTCTTCCTGGCTTGTGAATGGCTGCTTTCTCATTGTGTGCTCATATGGGGAGGGAGAGAAAGAGAGCAAGTAAGCTTTCTGGTGTCTTTTCTTACAAAGGCACTAATTCCATTATGAGAGCCCTGCTCTTATGACCTCATCTCAACCTAATTACCTCCCAAAGGGCCCCATCTTCAAATACCGTCGCATTGGAGGTTAGGGTTTCAACAAGAAATCTTGGTGAGACACAAACATTTATTTCATAATAGATCTGATTTTACTGGGGGATATCTGGATATAATAACATGGCATTAGGCTATATACAATCACATGTCACCTAACAATGGGGATACATTCTGCAAAATGTGTTGTTAGACAATTTTGAAGTGCAAGCATTATAGATTGTACTTATAGAAACCTAGACTGTATAGCCTACTACCCATCTAGGCTATATGGCATATCTTATAGTTCTTAGGCTACAAACTTGTACAGCATGTTACTTTACTGAATGCTGTAGGCAACTGTAACATAATGGTAACTATTTGTATATCTAAACATACCTAAACATAGAAAACACATGGTAAAAATACAGTACTATGCTTTTATGGGACTGCCATTGTATATGTGGTTCATCGTTGACCAAAAAGCTCATTGTGTGGTACATGACTGTATATTATAATAATTATATAATAATGTAATATCAATTTTACTTTGAAATTTCTCACAACTCAGATATTTACATCTAAAAAAACTACACTGCTTCCTATCCCCAGCTTTGGAATTACAAAGTATGGGAAAACAGTTTTCTGGAATTATTTAAAGCTCCTGCTTGAATTTTATGTATTCAAAAATTCTTCCCTCATGAAGCCCTACAAGTTCTTTTGCAAGTGATAAATGTCTTGGTGTGGTTCACATTCAACAAAAGAGTAAAAAATATATTCATGTTTGTACAAAATTATCTCAGAGATGGCACACTACAGCGAATACTACACTATGATAGTTGGACTGTTGACATATATGTTCTGGACTATAGCGATCTTTACTAATGTCATAATAAGCAAAGGACATAGGAAAATTCCCCTTTTCTACCCTCCAAACAAGAACACATTTTCAGCATCAGAATTCACAAAGGGATATTCTTTTGATTTTTATGCATCAAAGCAAAGATCCCTCCATTCACTTATTCCAGATTATAAGTGGACATTGATGAAGTCCTTAAAACAATAAAATCCCATGTCAGAGAGTTCAAGCTTGGGATGCCACAGTTAAGCTTTCTCTAGCCTTATAAATACAGGCAAATGTGGATCCTCCTGATTTCTCTTTTGGGATGCAAATGAAAGTAAGACCCTTGTGCACCTGGGAAAGGTGTGGAGATGGGGGAAATTGTGATGAAAGGGAAGACAAAGGAATAGACTGTCTATTATAATTAAAAATTGCAATGCACAAGTTACATTTTTTTTGGTCCATGGTAAATAGATTGCTGCTAGAATTTCTCAATGGGTAGAAAGCCTGGGTGCCCAGGCTTTGTTAGAGAGGAGGCTGGAAGGAGTGGTTGGAAGCTCTCTCTGACACTAGAGACTTCCCGAAAGTGAAAGGTACAGGGAATATTCAGATGTATTTTCCCTTCCTGCCATATTTATTTGATTAACCTGTCACTAAAGAACAAAAGAGCAGAAGAGAACAAGGAAACAGGGATTTTGTTTTTTTTTTTCTGAACAGAACTTAATTTGCACACCATGAAGAAAAATTGATCGTTTTCTTATGTCTGCTACTCTGTTGAGAGTGTCCTATGTAGAAAATCAATTTCCTTGTCTCAAGTTGGTTTGCCTATTTAATTAACTTAGCAGCTTAATGGAGGCAAACGTGATTAAAACACAGTTTTAAAAAGCTTTCAAAATTGTTATTTATTATATATTGTAATATTGCATCAAAGATTTCCCTATAGTAATTATGGTGTGTTTAGATTTTGTTTTCCTCGCACCAATGTTTTATTAATTATTGAAGATGATTAGTTCAGTAGTCCTGTGATAATCAGAAACTAAAATATTCCTATTAAGCTTTAATGTATGCAACACAATACTACCTGGGCTTGAATATTATTTGTCATATGAATCTGTAACTTGGTAGTTTTTTGGCTTACCTAGAATTTTTGCATTGAACAATCATTTCATAGTTGTCAACTAATTCAGAACAATGAAGTGTTTTAATGATCAACTTTTAGAAAATCATTTTATATCTGCTTAACATTTTTAAACTCCATGTTTTTTAGAGTAAGCAGTAAAAATCCATGTATCCTGATGAGAGGTAGGGAAGAAGACTTAGGAATATTTGGAGTCAGATTAGGCAGGTCAGAGAAAACTTAAATATTAGGAAGAAATATCATGTATTGCGTCTTGGACTTTATTTACTTTAAAAGTTATTTTAATCTCTCAACATTAAAAATACAATTAATTTAAAGTGGCCTAACTTTTTTAAATTACAAGGTCATGAGTTTATTCTTCTCCATCTCTAATTCTTGCTAGATGTACTGTATCTGCATTGTCAGAACATAAAGCCATTATCTACTATGTTTTCTTCTTTATAGCCATAATTTAGTTTTAGTTCTATAGGTACACATATATTTAATGATCACCACCAGTCCTTATACTCTTAAAGTTCATAGTATAGATACACTACAGTATTCATACTCATCCTACTACTGATGGAATTTGGGTTGTGTATTTGGGAATATTGTAAAAATTACTACTCTGAACATTCATATACAAGTCTCTGTGTAGATGTATATTTTAATATCTCTTGGGTAAATACCTAGGAATAGGATCATTGTGTTACATGGTAAGTATATTTTAATTTTTTTTTTTTTTAAAAAACGGAGTCTCACTCTGTCATCAGGCTGGAGTGCAGTGGCGCGATCTCGGCTCACTGCAACCTCCGCCTCCTGGGTTCAAGCGATTCTCCTGCCTCAGCCTCCCGAATAGTTGGGACTACAGGCACGTGCCACCACGCCCAGCTAATTTTTGTATTTTTAGTAGAGACGGGGTTTCACCGTGTTGGCCAGGATGGTCTCGATCTCTTGACCTTGTGATTCGCCCGCCTCGGCCTTGCAAAGTGCTGGGATTACAGGCATGAGCCACTGCGCCCAGCCATATTTTTTAATTTTATAATTCGCTACCACATTATTTTTAAACATTTTGCATTTCCACCAGAAGTGCATGAGGATTTCAGTTGCTCCACATTCTCACCAACATTAATCATTCTTTTAAACTTTAACCATTCTAGTAGGTGTATAATGATATCTCATGATTTTATTTTGCATTAACCTAGTACTAATGATGTTGAGCATTAAATTGTTAAATTTAAGTTAAATTAGGCTAAATTGGCCATTTGTATACCTTCTTTGGCAGGGTCTGTTGAAATTTTTTGGCCCATTGTTTTTAAGAGCTCTTTTTTGTGTTTCGGATATAAGCGTTCTGTTCAGTTATGTGTCTTACAAATATCTTCTCCAAGTATATGGCTTGCTTTTGCATTTTCTTAAATGTTAGTTTAATTTTAATAAAGTCTATTTTATCATTTTTTAATGGTTTGTGTTTTTGTGATCTGAGAAGACTTTCTCTAACCCAATGTCTCAGAGATTTTCCCTGCTGTTTTCTTCTAGAAGTTAATAATTTTAGCTACTTTATTTAGATCTATGTTTATTCAAGATTTATTTCAAATATCATTTCCCATGTGATTCTTCCAGGAAGAGTTCATCAAACCCTCTGTATTTTCATAATATCATATGTACACTTACCTTAGAGTACGTGATTATTTATTTAAATGTTCATTTTCCCCACTAGACTGTAAGCTTCAATGCATAGTGATAAGTCTTATTTGTTTATGTAAAATGCCTAGACCATGCCTAATAAATAACAGACTCTCAATAAGTACTTGTTACATAAACAAAGGAATACAATTATATTAATTTATTAAATATTTTTACAAAGCATTTTTGCATCAACTTCTCATTAAAATCTCACAAGAATTTCATGAGGCAGACATTGTGTTACTTCCATGTTGTAAACTAATGTTGGCTTTTCAAAGCCTAATGAATTAAGATCAGACTATTTAGCCTGGCATTTAAAGGATTCTATGATATTATCCTCCAACCTTTCCAGCTTTGTTTTTCACTATTTCCTTTTACATATCCATTGCAACACTTAAAGTGGACAATTCATTTTTCTTCATCTATGCCCTTAATTTCTACGTTTTTACATTCATTCAAGCTATCTCTTTCACCTTGGAATTCTCTCTACTTCATTTCTCCCTAAGAATATCATAGCCATCTCAAAAGCCACCACTTTTATGTACCTTCCCATGATCTGACTAGATAAATGACCACATAAATGTGAATGCTTCTTCATCTACATAACCACAAATATCCATCCATCTTTACCTTAAATAAAATAAATGGTGTTTTTCCTTAGCTTCTCACCATTTTTCTCTTAATACCCATTCTCCTGACTTGTAGCATGTTTTCCTCTATTAGCAGGGTCCCATTGGTCTCCTGTTTTCCCTTTCTCCACATTGCCCTGTTCAGCCTTATGTATACACAGACTGGGAGTTATAAGAAATGGATTCCGACTCTGGTACTGCCAAGCACTGGTAGTAGAGCTTGGACCCTTAATTGCCTCCTTTGTAAAGGAGATCTACTCCTGCCTGTCTTTGAAGGCTGCTCTGGAAATTAATAATACAATGGATGGGAAAGTCATTTGTAAATTTAACATGTTATACAAACTCTTATAAGCATGATTGAAATCAGTCTTTAGCTTAAATTCATGCATCTGTCAGCCCCACAGCTGAAGACAAATGTTTGGGACAAATGTGTTCTGGGGCACCCACATTGGTGTTACTTCCAATGGCTCTTGGCTCCTGAATCTCCCTGTACCAAG
This sequence comes from Homo sapiens, assembly GCF_000001405.40. Classification (NCBI taxonomy): domain Eukaryota; kingdom Metazoa; phylum Chordata; class Mammalia; order Primates; family Hominidae; genus Homo; species Homo sapiens. The sequence continues at coordinate 14,647,150 of NC_000023.11, read as the reverse complement.
GTGAGCCCTGAGCTTGTAACTCTCCTGGTTCCTTCTGCACTTTTCTCTGTGTTTAATTAGATGCTTTTGGATCCCTCTGTGCACTGCCCAACATCTGTTCATGCTTCCCCGTGTCAGGCTCTGTACAGCTAATATGAAGGCGGAATGTTGACCTATTTTGCTTGATTTAATCAGGTTTTGCAGTTGTAAAGCCCTGCCCCAAGGTGGTTGTCACTGTCTTTTACAAGGTCCTGGGACACATACGGCAAGAAGGGAAAGTGGAAGCCCAGAGTAAACTGTCACTTCTTATTTTTAACACAATTAAAAGATCGTGCCTCCCTAGGTAAAGCTGTGAAATTATTGCCACTGGGATACATACCTTTCTCCACTAATTGATTCTCTCTACCTTTGTTAAACTCCCACCTCTGGACTATATCACCCTAAGTCTTCTCTATCGTATGTCTACCTGCACATCCCAGTTATCCTCTTTCAAGTCCACTGGACTGGTATGAGACTGAGACTGGCTCCTCAAATTAAGTTTACTTTGCTGACTTCCTATCACAAGAAAGGTTCAAATTAGTTATTTAGTGATACAGGGAGAGGTAGCAGTTAAAAGTGCAGTCTTTGGAGCAAGATTTTCTGAATTCAAATTCTAGTTCTGCCATACGTCCTTTCTGAAGATAGCAAGTTACTGAGATTCTCTTACCTCAGTTTATGAAACTATAAAATGGGCTAGTAACAGTCCCTGCCTCATTTGTTGTTTGATTAAATTAGTTAATTAAAATATTAATCAGGTAAAGAATTCAAAACAATGCCCAGTACCAAGTAAGCAGTCAATACAAGTACAGTATTTTGTGCCAATTAAAGGAACCTAGAATGGAGCCATAATGCACATGGCTTCAGAATTATAAATCTCTAGGTTCTCATCTTGTCCCTGCCACTTACTGGCTATGCAGTCTAAGTCTAGACAATTAATCTCTGTAGGCTTTAATTTCTTCATGTATAATAGCAGTGTCTTCACCATATGGGGTTGTGTTAAGCATTAAATAACATAATATGTAGAAATCGTTTTTAGAAGAGGGCTTGGTACATAATTGGCATGCAATTAAATTGGCTATTTTTATTTCTTAGGATAATGTAATTCCCCTCCCTAACTACTTAATCATGGTCTTCTGGAGCATTGTCCAACTGTCTCCACTTTTTTCAGAGGAAGTGCTTTAATGGTGTATTCATGCAGTCAGGTTGGAAGGTAGAAGAGCTAATTTTTTGTAGACTAAATTTGTGATACTTCTCAGCTCACAGAGGATCAATGGAGGTATTGTACAAGGAAGACAGCAAAGCATGGGAATAGGCAAACAAATGGGCAGTTTTAATTAACCCAACAGATGAAAGCCCTTTAATTATTGTTCAAGGCACATCTATCTCACTCTGTGGGAAAACAAGTTATCTAATGATGCACCAAGTCCAGCAAGCCCCAGGTGGACTCCACCGAAAGCTGTGGTGTGTTCTTGCTCTGGTTTCTCCTTTAGGTTAATTGCAAAGAGGTGAGATAATGAATTTAGAGTTGTGTTTTGTTTGGATCTATGTTCAAAGTATTTTGCTTTGAAAAATGGCTCTGCCATTTGCACGTATATTTGGGCACGGTGTCTAATTATGAGCTCAGAGGAAAGGAGGGAACATAGAGTTTACTGTCATTTCTCCATAATTTTCTCATTTTCTGTTGACAAATAGATGATCCATCCCAGAGGAAGATACTGGGAAGTAGAACCCAATAAAAATATGAACCATGTGCAGCCATGAGGAATGGAGAAGAGAAAAATGAAAGCATCAACTAAATTCTCACCTTTACTAGTATAAGGAAAGGAAGACTATGTATTAGACACTTTGATCTGTATGTAAAGAGGGTTTGTGGCTCAAATCAAGGAAATATATACCCTCCACCCTACAATCATCATTTGTCTACCCAAGTCAATTAATCAAACCATGCACAGAGCAAACATGGAGTTTCTGTTCATCTTTACCTACCTATGCTATTAATATGGATCATGGAAGTCACATCAGTTTTTTAAAACCAACATTTCTCATTAATGGCCATATAGTAAAGTTGTGCAGGCCACAATTTTATTCGTGCTACCATCCAAATTCTTCTTCACATTGAAGATGAAGGCTTAAGTATTATGTTTTCAGAGATCCAACCGTGAACAGCATTTACAACACCCGTTAAAGTGCTGTGATTAGTACTAGAGTTCAGCACTAGAAAGGTAGAAGATAAGCAAGTAGGAAAGAAATTGCTTTTATCAAACTGAAAAGCCGATACTGAACTGAATTATTTTCTTCTGTTTGTCTTTCCCTCAAATCAGCATTTGACTAGCAAGAATGTTTAAGGACAGAGTAATACTTTAGATAATTTAGAACCACTCGTTTAGGTAGGGAATAAAATTATTGCTTGGTAGAACAAGCCTTCTAGTTTTATTAAAAGCATGTTAATTTGAACAAAAAAAGCAATAAAATCCATTCTCTAAAATCTTATGTAGGCAAAAGAAACACTGTGAGTAAGGATAATAAAATAAATCACCCTGATTTGACACCCTGGGCTTTTTATTTTGAGATTTTGGCTGTAGAGAATGCCATAGTTCTTATCTCATTTGAAGTAGCAGGTCATGAAAACCACACTTTTTTCTGTAAAGAATATATCTATTATAATATTTAGAAAGCTTAGCATAGTCTCTGAAAGAGGGATTTTCTAAATATCTAGATTGCCCCCTTCATTTATGAAAATCCATGACCCTCAGTTTCCCTCTTCCTAAAAAAAACTACTGTATTTCTTCATTCGACTATCCCACTAGTCTATCTAAACTCATCCAACAAAGCAAGAGATGTGACCTCTGTTGAGGAGAGTGCTTTGGAAAACAGCACTATTTGGGCACTATTATGGGGAAATCTTTCTGAAAAAAATCTTATCCTGAGAACTGAAAGGGCTCTGTTCCTGGCCACAGAAGAAGGGCAAAGGAGGTCAGGAGTGTAGAGAAAATCCAGCAAGATTGGTGGCACATCATGGAAAGCAGAGCCCAAGGTGAGTGGACCACACCAGAGTAGAAGGCCTACACATCTCTTCCCAGGAGCTGCTGGGACAGAGAAGTGTATTCTTCTCTCTCAACAGTTTCTTATTTTAGCTCTGTGTTAGACACACCCAGGACCCATCCTTTCATCCTGTTTCTCTTCCAGGATTTCTGGATCCATATATTATAGTTTCCTGTAATGTAATTCTGGAAATCATTTAATATTTTTAATCACCACTTCCCACCTTCCACTTTTCTAGCACCTTGTGACACCTAGGCTATGTATGTTTTAATAGTGGATTTTGTGACAAAGACATGTAATGTCAACATGTTCCCATTGCATTGATGGAGCTGTCATGGCACTACTGAACCTTGCCTATGTTGTTACAGGAATGGGGAAGCACTCTATACACCAAATATAAAAGGAGAGCTCAAAAAGCAAATAACATTCCTGGTATAATTCAAATTTGAAGGAAAAATGGTTGTCAAACTCAGCACCTGGTGAACTCTTATGATAGCACTGGCAGACTTGATGTTCTTTCTTCCTTGTCTCAATTATATTGCAATAATTATGAGCATGATGGTGTCAATTGGAGTCTCTTTCTAGTGAAATAACCCCATGATTTCAAATAACCCAAACTAACCCCGGGTATTTCTCAGGCCATTTAATTTTTTCTACCCAATTATCATCTACTGGTCAGCCATTTAAAAGAATGCAATGAGAAGAAACCAGGTATGTTCCTTTTCTATTGCTGCCTAACATATCACCACAAATTTAGTGGTGTAAAGCAACACCCATGTATCAGCTCACTTCTGTAGGCTGGAAGTCTGACACATCATGGCTGAGTGTTTTGTGTCTCACAATGCTGAATTCAATGCATCAACCAGCTGTGTTTTCACCTGGAGCTTGGAGTCCTCTTCCAAGGTTATTATTCCTATTATTGGCAGAATTTAGTTCTTTGCAGTTACACAACTAACATACCTGTTTCCCTGATCGCTGTCATCCAGGGGCTTCTTTCAATCCCTTAAGGCTGCCAACATTCCTTCTCCTGTGGTTACCGCTATTTTCAAGCCACAGCTGAATCTCTCTTATGCTTCAAATCTCTCTGACTTTCTCTTCTGCCAGAAATATCTCTGTTTTTAGGGGATAGTCTGATTAGATCTGGCCCACCTAGATGATCTTCCTATTTTAGGGTCAACTGTACCATATACCATGATGCAATCATGGACATGATATCTTATCAGCTCACTGGTTCTAGGGGAAAAGGGCATGTAATCTTGATGGGAAAAGGGATTTTTAGAAATCTGCCTACCATACCTGATCAATAAGAATATGCAAAAGGACTCAAAGTCTATTTTTCCCTTGAGCCAAATAATTCCTGTGTCAATTTCTTAAAATTCAGGAAGTAGAAAGTTGAAAAAAACTAAGCAAAATAAAAACAATTACATGCTATATGGATATATAATAGTAAGAAATTAATATAGCTATAACATGATGTATTGTAAAAAAAAAAAAATCATGACCAGATGCAAATCATTGCACATTTTCACATAAGCATTTATGGGAAGCTAATATCTTGATGGCATAGATTGATAAAGGATGTGATTCCCTTCTGAAATCCAATGACTCAGCAGAAGAAGGACAGGCAGTCAGCGCTGTTCTCTGTCCTCTGCATCCAATGGCCAAGGAGCTGGGTGACTGAATAATCATACTTAGCTGTGCCTTGAAATGCACAGAAAAATTGTTTCTGACATGCCACTGGCACATGCAAAGAGGTAGAGATGAAGACTTATTTCTTCCAGTATTAGGAAGAGCAGATTCTCATTAGCAGAAGAACTGCCAGGCACCCAGCCCAGGCAGATGGACTTAATGAGAGAAAAACCCCATGGCCCCCTGTAAGTTACTGGCAGAGAGGAGGTTCTCTTATTTAGGCAATTTCCTCTCCTGTCACATTTGACTTGCTTTCTCTGGCCACTTGGATGCCCTGGAATATATAACCTTTATAGGAGTGTTACTGCAGATTTTACAAGATGATTCTTGTGGAACCTAAGTTTCTATTTTATTAAAGTGCTCCTGTGTCTTGGGCTGCCTGTAAAGGGAGCTGCTCTTTCCCTCCTAAATCTTTTAGTTTCTACCCAGAGCCAGACTGAACAATTTACCAGTCACGAATATGTATAATTTGGCATGGGCCCTCCTAACTCATATACCAACAGAGCCATTAGGCATATGGTGGGTCTGAAAAGCCAGATGGACCAGAAAGTACATTTACAACAGGCTTCAGTAATCATTTCAGTGGTCATTTCACACAGCTAGACCTGGAGATTCAGACCCAATCCACCCAGTTTATGTCTGAGTGGTCCAGATCAACACGTGAATGTTTCCCCAGTGTGTTGGATAATGTTCTAACCTTAACGGACACAATGAGGGCCTAATATGACACCCCAAGAATGTTACCAATAGCCAAACTTAATGAGGGCTTTCAATGTACTAGGCATCACCCAAAGAGCTTCATGTAGGTCTATTCCGATGATCTCCTCAACACTATGAGGCAGGTCCTATTATTATCCTCATTTTATAGATGAGGTATCAGAGGTATGTAAATAAAACTAACTTCATATGGCTTGAACCCAAATATCTCATCTGAACCACCAAACTGTGGGATTTTATCTTACTTCTGATAATATATGCAAGACAGAATTCCTGCCATATAGAATGCTGCTCTTGAAAAAATGGTCCTTTTAAAACCACTGCTTTTGAAAACACCACAGAGAATTTCAAAAAAGGCAAAAATTATTACCTATGAAAAACTTAATTAGACTGTTTTATTAAAATCATGTAGAACTCAACATAGAGTACTTGGATAAAGAGTTCAAATCCAGACTTGTGCTTGGGTAAGAAAATAATGAGCAAAAAGTTGGATCAAGCACTTCACAAAAGAAGACAACTAAATGGCTACTGAGCATGTGATAAGGTGTTTTCTTGGTATCATTAGTAGTTAGGAACATGCCAGTTAAAACCACAATGAGCTACCACTAAACGTCATCTGAATGGCTACATTGAAAAAAGTAGCAACCTGACAATAATGAGTGTTGACATGGATGTGGAGCAATTGGAACTCTCATATTTTGCTAGGGGACTGTAAATTGTGTCAACCACTTGGGAAAACTGTCAATACACACTGGAGTCAAGCATGTCAATACCTTATAGCCCAGCAACTCTACTCCTATATATATATATATTGTCAAGATAAACGTGTGCATATGTCCATCAAAAGTATGTACCAAATTTTCATAGAAGATTTAATACATAATAATCTAAAACCTGGAAGTGATGCCCACCAACAGGAGAACGGACAACAAAAGGGAAAAAATTACAGTTATACAAACAACACAGATACATCCCACAGGGATTGAGTTTTGTGAAAGAAGCCAGTTATGAAAGAATACGAACTGCAAAATTCCATTTATATGAAGTTCAGTAAGAGGCAAAAGTAACAATAGTTAAACAAGTCAGAACAGTAGTTACCCCTAGGACACTAGAAATATTCCATATCTTGATCTGAAATGTATACATATATAAAAATTTATGAATTGTACCCTTAACATTTTATGGCATTTTAATGTACATGGGCATTTTATGCATTTTAATGTATATGTTTTACTCTGAGAAAAAGGAAAAGAAGACTTTGTGTCTGACAAATGTTTTACTTGCGATAGAACAGGACATTTTAGCTCTTTTTTATTTTCTTTTCATTTGCATGATATTCCTTTGCTCATGGTACAAGCAATATATTTGCTGAGTGATTACGTTTTTTTGTGATGAGTTTACCACGTAATGTTAGGGATCTTCCAAGCAAACATGGTGAGGCATTGCACGTTTCCTTTCTTAAAAGTGCCTGTTGTATATTGCCTATCTCTTGGCAAAGTAGTGGGAAGTTTAAGACTTGCTTTAAAAAAAAAATAAACACAAATCCTTAAGGAAAGCAAACATTAAAAATTATATCAATTTAAAATGTGTATCCACATGCCATGGTTTGGGTTGGGCATTACTATACTGTGACAATGCAAAGAAGGAGAAACCATGCAATGGCATAGGAACAGAGTTGCAAGGTATTCTTCCAATTGGGAATACTACTTGGATCACCAAATATGTGAAATTCACATATGAAATATACTTGTTCTATATATCATTTAAAAACTTTTTACTATGAATATTTTTAACATCTGTGTAGCAGTTCTTTGTATCATTACAAATATTCTGCCAAGTAATAAAGTTTTTAAATATCTATATGAAAACATTCACAGTAAAAAGAACAAATAAGGCAAGTGAACAAACAGGGATTTATTTAAATGAGAGTAAACTTTCCTCAAGTTTACACCAGTTTCAGTTGTTTTGGTAGGGTCTCCAGGCATTTGTTAGAATTTAGAAATTTTACAAAGGCAACACAAGTCTCAGCATTGCTAATGATGTGCAGTGTTTGAGGGGTAGAAAGCACAGGGCACAGAACTGAAGAGCTGGTTTTGACAGTTGTCCCTGGGGTTCCCACACTGGCACTAAAATAGGGAAGCATTGTCACTGAATAGAGAAAAACATAAGTAATTGCAGTGCAGGAGGGAATTTTCCTCTAAGACTGTTAAGTTGCCTAATTTAACTATTTAAATGTTAAGGATTTCCTTGTCTGATACAGGATTTCCTCCATTGGGAAATTCTTAATTTTCCTCTAGTTATTCATTCAACAAATACATATTGAACACCTGCTTCATACCAAGATGTCTGCTGTGCTGGGTACACAATGGTTCTCTGCCCTCATGAGGGATAAGGTCTACAGTGTCATATTTCTCAGCACTGGGAAGTGGTTCCCATTGAGTCTCCTGGGAAGGAAGTTTGAGTGACTCCTTGAGGAAGATTAGCAGGAATTTGAAGGAAGAGAGAGAAAGATAATTACCTTTTATTGAATATTCCACATTAGACTTTACTTACGGAATATATCATGTAAGACCTTACAGCAGCCTTAAGAGGTAGCAAGTGTAATAATTGGCTTGATCAAGGGTATTTACCAGCAACAAAGGATTCAGATCCAAGGAAGTATGAACCCTGGATGTTTTATCTACTGTAGAAGACTGCCTCACCAAGAATTTGAGTATTTAGGTATTCACTCAACAAGTGTTTATTGAGTGCCTACTTTTGTGAGAGGCATTATTCTAAGCACATTATGGTATTTGAATTATATATCAAATATATATTTTAAATTCCATTTACTCTGTTTGGCTTTTAATATTAGTAAATTTTATTAAATTAGTCAAAACAGGAATGGACTATAATACAAGGAGATTTAGACATTTCTAGGAATTCATATTTCCACAACACATTGTGAGTAGAATAAATATTATACTTTCTATTTATATGCTCCTAATTATCAAATGCATATAGGTGCTGGTGTGAATGTACCTGAATTCATAGTAGCTTTTTGTGTTTGCAATTATATTTTCAGGAAGTTGATACCAAACATAAAATTACTTTCATCTAGGAGACATGGCATATTTTGATATTAAAAGGAAGGTCCTCAAACCCAAAAGTAATGGAAATCATTGGTTTATGGAAGGATAAAAATAATATTTCATTATTACCATTAATGTAAAAATAACAAAATAAAATTCCTCATTAGTAAATGGCCACATGTTTATTTGAATGAGAAACAATATTTGAAACTTGGCCTTCATATAAATAATAAAGAAGATCATGAAAGCTGTTAGTTGCAAAAGCAAGGAAAAATACCATGAAAATAGGTTTTTTTGAAGATATGGCAAAAGTTATAATTATAGGTTTTGAAAGTACATTGTGCAGATTCCTATATAGTCAACTCTACTCCATCCTCCCACCACCACCCTCCCCAAAAATCCTTGGCAAACCTTCCTTTTCATACTTCTCCAAATATCAAAGAAGCCACCTATTAAGTTGTTTTGTTACCCTTTTACCTACATGCTAACAATGCCATTTCAATAACCCTTTTTCATCTGAAATGCAGGGTGGCAGTTCAAAGACATTGGATTACTGGTTAGGAGACCTGGTACTCAGACCCTACCCTGTCTCTAGTAAAATCTTCTCTAAGTACCCCTCTTTTATTTCTAAAATGTAATACTAGTATTAGCCTTGCTTATATCCAGGACTTCTTCAGATGGTTTAAAAAAAGAGCATGTTTGTTTTCTTGTATGGTTTTTATTTTTGTGGTTCTTGTTTTCAGAGCTACATAAAAATGGACATTTATTTATGTGATTATGTGTAGTATTATAAATGTATCCCTTATATGAAACCTGTGGGAGCAATTATGCACTGTAACTCAGAGTTATTCAGATTTTATTAAGGTAATACTGTGACGTATACAATGTATTACATGCCCCTTACTCCCAGTGGGGCTTGGGGAAGACCCTGTAATCAAACACATTAATATTTCTTTGGAAAACAGTATGAATATTCACACTAAATGGGATATGCAAAGCCTATAATTAGCCTCCCATCAGTTCAGAACAGGTTTTGCTGCCAAATGAGCTGTGGGAAACCTTTTGGTTTTCAGAGCTTAGGAGATTTCATAAGTGTGGATAGAAGATTTTAGACCTGCATATTTTCAGAAGTGCTAAATATTTATGTTTCATATTAAGTCTACTCCCTCTCTCACTTAGATACTTTATTTTTATTCCTTTAGCTTTATTGGGTGGAACCTGTTCTGTCCTTTCCACCACTTTTCATCCTGGGAGAAGCGCCTTTTCTTTCTCATTCCACCTCCCCCATAGTTCCCCACCATCCACAGGGGTGATACACTGGGAAGTCAGGTACATACATGTAACTCTACTCACTTGATGGCAATTCATTTGTCCAGGGTGATCAGGGGACCTAAGCTAGGCTAATCAGAGTCCCTTCCCTGACCCTACCCCCATCACAGATGATAGGAATCAGAAGTGAACTCCTGCCTCAAAGTGAATGATCCTTTCCTCTGAGAATGTGGAATTGGGTCAAAAGAAAGAGCAGTTCCTCTCCAGGTGTCTAGTATTTTTTTTAACATGAATATCTTGGCACTGTCCATAGCCAGGCTTTCTACCTTTTGTGGATAAGGGACAAGGAAGAATGAGAGAGAGAATAGAACAAATTAGGTCTCTTATTCAGAGACAGAGAAAGAGGATTCCTCCAGATTTTTCCAGCCTTCCAGTCCATTTTGAATGCCTAAGCACACATCCATTCTTAGATTCTGAGACATTTCAGTTGCTTTCAAATATTTATCACTTTTTAAAATAAACTTTAAAAACTTTAGAATAGTTTTAGATTTATAGAAAGTTGTAAAGATAATACAGTTTTCATAAACCGCACACCTAGTTTCCCCTAGTGTTAACATCTTACTATGGCGTGGTACATTTATCACACCTAATAGATCAATACTGATATCTTAGTTTTTATCTAACTTTTTTTCTTACTGTTGTTCAAGGATTCCATCCAGGATACCATGTTACATTTAGTTATCATTCTCTCCTTAGGATCCCTTTAGCTGTGACACTTTATCAGACTTTCTTTAATTTTGATGAACTTAACAGTGCTGAATACCACTCAGGTATTTTGTAACATGTCCCTCCATTGGGAACTGTCTGATGTGTTCCTCATGATTAGACTGGGATTATATGTTTTTGGAAGGAAGACCACAGAGATAAAGTGCCCTTCTCATCACATCATACCGAGGTTATATACAATCAATATGACTTATTGTTGATACTGACCTTGATCACCTGACTAAGGTCGTATTTGTCAGGTTTCTCTACTGTAAAGTTACTCTTTTTTCTACTTTCCATACTGTACCCTATGGGAGGAAGTCATTATGGGCAGCCCACATTTAAGTAATAGGGAGTTATGCTCTACCTCCTTGAGGGCAGAATATATCTATATGAGTTATTTGGAATTCTGCATGGGAGATTTGTTTTTTCTACCTCAATTATTTTTATGCAATCATTTATTTATATCAGTATGACCTTATGGATATTTGTTTTACGATGTGGGTAATAATTCAATACTACTTTACTTATTTTGTTGCTTAAATAGTTCCAGCTTTGGTCACTGGGAACTCATTCAGTTGGCTCCTGTGTTTCTTGGACATACCCTATCATATTCATTTGACCCAATCTCAGTTGGTCCAGGAAATACCAGGAGCAGTGATTCTATTAGGGCACAAGGGGAAGCATCTCTTTGCTCTCAATTCAAACTGCAATGTTTGATCCCCATGATTTGGGGATAGGAAATATACAGTACCCAAAATTTCTCCCTAGGAATTGTTTTCAATAGACATAACATGAGACATACATTTCACATGATCTCATTAAATTCACATAAAGAACAAATTAATACTTCTCTGGAGGCCCTTAAAGACAATGACAGAAATTTCCTTGATTTTTCATATTTTGAAGTCTACATTGTATTGTTGCTAAACCGTCCATTTTCTCCTGAATAGTAACACAGTTTTTGGCCTTCATGTTTCTCTTATTTGCTTATTTGGTGACATTTACTAACAAAAGAACATTACTACTCATAAGCTACCACCTACGTAGTCTCAAAGACACACAAGCGTTATAGAAACAGATCCTCATGACGGATGGTGGCACTATTTGCTTCTAGAAAATCTTCATTAAATTATCCTCGGCCTCTTCTTCCCTCAGCCACATGTGTGTGGTCAGATTCCATTTTTGCTGTCTTCATTTTCTCAGTGGACATGACAGCTCATTTATAATTCTGCAGTTATTTACTCTCATTGCAATTCAAAAGATTTATTTAAATGCTAACTGCTTGGTGTTTTTCTTTAAAGAATTGCTTGGAAACTATGTCTGTGAAACATTATACATTTTAAAAAATGATTTCTATGACGATACTAGTGATTCCAGGAGGATTTGAGAATACTTTATTAGCAGCTTTCCTCTCTTCTCAGGTTAAACTTGACATAGACAATTTTGTCTGCTGCTACATAATAGAACGCATAAGCTTTTAACTCATTTCCTAAGCTTTAGTATTCATTTTAATATTATACTGATTTGATTTTAACCCATTTATTTACTCCAAATTCCATGCAAAATGTATTCAAACATAAAGATTAATTCACTTAATTAACCTTTTGATTAAAAACTAAAACCCCAGTACTTATCCATCTGGATTCTCTCCTCGAAACAGATTGTGGAGAATTGCAACTTAGAAGTTGTATTTCAAGTGGCTGCTAATATGGTCAAATCTACATTATGAGGGAATTAACGCACATAAAGTTGAAAGATCTCTAACCAAAGCCCTTGTTGAAAAATAAAGGTGCTAATATAAGGAATGAACATTTTCATTCCTTGTCAGTAGGCTAGTCTTTAAACCATTTCTGTAGGACCTCAATGTCTATTTGATAAGTCCAAATGGTTTGGGCTTGAAGTGGATGTTTTCATTACTAACCATGCAATATTTTTGCTCTGCTGCTGGGTTCTATCTCTGTGCTAGAAACAATGAGAATTCAAAGTTGAATGGGATATAATCACTGCCCTAAATGTGAAGATTGTCTAGTAGAGGAACAAACAGAAGTGCAAAAATAACCATAATATAAGGCAGAATAAAATAAAAGACCAAAGACAGGAGCTTCGCAGGTCTACAAGAGGAAGACATTATTTCTGCCTTGGTTTATCCAAAGACCTTACATTTTCCTTATTTTTCTATTACACTCCTTAGTATAATCAACATACCAGCCAAACAGAACTATGTACTTCTTCCCAAAATCTTCAGTGCTTACTCATCACTGTTAGTTATTTCAGGTTTTCTCCTGTGATATGATCTGGCTCTATATCCTCACTCAAATCTCATCTTGAGGCCAGGTGTGGTGGCTCACGCCTGTAATCCCAGCAATTTGGGAGGCCGAGGCAGGTGGATCACTTGAGGTCAGGTGTTTGAGACCAGCCTGGCCAACATGGTGAAACCCTGTCTCTACTAAAAATACAAAAATTAGTCGGGCATGGTGGTGGGTGCCTGTAATCCCAGCTACTTGGGAGGCTGAGGCATGAGAATCGCTTGAACCAGTGAGGCGGAGGTTGCAGTGAGCCAAGATCGTACTATTGCACTCCAGCCTGGGCGACAGAGTGAGACTCCATCTCAAAAAATTAAATAAATAAAAATAAAATATCATCTTGAATTGTAATCTGAATTGTAATCCCCATGTGTTGGGTGATGGACCTTGTGGAAGGTAATTAGATCATGGGGGCAGTTCCCCCATGCTGTTCTCATGATAGTAAGTGAGTTTTCATGCACTATATGGTTTTATAAGGGGTTGTTCCCCTTTTGCTCTGTACTTCTCTCTCCTGCTTCCTTGTGAAGAAGGATGTGTTTGCTTCCCCTTCCATCATGATTTTAAGTCTCCTGAGGCCTCCCCAGCCACGCAGAACTATGAGTCAATTAAACTCTTTGCTTTATAAATTACCCAGTCTCGGGTATTTTATTATAGCAGTGTGAAAATGGACTAATACACCCTGTCATTCCTGCTTTTCGTAATTCTGTCTAAATACATCAGCTTAGATATTGCTGCCTCTCTTAAATCATTCATTTGTTGTTGTTGTTGTTGTTGTTTTAGAGATACAGTCTCACTCTGTCACTCAGGCTGCAGTGCAGTGGTGCAAGCATAGCTTACTATAACCTTGAACAACTAGGCTCAAGCTATCCTCCTGCCTCAGCCTTTCAAGTAGCTGAGACTACAGGTGTTCACCACCACACCCAGTTAATTTTTTATTTTTTGTGGAGTCAGGGTCTCATCATGTTGCTCAGGCTGGTCTCAAACTCTTGGCCTCAAGCAGTCCTCCCAACTCAGCCTCCCAAAGTGCTGGGATTATAGGCGTGAGGTGCTGCACCTAGCCAATTCATTGTATTTACAAATCAAGTATTAAGATATGAATCTCCCTTCTTTGACATCCCATGACACTTGTTTCTGGTCATCTTTGTGATATATCTATTGTTCTATGTTGTGTTTCTCTGCTTTTTTCCATTGGATCAGGGTTTTATTGGAACATAACCATGCTCATTTGTTTTCATGTTGTCTATGGCTGTCTTTGTGTAACAACTGCAGAGTTGAATAATTGTGACAGAGACCTTATGGCTTGCAAGCCTAAAATATTTACTATGTGGTCCTTTGCAGATGATGTTTGCTGACTCTTGTACTAGATCATAAATTCCTCATGGGGAAGAAACTATCTTATTATCTTTTTGACCTATTTAATACCTAATACAGTATGTGTACCTTGAATATTTATTAAATTGATTTAAACCAAATTAAAGTGAATATGTGATTTAGTGGCAGCATCCATGGCGTTAAGTATGAACCATTAAGAAAAATGGTTCGTTGACATGTAGAAAGAGGTTGCTGGATGGGAATAAGGTCCCCTACCCCCCAAAGCAGTCTACAGTGTATTATTTAAAAAGAGTTAAGAATCAGCAATTATAAGCCTAAATATGTTGAACGATATTACCTTGAAACAAACCTTTTGATGAAACATTTTGTAGAACAAAACTGATTTCTATTAGAATATTAATATTTATTACTGTACATACCAATTATTAATTCCTTTACAAAAATTTGTTCTCAGTCTTAGAGTTCATGGATGATATATTTAATAAATAGTCTTCATTGATTAGAACAACTGAACTAAGCATTTACAAGCTAATGCTAGTTGTGATAATTATTTCAATTATCTACATTGTCACATTCAATTTATTCACATTCCATGTCAAATTTTAAAAAGAAATCAAGGATTCAAAACCATGGCAGTGATTGCCACTTAACGTCAAGATGGAGTAACAGGGACCACATTTACCCTCCATCCTGAATCAACTAAAAAATTTGGTTAAAATATATTTGGAAAATGGTTTTTAAGGCAAAAGACATCAAGTAAAAAAGGGCAGTGATCCCTGAAAGGTAGGAAACAAATGAGGTTAGGCCTACTATTGTTCCAGTTTACTGTCTAGAGAAAGTTTCTAGGTCATGATGCAAGGAGGAGGAATCTAAGCAGAGCCCAACCAATTCCCAGAATTGAAAAGATGGATCTGAGGGTCTGTTGAGTCCACAGAAGCTGAAGTTCACAGAGAAGAGTACCAGAATGAAGACACTTGTATATATTGTCTTCATATACATTGTATATACATATATACATATACATATGTATGTCTATATATATACATATACATATGTATGTCTATATATGTCTACACACACAAGACAATATATACACACACATACACTCTCTCCCTCTGTCTATAGGGTGTATATGTATGTGTGAACTCCAGAGGTCTGCAGAGGATTCCTCTGGAGCACTCAGCAAAGTACTGATAAGTGCATGCATGTGAGAAGAGTAACTGAGGCTAGGGGAAGAATCTTCAAAAGAATTAGAGAAAACAGAACTTGCAGTTCTCAGTTCTTGTTTCCATAAGCCAGACTGGAAAAGTTGATCATTCATAAGGTATTAAATAGAGTGCTCAAAGGGGTCTTGCCTATCTAAAAAATCCTAAGAGCAAGACAAAAAAAAATCAAATTGTTCCAAGTAACTGTCCCAGAAAGTTTCAATTATATGTATATCCACCACCCAACAAGATAAAAACCACAATGTCTGGAATCTAATAAAAAGTTACCAGGCATACAAAGAAGCAAGAAATTAACACACATGATTAAGAGAAAAAGAAACCAATTGCAGCCAACCCAGAATTGACACAGATATTAGAATTAGCAGACAAGGACATCAAATCCTACTATAACTACATTCTATATGTTCAAAAAGCTAGATAAAAGAATGACTAGGTTAACAAGAGACATGGAAGACATAAAAAAGACCCAAATCAAATTTCTAGAGATGAGTACTGTGTCTGAGATGGAAAATATACTGAATTGAGATTAACAGCAAATTAGACATTGCAAAAGAAAAGGTTAATGAATTTGAAAATAAGACAGTAAAAACTAAAATGAAACAGAGTGCTATGATTTGAATGTTTTGTCCTCTCCAAAATTTATGTTGAAACTTAATTCCCAGTGCAACAGTATTGGGAAGTGATTGAGTAATGAGGACTCCACCCTCATGAATGGAATTAGGTGCCCTTATAAAGGGGCTTGATGGAAGGAGTTCATCCTCTTTTGCCATTCTGCATTCTGCCATGTGAGGGCACAGTGTTCCTCCCTTCCAGAGGACACAGTGTGCAAAGCACTATCTTAAAAGCAGAGACCGCCCACACGTTGTGCACATGTACCCTAGAACTTAAGGTATTAAAAAAAAAAAAAAAAAAGCAGAGACCAAACCTTCACCAGACGACAAACCTGCCAATGCCATGATCTTGAACTTTGCAGCCTTCATAACTGTGAGCAATACATTTCTGTTCTGTGTAAATTACCCAGTCTGTGGTATTTTGTTATAGCAGCACAAATGGACTAAGAGGAAAAATAAAGGACCAAAAAGAGAACAGATGCTTAGTAAGCTGTATAACAATGTCAAATAGCCTGATGTACATGTAATTTAAGTCTTTGAAGGAGAGGATACAGAAAAGGGTACAGAAAAATTATTTGAGAAACTAATGGATACATTTTTTCCAAATTTGATGAAAACTATAAATCTGCAAATCTAAGAAGCTTGATGAACTCCAAGCACAAGAAACATTAAGAAAATTACACTGAGCCACATCATAATTAAATTGCTCAAAACCAGATAAAAATGAAAATAGTTAAAATTACCAGAGGAAAAAAGACAAATTATGTACACAGGAAGAAATATAAGATGACAGCAGATTTTTAAATTGGAAACAGTGCAAGTGTGAAGACAATTAGAGAAACATCTTTAAGCTACTTATTAGGGGGAAAAAAGGTCCATCTAATATTTTATAACCAATAAAAATATCTTTTTAAAACAAACATGAAATAAAAGACTTTTCAGACGTATAAAAGCTGAAATAATTTACAGCCAGCAAACTTGTACTATAAAAAATGTTAAAATAATTCCCATGGGTAAAAGAAAAATGATACCAGATGGAATTATGTATCTACCCAAGAAATGAAGTACATTGGAAATGGTAACTACCAAGGTGAATACAGAAGATTTTTTCAAATTAGTGGAATAATTTAAAAGATAATTGGCTGTTTAGACAAAAATAATAAAAATGAACTGTGGGGTTTATGATATATAAAGAAATAAAATATATGACAACAATTGTACAAAAGCTGGAGGAGAAGAAATAGAAGTTTGCCTTGTAGGGCTCTTATACTATATGAGAAGGGATATAATATTAGTTGAAGGTAGACTGTGATAAGTAAAATATATGTACTATAAACCCTAAAGCATTTAAAAAACACAAAAAGAGTTATGGACAATAGGCTAACAAAGGCTACATGCATTAAAAAATACGATATCCAAAAGAAGGTAGGAAAAGTTTACAAAGAACAAATGGGACAAATGAAAGACAAATAGCAAAATGGTAGGTTTAAACCTAAACATATCAACAGTCATAGGAAATCGAAATGGTCTAAACATCTCAATTTAAAAACCCCTGAGTGGTGTTTTCTGCCAAAGGCTGATGGTCATGAACCTATGGTGGTGTCACAGAGGTAGGGCTGCAGTTACTGTTTCCTGTTGATGAAAACCACAGGCAATGAACTCTCCCACTACTTTTCTGGTTCAGATGGGCACTACTGAATCACACTGTGCTCCAACAATAGCCCTAAATGGGGAAGTATGCTTCGGTACCTAATGACACTAATTGGTAAGTAAGCTACAAATCAGTGCTTCTTGTGCTCCCAGTGCTTTATGGGGAAGGCTTTTCACTGTTCCTCACAGCCTTCCTTCTCTATTATTCATGCCTGAGTTACAAGACACCAGGCTGTACTCAAAGCCCCAATTCCTTCCAACCCTGATGTGTTGTCCTTCGGTCAAGCCTATGGGTCTTCATTTTTTCATCCCTTATGATGTGTCTTCAGTAGTTGGCTTTGGCCCCATTTCTGTCTCCACCAATTCCTTATATATAATCAATTGCTATGTCCCATTAATTCTACCTTCAATATTTATCTTGAATCCATTCATTTATCTTCATTCCGACAGCCAGTATCTCGCCTAAGCTACCTCTCCCTTGTTATAGCTGTAGCTCCCCAACTAGTTTCCCTACATCCACCCTATCCCCTCTCAAATCTTACTCTACACAGTAATCAGTGCAGCCCTTTTAAACAAATTAATTGGATTATGTTACATCCCCATAATGAGGAAACTCAAACTTCCTGCTAGGGCCCATGAGGTCCTGTGTGACCTATGTGCCTCCCTGTTTGCCATTTCCCCTTTTGTCCTCTACATTCCAGCCACACAGTCTTTCTTTCTAATTCTCTGAAGTTTACTGGCTCATTCCAACTTCAAATCCTACAGACCAGTTTCCCTTTCTGGGGTTGTCCTCTGCCACCTTTATATAGGTACCTATTATTAAGCCTTAAAATCCCACTTAGCCTTCACTTCCTTGGGAAAACTGGAAAAGCACCAGTTTCCTTCTTACATGTTCTCATGACACACAGAGTTACTTCTTAATAAGCATTATCTATTAATTTGTGCTTAATATTTGTCTCTACAGTGGGATGTGAGCTCTCTGAGGGCTGAGAACATGTCTGTCTTACTCACTTCTGTATGCCCAGTGCCAAGCACTGTGGCTGGCTCTAGAAGCTTAGGATAGTAGTTCATTAAATCTAAGATGCCAGCAATCATAAGATGCACCATTATTTTATATGCCACTAAGGCAAACATCTCTAATTAAATTCTATTTTGCCTTCAATTTTAAGACGCAACCCAAACTCAGAAATGTGAAAAGGTGAAAAAGTATGTCTTAGAATTCAGAATATATTGTAAATATTTTAAAAACTAAATAAATGAGTAAAAGAATCATCTTTGTCCTCATGTAATCCCCATTATGCCTGGCCCAACAAGCAATCCCCAATATGCCTGGACATTAGTATACCCCAAAATGAATTTACGTCTTGGTGCTGTCAAACCACGATACCCTCACTATACTTGAAAGTCTGGACTGCTGTGTCTATGACCATTACCTAATTCTTGCCTGTTGAAATTATATTAGACTAATCCTATAATCAATGCTATTTCCGTATTTGTCCAGCATACTTTCTACAGAGTCCCACAAAAAGAGAAATCTACACATACGGTTTGGAACTAACAAAGTTCATTGTAAAACGAAACGGTCTTCCATATGAGCCAATTACAAAATATTAATTCATTTTTTAAGAACTCTTTTACTTAGGGTTACATAGGGCAAGAAACATTATTAGGTGCCAATTTCTGTTTAATATCTTGTACCTACCTTCAGATTCTCTCCAATGACAGAAAGCTCTTAATAACCCTTTCCATACGAAAGAGTTGTTCAGGAAGTGAGTAGGAAACAGCAATGGGAAGCTAAAGATAAAAGGTGGGACTGTTCCAGTGAGAATTCAGAACTAGATGGAGGATTTACTGTGATTACTCAAAATTGTGAACTTAAATATGGAAAGAATCTCTAGGCTGCCAAAACCCTCCAGTCCCATCAATCAACCCTTAAGCGTACAAGCTGTAACTGGCATGGAGGACATACATTTTAAAGGTTGAAGGGATATTAGTCACTATAAAATGGGAAGGAGAGCAGCATAGTGAAAAAGGAATAGGGTTTAGGGTCCAGTGAAGTTTGGATTCTGGCTTTGGCACTTATTAGTTGTAAAGTTTAGACTCAATTTACTTATCTAAGACCAATAATATCTATCTTATAGGGTTGAGAAGATTAAATAATATATGAATAAAAAGCACTTAGAAGCAGGTCTGGCACATAGAGTGAATAAATATCAGCTTGTATTATTTTTATTCTGGAAAAGGAAAAAGAGGAAACTTCCTAAATTATGTGAGTGTTCTCTATTTGGATTCATTATTGTTGCAATCCGTTTTTAACTTATTTTTTTAAATATTGAGAAGTACCCAGATCACAAGTGTATAGTTTAATGAATCACCACAAAACGAACATAACCATGTAACCACTACCCAGGTCAAGAGATAGAACATTACTTGCTCCTGAAAACCTAGCTCTTCATGGTCCCTCTCAATCGCTACTTTCCCTAATTTCCAAATCCAATCATAATTCTGGTTTGAGTACCATAGATTAACTTTCCCTGCTCTTTTTCAACTGAATAAGCATAAAATTATGCAGCAAATATTCTTTTGTTCTTGGTAACTTTTCCCCAACATTAGATTTGAGAGATTCATCTCTTGTTATGTGTGACTGCAGTTCCTTCATTTTTATTTACATCTATTATTTTATTGAATGAATAGGCTACAATCTTTTTAACCATTTTATTGTCAATGATCATCCAATGTGCTTTCCTTCAACCTTTTAGTTGCCACTGAATGACAGTTAATGTCTTATACCTGGTTGGGCTCTTAACATAATCTCACATGCTGTGAATTGATGAAAATGATGGTTAAAATGGCTACAGCTGATAGAGGCAATAAACAGCAACTGAGTTAAACTGAGAAAGTGTGCTGAGGAGGAATGTGCTTGTCAACAAATCCAGGGTGCATACTGGAAGCCTCAGGAACCATTATAAAGTATTCCTAATATGAAAGAGAAAGGGCAATCAGGCAAGCATTGCCTCTTCAATAAAATGATAAACAATATGTGAACTGCATGTAATATACAGTGAATTCAGTATGCATAGCCAAAAGACAGGGATTTCACAGTCTAGAAAATAACTTATTTCACAAATAAGGGCTACCGCCTATAATTAGCATAGTATGGACAATGTGATGGGACTTAAAATTCTTAGTTCTTCCTTTTAGAGGATTTGAATTGACTACTGATTTAAATCTGGGTTCTTCACTTGCTACAAATGTAACTGTCCACAAACTGCTTAAGCTATTTATGTTTTAGTTTCCCTACATATAAATTGGTGATGCAAAATACTACTTACCTCATATGGATGTCATGAGATAATCTATGTAAAGCGTTTAGCACAATGAAAGGCATCTAAAAGGAGCTCAATAATTGTTCACTATGAAAAGTGGTATGGCATAATGATTAAACACACCAACTTGGAGCCAGACTGCCTGGGTTCGAGATCTAGCTCTAGTTTAAGGTCTAGCTCTGTATGACCTTGAGCAAGGTATTTAACCCTTCTGTGCCTTAGTATCCTCATCTATAAAGTAGGGATAATAATAGTACCTACTTCGTTGGGTTGATGTGAACTTTAAATGACACATAGTAAACATAGTGAAAACACTTCCCCACATAACAGTAAAATTTAGAGTTACAGTTCACAGCCCTGGCTACACATTAGAATCACTTGAGCAGCTTTAAAAAATGTTGATGTCTGGCAGTTCTCTCAGCAGAAACTCTACAAGCCAGAAGAGAGTGGGGGACAATATTCAACATTCTTAAAGAAAAGAATTTTCAACCCAGAATTTCATATCCAGCCAAACTAAGCTTCATAAGTGAAGGAGAAATAAAATCTACTTTACAGACAAGCAAATGCTGAGAGATTTTGTCACCACCAGGCCTGCCTTACAAGAGCTCCTGAAGGAAGCACTAAACATGGAAAGGAACAACCAGTACCAGCCACTGCAAAAACACGCCAAATTATAAAGACCATCGATGCTAGGAAGAAACTGCATCAACTAACGAGCAAAATAACCAGCTAGCATCATAATGACAGGATCAAATTCACACATAACAATATTAACCTTAAATGTAAATAGGCTAAATGCGCCAATTAAAAGACACAGACTGGCAAATTGGATAAAGAGTCAAGACCCATCAGTGTGCTGTATTCAGGAGACCCATCTCACATGCAGAGACACACATAGGCTCAAAATAAAGGGATAGAGGAAGATCTACCAAGCAAATGGAAAACAAAAAAAAGCAGGGGTTGCAATCCTAGTCTCTGATAAAACAAAATTTCAACCAACAAATATTAAAAGAGACAAAGAAGGCCATTACATAATGGTAAAGGGATCAATTCAACAAGAGCTAACTATCCTAATGATACATGCAGCCAATACAGGAGCACAAAGATTCATAAAGCAAGTCTTTAGAGACCTACAAAGAGACTTAGACTCCCATACAACAATAATGGGAGACTTTAACACCCCTCTGTCAACATTAGACAGATCAACGAGAAAGAAAGTTAACAAGGATATCCAGGACTTGAACTCAGCTCTGCACCAAGCAGACCTAATAGACATCTACAGAACTCTCCACCCCAAATCAGCAGAATATACATTCTTCTTAGCACCACATCACACTTATTCCAAAATTCACCACATAGTTGGAAGTAAGCACTCCTCAGCAAATGTAAAAGAAGAGAAATCATTACAAACTATCTCTCAGACCACAGTGCAATCAAATTAGAACTCAGGATAAAGAAACTCACTCAGAACCACACAACTACATGGAAACTGAGCAACCTGCTTCTGAATGACTACTGGGTAAATAATGAAATGAAGGCAGAAATAAAGATGTCCTTTGAAACCAATGAGAACAAAGACACAACGTACCAGAATCTCTGGGACACATTTAAAGCAGTGTGTGGAGGGAAATTTATAGCACTAAATGCCCCAAGAGAAAGCAGGAAAGATCTAAAATTGACAACCTAACATCACCATTAAAAGAACTAGAGAAGCAAGAGCAAACACATTCAAAAGCTAGCAGAAGGCAAGAAATAACTTAAGATCAGAGCAGAACTGAAGGAGATAGAGACACAAAATACCCCTTCAAAAAACCAGTGAATCCAGGAGCTGGTTTTTTGAAAAGATCAACAAAACAGATAGACCACTAGCAAGAATAATAAAGAAGAAAAGAAAGAAGAATCAAATAGATGCAATAAAAAATGATAAAGGGGATATCACCACTGATCCCACAGAAATACAAACTACCATCAGAGAATACTATAAACACCTCTACACAAATAAACTAGAAAATCTAGAAGAAATGGATAAATTACTCAACACATACATACACCCTCCCAAGACAAAACCAGGAAGAAGTTGAATCCCTGAATAGACCAATGACAGGCTCTGAAATCGAGGCAATGATAGCCTACTAACCAAAAAAAGTCCAGGACCAGATGGATTCACAGCCGAATTCTACCAGAGGTACAAAGAGGAGATGGTACCATTCCTTCTGAAACTCTTCCAATCAATAGAAAAAGAGGGAATCCTCTCTAACTCATTTTATGAGGCGAGCATCATCCTGATACCAAAGCCTGGCAGAGACACAACAAAAAAAGAAAATTTTAGACCAATATCCCTGATGAACATCGATGCAAAAATCCTCAATAAAATACTGGCAAACTGAATCCAGCAGCACATCAAAAAGCTTATCCACCATGATCAAGTGGGCTTCATCCCTGGGATGCAAGGCTGGTTCAACATACGCAAATCGATAAATGTAATCCAGCATATAAACAGAACCAATGACAAAAACACATGATTATCTCAATAGATGCAGAAAAGGCCTTTGACAAAATTCAATGGCCCTTCATGCTAAAAACTCTCAATAAAGTAGGTATTGATGGGACGTATTTCAAAATAATAAGAGCTATTTATGACAAACCCACAGCCAATATCATACTGAATGGGCAAAAACTGGAAGCATTCCCTTTGAAAACTGGCACAAGACAGGGATGCCCTCTCTCACCACTCCTATTCAACATAGTGTTGGAAGTTCTGGCTAGGGCAATCAGGCAGGAGAAAGAAATAAAGGGTATTCAATTAGGAAAAGAGGAAATCAAATTGTCCCTGTTTGCAGATGACATGATTGTATATATAGAAAACCCCATTGTCTCAGCCCAAAATCTCCTTAAGCTGATAAGCAACTTCAGCAAAGTCTCAGGATACAAAATCAACGTGCAAAAATCACAAGCTTTCCTATACACCAATAACAGACAAATAGAGAGCAAAATCGTGAGTGAACTCCAATTCACAATTGCTTCAAAGAGAATGAAATGCCTAGGAATCCAACTTACCAGGGATGCGAGGGACCTGTTCAAGGAGAACTACAAACCACTGCTCAACGAAATAAAAGAGGACACAAACAAATAGAAGAACATTCCATGCTCATGGATAGGAAGAATCGATATTGTGAAAATGGCCATACTGCCCAAGGTAATTTATAGATTCAATGCCATCCCCTTCAAGCTACCAATGACTTTCTTCACAGAATTGGAAACAACTAAAGTTCATATGGAACCAAAAAAGAGCCTGCATTGCTAAGACAATCCTAAGCAAAAAGAGTAAAGCTGGAGGCATCACGCTACCTGACTTCAAACTATACTACAAGGCTACAGTAACCAAAACAGCATGGTACTGGTACTAAAACAGATATATAGACCAATGGAACAGAACAGAGCCCTCAGAAATAATACCACACATCTATAACCATCTGATCTTTGACAAACCTAACGAGAACAAGAAATGGGGAAAGGATTCCCTATTTAATAAATGGTGCTGAGAAAACTTGCTAGCCATATGTAGAAAGCTGAAACTGGATCCCTTCCTTACACCTTATACAAAAATCAATTCAAGATGGATTAAAGACTTAAATGTTAGACCTAAAACCCCAGAAGAAAACCTAGGCAATACCATTCAGGACATAGGCATGGGCAAGGTCTTCATGACTAAAACACCAAAAGCAATGGCAACAAAAGCCAAAATTGACAAATGGGATCTAATTAAACTAAAGAGCTTCTGCACAGCAAAAGAAACTACCATCAGAGTGAACAGGAAACCTACAGAATGGGAGAAAATTTTTGCAGTCTACCCATCTGACTAAGTTCTAATATACAGAATCTACAAAAAACTTAAACAAATTTACAAGAAAAAAATCAAACAACCCCATCAACAAGTGGGCGAAGGATATGAACAGACACTTCTCAAAAGAAGACATTTATGCAGCCAAAAGACACATGAAAAAATGCTCATCATCACTGGCCATCAGAGAAATG
The DNA here is from genome assembly GCF_000001405.40 of Homo sapiens. Lineage (NCBI taxonomy): Eukaryota > Metazoa > Chordata > Mammalia > Primates > Hominidae > Homo > Homo sapiens. Next base: position 14,622,093 of record NC_000023.11, on the reverse strand, counting down.
CAAATCAAAAGCACAATGAGATACATCTCACACCAGTTAGAATGGTGACCATTAAAAAGTCAGGAAACAACAGGTGCTGGAGAGAATGTGGAGAAATAGGAACACTTTTACACTGTTGTTGGGACTGTAAACTAGTACAGCCATTGTGGAAGACAGTGTGGCGATTCCTCAAGGATCTAGAACTAGAAATACCATTTGACCCAGCCATCCCATTACTGGGTATATACCCAAAGGATTATAAATCATGCTGCTATAAAGACACATGCACACATGTTTATTGCAGCACTATTCACAATAGCAAAGACTTGCAACCAACCCAAATGTCTACCTATGATAGATTGGATTAAGAAAATGTGGCACATATACACCATGGAATACTATGCAGCCATAAAAAAGGATGAGTTCATTTCCTTTGTAGGGACATGGATGAAGCTGGAAACCATCATTCTGAGCAAAGTATCATAAGGAAAGAAAACCAAACACCACATGTTCTCACTCATAGGTGGGAATTGAACAATGAGAACACTTGGACACAGGATGGGGAACATCACACACCGGGGCCTGTCGGGGGCTGGGGGACAGGGGGAGGGATAGCATTCGGAGAAATACCTAATGTAAATGACGAGTTAATGGGTGCAGCACACCAACATGGCACATGTATAAATGTGTAACAAACCTGCACATTGTGCATATGCACCCTAGAACTTAAAGTGTTAAAAAAAAAAGAACAAATAATCAGAACAAACTTTTAGTTTTAAAAAAAAAATGCTGATGTCTGGACCCTATGCCCAGATAGTTTGGTTTAATTTGTGGTAGGGTCTGGGAAACCTGTGAAATCTCCTCAACTGATTCTAATGTGTAGCAAAGTTTGAGGTCCCTGCTTTAGAGACCCTTCCTTATTAAGACAAACTCCAACACTAATTCTTACCTTGATCACAGAGAATCAGGAGCCACTGAACACTGTCTCTTTACAGTACTTCCACAATAACTACTTACGGGCTCTTCTGTTTAAGTCATACGGGTCATGCAAAGTTGAAAAACATATGGCCTTCTCCAAAAGGAATTTATAGTACAGTTTGTTAGAGCAAGTACACATGGGCCCTGATCACTAAGCCCCATGTCAGAATGCAATGATTGAAAGTGGCATGGAAGCAAGAAAGCGTCGTGGAAGTAAGGAAGAGAGGCCATTTACACCTAATGGCAAACCATAAGGGGTTCATGTAAGAAGTGACATCTACTTCAAGTGGCTCTTGAAAAGTGGATTAATCTTCATCAACATCAGTTTTCTCATCTCTAACAAGATTGCTGAGGCCCCATGCTCTACTAACGCAGAACTCTAAGATTTTATGAGACCAATCCATGTGTAATCTGGAATATATTTGATATTCCAGTTTCTTTAAGTTATAGTCATTTTTGGAAAGCAAACTGCAGTCCCAGTCCCCATTTTGTGATAAAGGATGGAAAATGGTTTGCTTTAGTTTGTAGTTTGTTTCAGATTGGAGTTCATGGCCTCTTAAGTCCTAGATGAAGTTCAAAGCAATCCTTAGATTCAAATGCACAGATAGTCTTTAATGACACCTTAAGATCAAGGAAAATAAAACCTTACTCAGTTCTTGCTAGATAAAGAAAAAGGTGCTAATTTTCTGGCATTTGGGCTCCTGTGGAAGAGTGTGGGGCTGTACCTTTGGTCCAGAGCTGCTGTATAGAGTCCAGATGAGAAGATCTTTAGACACCTTTATCAGAATTCAGAGAATAAGCCTGCATCCTAAAAAACTGGAGAAGCGAGAAGGGACAATGGAGGCTTGCGTCAGCACACCGAGAAACCCCCAAATTAGTTGTGACAGTGCTGAGGAAGCAAAGCTGAGGTAAAAATAGTCTGTCTTGATGCCCTCTTATCTAAACCACTATTTTATTTTATTATTATATCTTTGATTAGATTACTCTGTAAGAAATATATATCAAAGAAAAAGAAATGTAACACTACTTGATACTATCAGAGAAGTGAAACTTATAAAATGTTATTATATTAGAATAACATACTATATGCAGCCGGATTCTCTGTGGTAAAGAATAACCAGTAAAAAAAAAAACGGGGGGGCGCCTGGCTAGGTAGGTTCCCTTTTATTCTTTTCATATCTTAGATAAAGGTTAGATGGATAGTTCTCAGTGACCCAACTCTAGAGATGTAGATGTTCATTCATTATTCAATCAACAAATATTTATTGAGAATATACTGTGAGCTAGATGCTATTGAAGGGAGCAAGCCAGATAAAGAACCCTGCCTTCATGGAGCTTATAATCAAGCTAAGGGAAACAGATAATATACAATAAACATAATCCATAATAGAGTTTGATATAAATGATAGTGTTGCTATAAGGTAATAAAGTACTGCGGGGAAACAAAAAAAAAATTAGAAAGTTGAATCAGGTCAGGGTATTGATGAGAGCCTAGGTCAGAGTGGTAATGACCAGGCTTTGCTGAGAAGATAAGATTTGAATAAGGATTTAGAGAAGGTAGAGAAGGTAGTCAAGTGGCTATCTGAGGGCAGAACATTCCAGTCACAGAAAACAATCATTGCAGGGGCCCAGAGCACATGCCCTCTATATTTGGGAAACAGCAAGAAGGTCAGTGTGCCTGAAGCAGTGAGCTAGGGGGTAGGTTAGTGGGATATGAGATCAAGAGGAAATAGGGGATAGATTATGAATTGTTCACCATAGTGAGGACACTGGCTTTTGCTCTGAGTGGGATGGGGAGCTATGGGAAGATGTTCAACAGGGAGCTATGGGAAGATGTTCAACAGGGAGCTACGGGAAGATGTTCAACAGGGAGGTGCTAAATAGGACTTTTCTGGCTGTTGTGTTGAAAATACAATATAGAAGGCAAAATGGAATCAGGGAGACTATCCAAAGAATATTCCAGTACAAAGGTGTGGTAGGGAGAATTCTAAATCCCAAGACCCCAAGAGTTCCAGTCCTGGCTGTGCATAATCCTGCTAGTTATTCCATCAAACACTGATCTAGAGACTGTTATGGAGGGGTTTTACAGATATAATTAAGATCCCAAATTAGTTGACCTTAAAACACAGAGATTATTAGGTGTGTCCGATCTAATTAACAAGCCCTTTAAATCTGGGTATAGAGGAAGTCAAAGATTTGAAATATACGAAGGAACTAATGTGCTGTTTCTGACTTGAAAATGGAAGGCACCACGTGTAATGAAATGTGTACAGTCGTGTAAAGAAATGTGTACAGCCTCTAGAAACTAAGAGCAGCCCCTGGCTAACAGCCAGCAGCAAGGAACGGGGGCCTCATCTCTACTGCTGCAAGGAGCTGAATTCTGCCAGCAACAAAAATGAACTTGGAAACATATTTTTCTTCAGAACCTCCAAAGAAAACCTCATCCCAGCTGACACTTTGATTTCAGCCTTATAAGACCCTGGGCAGAGAACCCAGTCATGCTAAGCCAGGCTTTTGACTTACAGAATTACAAGCTAATAAATGGGTATTTTAAGTAGCAAAGTTTATTATACAGCAACAGAAAATTACTGCATCAGCTGAAAGCTTTCTAATATTCCTTATTATGCTATATATATGTTTATTTTAATTCATAAACATAATGCCGTTTACATAAACATTACCATACTATATCTCTGTTTAATTCATAAACATAATACCCTTTACATAAATGACTACATTATCATGCATGTATACAAACACATAATTCTGTCTCATGAAATGAGCATATTTAGTATAAGGATATGTACAAAAATGGAAACTTGCCCAATTGTTAGTGAGTGCTCAAATTGGTGTGTTTATCATCAGCATCCTGCTCCTTCCTGGGCCATGAGAGATATTTTATAAAGAGAGGTAGGCACATAACAATTGCCTAATTGAGGCTTCTTCTTATGGAAAGCTATGAGGAAACTTTTCCAAAGAATTTGAGAAAGCTTCCTGGAAGAAATGGTAAATTTTAAGAGTGGTTTCAAAATTAGAAAGAACATCACCAGACTAAATGGCGATATTCTTATATTCTTATCCTATATTCTTATTATAGACTTGTTCCAAGGACACTAAAGTTAATATCAGTCATTTTATTTAAAACATGGTGGTGGTAAGAATTTGTGTCCAAATAAAAACTTCATCTATTTTCAAAAAAATTTAGTTCAGGTGCTGCTTCCTCATGTCCCTTCTTCCAGGAAGTTCCAGACTAGATCAAGGATCCTTCTTAGCAGCCATAACTTTTGCTGTGTAACAAACTACCCCAAGATGTAGTAGCTTAAAATGACAGCTATTTATTTGTTCACGATTCTTTGGTTCAACTATTTGGTCTGGGCTCATCTGGGATGGATCGTCTCTGTTCCACATGGCAGTGGCTGGACACCCTCATGTGTTTGCATGGCCTCACCTGGTGGTTGAGATAACTGGGCCATGTGTCTCTTATCACTCAATAGGTTAGCCTGGTCTTAGTCACATAGTAGTGGTCACAGCATCCCAAGAGTAGCAGGAGAGAGCTAGCTTCAATATGCAAGCAGTTTTTAAGCCTCTAGTTTTGCTGCATTTGCCATTGTCCCATTGACCAGGACAAGTCACATGGTCAAGTTTACAGTCAATGTAAGAGGAAGCTATTACCCAAGGGTGTAGACACAGGGAGGGAAATTATTATAGCCATTTTGTAAAAAAATCTGCCTTTACTGCACTGAATTATAATCTTCTATTTTATGTTTATGTCTTCTTAAGGACAGAAGTTCTGTTTCTTCTTGTCTGTAATGTGATCATGTATTATAACATAGTGCCTGACACTGTGTTGCATGCTCCACAATAGTTCATTTTTTTCCTCACTGTGTGGTGTTTATAAGAACCCAAGCCATTTGGACCCATAGTTACCCATTTTAGTGAAATGGAAAGAGAAAGAGTTCAAAATAATCCTGAATTTCCATATGCCATCCCCAAAGGCTTACGAGCCTCACCAGGACTTGAGCAAAAGCCTAGCTTGGATAGCTTCTCTCACTGTCAGCTTCCCTGCAAAGGCTGCCAACAACATTCTTAAACTAAAGTACCAATGGTGCTTCAGCTCTCTCCCCAGAGAATTCTCACGTGTCATCTCTTTGCATATTTTTTTCACACACTCACTACATCAACGACTCTTCAATTTGCTGTGGCTTGGGAAATGTCGGGAGGGAAAGTTTATGAAGTCTCCTACATATGCAGACATCTGGCTAAAGCAAGCAGGCCTGCAGATCAATTTGCTTGGCTTTCTTACTTTTTAATCTTTATCCAAGAACTTCATAAGATCCTGATTATGTACAAAAAATAATTGTTTCCAACTTCTTTCAGAAATACTGGGAAAGTCGTTTAAATTAGCTGGGGATATACCTGATTCAAGGAGCAATCATCTTTATTTTTTAGAGCTAAAACAGATATCCAAACAAATCTTTAAAAACTCCTACAGGTATCAGTCTTACTGTTTTCGTAGTTCTCTTACTGCAATCTCTAGTTAGAAGCATTCTGGTAGGGGGAATAAAGCAAGACCAAATGTGGCAAAACTATGTATGGCCTCTTTCGTTTTAAATTCCAAGCATGTCCTGGGTTTGTCAGCTGCTTGAAATGGTCCAGCTGGTCTTAGTTGACCAGATGGCTGAAAAGTAAGGAGAAATTTCCTTATATAGGAAATAGGCCATCCCAGTTAATAATGGCGAAAGACAATGCCTCTGGATCCTTGCTTCAAAGAGACAGTTCTGGACCTGTCAGAGTCGTCTGCACACCTAGGTCATTCTAGCTATCCCAGTGTTTGCTTTCACTTCTATAGTCTCTGGGCTTCAGCCACAAATGAGGACTCAAGACACACTTAGGAGTGGCTATAAATCATCTAGCTGTGATAACAAACATGGAGTAAAGGAAAATAATCGTTTAATCTTATTTTGCCATGTGCAAAGCCTGCCTGATGTCTCAGTCTTCCATCTTCCATTCAATTCATCCTCATACTTTTCTGAGGGTGGGAAAGACAACATGCAGCCTTTAGTCTGCCACTAGAGGCTTTATGCTCTAAACGGTTAAAAGAAGTATTGCCAGCACAATAGCTTCTTGGGGGTTGGCAGAGATGTATGTTTAAAAACCAATTTTATAGCTTCAAAGGGAAAGATACCGATGAAACACATATCATGCTGGTATTTGATTTTCCTGTATTTAGAGAAGGGATTGAACTTCTGAAAAACAAAAAATCAAGAACAAAAACACAAAAAGTATTGGTTGGCAGGAAGATAGGAAATTAACTTGGAATCAATAAACACAAGTTTCTTACTTGAAACGTGTTTAAAATGTGTGAAGCATGTTTGAAATGTACCCAGATTTTTTTCTAGAAAGCCTTATTTTAAAAGTGTAGCCCAAATATTATGAGTAGAAGGTCCTCATTGCCTGGAATGCCCTTTACCTCCTCCTACTTCACCTACTTAATATGCCTCGTAGATTCAGCTCAGGCTTCCTCCTTCAGGACATTTTCCTAGATCTGCTCCTGCTCTCTCTACTTCCTTTGCTCCTTCCCCCTCTCTTCTCTCCCTTCTTCACCCACCCATTCTTCCCTCCTCCACTTAATAGGTTAGGCATCTTACTTCATATATCTTTTTATCCTACATTGTTAAATAATCACCATTCCAAATGCCTATCTCTGGCCTAGCAGATTACAAGCCCCTGAGGGTAGGGGCTGTGTTTTATCTTTGACCCCTAGAAGAATGCATGGCACAGATAAAACATTCAATAAGTGTTAGTTGAATAAATAAATGGATGGATGAATCATCAATTGAATTATACTGGGAATACCCCTTGATTACAAGTATTTTCAACACTGTTCATTTATTCACTGATTTACTCTTTACTGAGCACCTACTGTGAACCAGGTGTTGTGCTGAGGGGTGGGTACACGAACATTTCCAAGAGCAATGAAGTCCTTGCCCTCATAGGGATAAAAGTCTAAAATTAAGAGTGTATATTTATATGTGTAACAGTATGGGAACAGGATATTCTTATTGCCTCAGCATTTTTACTAAAGCCTTACACTAAAGGGAGACGCTGCACATATACATGCCAGATACAGTACTTTCTAGAAGACAGAAAATGCTGTCTAGAGACTCTTATACCCAACACCCTGTATTATTACAGAAAACCAGACATTCGAAAACATTAATTGAAGTAATGGAATTTGTGGACGTTGACAGTGCTGTGGCATTCTCCCTGTTCTCCTAAAGATGGATAGAAGGTGGTTTATACCCACCCCTGTAAGAAAAGAGACTGGTATCTCTTCCATATGCCATATATTTGGTAAGCTGCTGAAATTCCAACAAGTTGCCCCTGGATCAGAGTTCTTAAGAGAATCTCTCATTTGTCTTTAGTATTTGGGTTTTATATGAAAATGTGAACACCAATATCTTTCTTACCTGAGTGAATTTTGAAGGCAGTAGGTTAGCTGGAATACCCATGATAGTAGGGTGAAAGCAGAAAGATTAGCAGTTGGTTAAGTTGCATTTCTATCATTTAGCAAGGCAATAATGCACAAGTTCTTAGTGAGCCTAATAAATGGTGTGGAAGATAGCCAAAGGTGAGTCATCTGGAAAATACATCAACCAGAAGGGCTATCTTATTAAGGAAGGGGACCTGAGGAGTAAGAAGTTGTATGGGATATACTGCTAGGAGGTGATAGCTAAGAGGAGATGGTAAGACATCACCCAGAGAATACATTATTCATCTGGAAATGGTGTAGTATGTTGGATGCCCTGGGAACTCCAAAGAACTCAAGTTCACCTCACAAGAAATCCAGCATTTGGGGGCTTGCCATTAGAGAAGGCACTAATAGTATACCACAGCTTCGGTCACATGAGACTTTCCTCCATCTTTCCCATTACTCTCAGCCCTCAACAATGGTGAAGTCAGCAACATGAGTGAGGAAAAAAGTTGGAAATACAGGGGAGGAACTGTGAAGGAACAGACAAAGTGCTCCACATCGCTGTACATTTTCAAGGCACAAGTCAGGCCTGAGCATGCGGCAAGGGAAGAAAAGAGCATTGAATTGTACATGAGACTGAAGTTTTGTTTCAGACTAGATAATTTTTTAAAAGTCTGATAATAGACTATCCTAAAATATCTGTTTGTCACTGATACTTTAGCTGTCTATTAAATTGAAAAATACACGTTTGTACATTCCAGGTCTAATAGCATAGCATATAGTACTGAGAATCTATAGAATCCTCCAGGGGCAGAGAAGACATAGCCAAGTGAGGGTATTTAATGGTAGTGAGTGGGGAAAAATTGACTCATATCTTATTCAGACCCTCTGGAACTGAACCCATTTAATCAACTATCTGTAAAAAAAACACACACGTGTATTTGTGCATATGTACATAGTTGCCCCCTTGGTATCCACAGGGGATTGGTTCCAGGATCTTTGCAAATACGAAAATCTGTGGATGCTCAAGTCCCTTATATGAAATGGAGTAATATTTGCATATAACCTATGCACATCCTCCCATATACTTTAAATCATCTCTAGATTACTTATAATACCCAATACAATGCAAATATTGTATAGTTGTTATGCTGTATTGGTTATTTTTTTTATTGTTGTTTTGCTTTCTTTGTTTTTTAAAAATATTTTTGATCCATGGTTTGTTGAATCTGCAGATGCAGAGCCTGCAGATATGGAGGACTAATTGTATCTTGTACACACATACATATGACAAACTTTGGTTAATCTCATTGACAGTACAACTATAAGTGAATAGTGAGCCATCCAAAGAACAGGACATCTTCTATTCATAAGGCCCTTTATGCATTTTCTAATATAACCTCTCATGCCATGGAGCAGTCTTTTCTACTACATTATGGACAGGGAACAGTAAGAATAAAAATAACCAGGATGAGATGAATACCGACGATGTAGAAAAACTGGGCTAAACAATTTATATAAGTACTGCTTCATCTCATCCTCATTTAATTTTTTTAAGGGGTAGATAATAATGTTCTCATTTTATAAATGATGAAACAAACTTAGAGAGGTTGAGTGAAGTAAAGGCTCTAAGATTTAGATCAAGGCCTATGTTTCAAAATATGTCTTTGTTCATATTTTTATTATTATTATACTTTAAGTTCTGGGTTACCTGTGCAGAACATGCAGTTGTGTTACATAGATATACACATGCCATGGTGGTTTGCTGCACCCATCAACCCATCATCTACACTAGGTATTTCTCCTAATGCTATCACTCCCCTAGCCCCCCCACCCTCCGACAGGCCCCAGTGTGTGATGTTCCCCTCCCCGTGTCCATGTATTCTCATTGTTCAACCCCCACTTGTGAGTGAGAACATGCAGTGTTTGGTTTTCCATTCTTGTGTTAGTTTGCTGAGAATGATGGTTTCCAGCTTCATCCATGTCCCTGCAAAGGATATGAACTCATCCTTTTTCATGGCTGCATAGTATTCCATGGTGTATATGTACCACATTTTCTTAATCCAGTCTATCATTGACGGACATTTGGGTTGGTTCCAAGTCTTTGGTATTGTGAATAGTGCCGCAATAAACATACCTGTGCATGTGTCTTTATCATAGAATGATTTATAATCCTTTGGTTATATGCCCAGTAATGAGTTCGCTGGGTCAAATGATATTTCCAGTTCTAGATCCTTGAGGAATTGTCACACTGTCTTCCACAATGGTTGAACTAATTTACTCTCCCACCAACAGTGTAAAAGCATTCCTATTTTTCCACAACCTCTCTAGCATCTGTTGTTTCCTGACTTTTTAATGATCGCCATTCTAACTGGCATGAGATGGTATCTCATTGTGGTTTTGATTTGCATTTCTCTAATGACCAGTGATGATGGGCATTTTTTCATATGTCTGTTGGTTGCATAAATCTCTTCTTTTGAGAAGTGTCTGTTCTGTCCTTTGCCCATTTTTTGATGGGGTTGTTTGTTTTCTTGTAAATTTGTTCATATATTCTTAACTTTGCAAAGTCTGCTTGAGAATTTTTGGAAAGGGAGACATACTCTAGAGAAATTCCAGTCCTTTATAGTACATGTAATATTATTATGAGATTCTTCTGTACATTAAAACTCAAATACTTTTCTGTGTAACTTTCACCCATGGATTCTGCTTCAAGTCTGATCTACTAGGTTGGTACAAAAGTAATTGCGATATTTGCCATTACTGTTAATGACAAAAGCCAGAATTACTTTTGCACCAACCTAATATCTTCAACATGGCCTCACATGGGAGAACATGGCTGATCATTAATTTATCCATTCGATGAGAATTTATTGGTCATCTAGTCTAAGCCACATACTGTTCTAGGTGTTGAAGTTAACAGAATGAACAAGACAAAGTTGTTGCCTGCATAGAACATATATCCCATCAAATATCTTCTCATAGATCTTCCCTCATTCACTCTAAACATGCTCAGTACCTTCTTTTTTCTCATTGAAAGTTTTTAAAAATTAAAAACTATATATATGTTATCTAGAACACAGTGGGCTACAAACACTCCTATGCAAATGTATTTATAATTATCATACTTACAAAAGCAAAAAAGAAAACTCTAAATATCTAAGATGGTGTAAAAGTTTGACCTCAATTTTCTGTGTGTGCATGTGCATGGGCTTGCCCATAAATGCACATGGAAAAAAGACTGAAAGAAAATACACCAAAGTCTTAACAACAGTTATTTAATGGTTGGTTAACATTAATCATGTTTTCTGTGTTTTCTGTCTTTTCTATAACAAACATCTTACTTTTAAAGTGTAATGTGCATGTGTACTCTGTACGGGGCATTGTAGGAGGCCCTGAAGTAAATGTACAATCACCACAGTGGAGCATCTGGTCAGGGATTGCAGTGTTTATAAATTAAAATGAGTATTTACATGCATGTGCATGTATAAGTAACTGTATGACCAATTCTTCATTTTCCATGACTCACTTTTTATCCCATGTGTTTCACACCATCATCCACATAAGTTACATTTCCTCATGGTCAGTTGAAAGCCAACCATGTTTAATAACAGCATAAGAAAAGTACACAGAGGAAGATAAACCTAATGGTGGCAAAAGGATAACCACCATGAGTTCAGAGCCAAGTGTAAAATGATTTTTGATTTTACTCTCTTTTGGTTTATCTGAGTTCCTCATTGCCTTTACATACAAAGATCCCTGATCAGTGAACATTTATTTAGCAATAGTTTTGACCATTGATGCAGAATCATAACAGCTTTATAAAATGAATAACAAATTTATAAAAACTCAAACTCCCATTTTGAAGATAAATGACTACTCTTTTCACAGCAATGAGCAGTTGGAGGCTAAATGTCTTATATTTTGACATTATATGCTTACAGTTTGTCACCAGTACTTTAGCTGTCTATTAAATTGTAAAATATATGTTTGTACATCCTGAGGTTTAATGCCATGGCATGCAGTGATGGCAATAGCTAATGACTAATAATAAATAAGCAAATGAACCTGTTTGGGAGGGGCACAGAGTGGATTAAAAGTGCTATTAGGTAAAATTGATTTTTGATTATACAGGTTAAAAAAGCTGTTAGTATTTCTGACATCTGTATTCCAGTAGAAAAATAATACAGGTACATTATACTATTTGTTATTCTAGAAGATAAAAAAGTATTAGAGATACCTCTATTCCTTTCTCTATGACCATATAAAACCTAATGTTTATCTTTGGAGGCATGGGACTTAATAAGTTGTGTAAATATTTCTCCAGTATTCAGCCCACCTCTATTATAACCACAGACCTCCTCCATATGTCATCTTATCTTCTGGACATGGGAGATAATGTGGAACATGATCTAACATTTCTCATTATGTCAAATTCAGCACAACCAAACATAAACTCAAGCCAGCAAAAATATGGAATTACATCTTCATTATTTTCCGGAAATGCATTTTGGAGAGACTGCTCAACCAGTATGAGACAATGTACACTGAATCCTAAATTAAACTCATATTCTGGAAAATTGAAGCCAATGGCTCAGTGTGCTCAGTGAAATGGGGAAGCACACAAAGGCACACTTCTGGGGTGCTAGAGCATTTCAAAAGTGGGACATTCATCATTACTTGCTTAAGCAATATTTACAAATGCAGATGGCCTTCTTTTTATAAAAATAGATTACACAGCCACTTATGGATTATTATTTGAGGTGCTATAAACTGTCTATATGTCCCTGATATCGATCCCACACTCCTCTGTCACCATGCCACATTTCTAGGAATTTTCACCATTTTAGATGACTCTACTGTTCCTTCTCTGGGTAACTGTGTCACTCAAAAATAGTAGCATATCAGCCATTAAAGGAAATTAAGGCATAGCAATGTTTCATATATCAGATTGCTGTACCCTAATATTGTACATTAATTTCTTACATATATTTATTGATATGGCTCTTCTGTGATTTCCAGGAGCCTAATTCAAATTTTTATTACTATAAATGACTTCACTAAACATATGAATTGCAATAGTTTCACCAATAAATACTTGAAAATATGGCATAAATTGCATCAGTCTTACTCCAATTCTTGCAAGCTTCATGTCTTATAAACAACCGAGATCAAAAGCACTCAAGGGCTTCCTAGAGTCTCTAAGCCATGTTTCTGCCTCTACTCATTTCTCTTCCCTCTCAATACTAATTTCCCTTTCCTCTAAATGATATGATTTTGAGGGTTCCCCATGTTCCCAGATCCCTGATTCTCTCAAACTCAGCTTCTTGTCCTCTTATTGCATTCATATCTATGACAGTGTCATAGGGTGGCCAACATTTCTGTCCTCACAGAACTCTCCAGCCCACAAGACCTTTGGGAAGCTTTCATGTCATCTGTTATCAAGCAAGATTTCTTACCTTTGGCAGAGATGCCCTGGAGCCTGAACTCTGGGTGGTCATCGTTAAGACTGTGGTGATGCCCAGTGCGACCCTGGCAGGGGCTGCATCCATATTTATCCAAAAGGAAACCCAGGACAAAATTACTATAAGCAGGCTTGGGATGTACATCTGGATCAAATAATATCCCATTTGGCGTTCCAGATGAAACTTGACCTCAATGCAGGTAAACTTTCCTAGAAGGAGGAAATGATCATTTAAAGTCCAGCCTGAATTTATATTTCCAATTCCATTATCCCACGTTGTTTAAAAAAAAAAAAAAAAAAGACTACTGCAGATGGATTTGGAAGATTGCACAAAATGTTCACCCTACGTAACCAATTCAACTCTTCTCCAACTGAACCAGTAATAGAAATAATTACTGTGGAATAATAGTGATAATAATAGTGTGAGAATGTGTGATCTAAAGAGTCACTGGACCAAAACCATAAAGCATATTTAATTTTTAAAATCTGTGCTTGCTGCAGCTTGATTGTTTTAGACAGAGCTTCAGAATTTACAAGACTGACAGAAAATAACCAGTGGAAATAAAATATTCAAATTTTGGGGGGTTATAATATGTTATATATAGTATATTATATATTAATAGCATATACTATATAGCATATAATATGTAACACATGACATACACTGTGTAATAGTTGAAGCCATTTCCTCCAAAGTAGTACAGTTTACATAAAACTACAAAGTATTTAAAGAACTGTGTATTTATCATTGTGTTATTAATGGCAAGAGAAAAATGTACATTTGTATAAGCCAGTGTATAGTCTAGTCATTGTAAAAATTTCCTAGCCTTCTGGGTAATTGCTTCAGGACATTTAGCATATGCCTAGGAACTACGTACAGTGTTTCTTTACCTGTAAAAAGGAGTTCATATAAAGGTATTAAAACTTCTAACATTTAAGAGACAGATATTCCTACCCCTTCCCACTTTTTTTCTCCTTAATTGACTTGGAGTTAGAACTCCAGAAGGTAATTTTGCTTAGTCCATACAGATTACAAGATATAGGGTTGAATTCTTCTTGGTCAGAAAAAAAACATCCTTGGAATCAGGTTTTGGTTACTTCATAAGTATCACTGTTGGCTGTTGGAACAAGTGTGCATAAACTGTTTTCCTCAGCAAGGGACCTAGACCAGTTACTGGACAAACCATCATGTCTTGATTGTCTCTCCATGATCAGCTTGCATAGTATTGAATGAACACCATGGTTTTTCTTAAGAAAAACCATCAACTTTTCTGGACAGGTAAAATCTTCCAGAAAACAACGGATGCCTATTTGTTGCTACCACCTCAAGTTCTTCCTTCACCACCTGCCCCCCAACCCCATGTGTCTGTCAGCACTACTGATAACACATGACTTTAGAGCCAGCTGAATTCCTGCCAGCTGACTTTCATCCAAACTTCTATTGCTATCCAGGACTGAAGAACACAACAGCTCTATTTCTGGGTTTACAAAGACCTGTGTTATTGTCCCTCTTTTCCACTAAGGCACTAAGGCAGTAAGACAGTGGGTGCAAATTGACCTAAGCATCCAATGGCAAGAGCGGATGCCAGAAAGGAGCCAGAATTTATGTTTTCTGCACCACTAATGAGGTTTTCTACATCTTTCCTCAGACTCATTCGACAACAGATGGTCAGCTAGGAACAGCAAAAGATCCTAAATCCTCTCTCCTTCTCTCTATGTTCTGGAGAAATTACCTCTTGTGTTTGCTGACCTATTCCAGAGAGTATAGGAATCTTATCTGTTGAGGGAGTTTTGAGCCAAATCAGGTCCGTGCGACATAGGTCTATTTGCCTGGTAAATATGCAGCAATTAGAGTAATGAGATGTATACTCCAAACTGCAAATGGCGCTCACTTGTGTTTAACAGCTGAAAAAAAAAAAAAAAGAAACTTACCAGTGTTGTAGTGCTTTGTACAGTAGCCAAGTTCCTTCTCTTCTTTCAAAATAAACTGGGGCAGGGTCAATCCTTCAGCAACTTGCACTGGACCATCACTTAACCACTCAAATATCAGGTCATTCATCGTGTACCCAACTGAGGTAAAGAAATCATAGTGAAAATTGAATATGGCTTTCCAAGAAAGCTTGAAAGTCTACCCATGTAAAGAAACAAACAAAGAAACTGTCTAAAGCAGACATACGCTCAGTCAATTCAAGAGCATTCTTAATAAAAGAGCTGCAATCATCACTACAACTCTGTGTCATTGGAGCCAAAGAAATTTAAGACAGAAAGCTACTTATGGATGGATTTTTTTTCTGTGTAATGAAAGAATGGAATCTAAAAAGTCTATTGATTTCTGCCTTTTTATTCACTAACTCTTTCTGAAGAACAAACAAGTGAACAAACATAAAAATCCTTTGAAGATTGTCTTTACTTGCAAGAGCTGAGGCTTTAGCAATCCAATAAGACAATCCAATCCACAGTGCCAGTCAGTACTTTAAATGAAAACCATTCTTTTTTTAAATGAGAATGAATTAATCACGGGCCTGCCTAAAACATTCCCATTACAGACTTGGCCCTCCTCCTAGGGTCTATTAGCTTTGCATTCAGAAAGCTTATGTTAAAGTCCTTCTACTTTAGCAAATGGGGAAGACTATTGGCAGGTAATCTAAGAGGAAATTATGGAATATGCAAATTAAGAATATTCATTTGTGCTAGTGTCTTGCTAAATGGGCCCACTCATCACAATTATTAATACAAAGTAAAACAGATTACCTATTATGAAAGATCATATTTTTATATGACTTGAACCATCCAAAGTAAAATTGTTATCAGTTTGGTAATCCAAAGTTAGCTCTTAGTCTCCAAGCTAGGTCATCATCTGTCAATTTTTTCTGGATCTTTCTCTACCCTAGAAATGAAGCCTACTCTTCTTTCATGCACCATTTCTCTACCTTTTCCCTTTGTTTGTAATATTTGAACTTTTCAGATAAGAGTGATGAGGACAGAGGATATTATGTGAGGTCTTGGCTGGCCAAAATCCTCAGCATGTTTTTTTTTTTTTTTTTTAAGTTTATGGATTCTTATTCTTATTTACTGCAAGATAGTGACTCGCCAGAGCTACCCAGAAATCAATGGCAAGTTTAATTGTAATCTACTTTCCTGTTTCTTTGGACTACCTTTTCAACATAAAGCCAAAAAAAAAAAAATAATAAGAACATGGAAAGCAAGGAGATACAAAGAGGCCCTATACAAGCATTGGTGGTCCACAAGGAGAATGGCAAACCCTATCTGTGTGAGTACACCTTGGAAACCTCCAGCAAATACTACTCTAAGCTCACAAAATACCCCACGTTCTTGTCTGGTGAGCTTCTCGTTGGCCACCACAATAAAAGTTCTTGTCAGTCACCCTGAAGCCCCAGCATGGGGAAGACAGCAGAGGTAAAGAGGTGGGGATGAAGAAAGTAATATTGGGATAGAAAAGGAAAAAAATAATAATTCCCACCCTTCACATCCAAAGTTAGTGGTAAACATGATGTTTCTTTGATTTCATTATTCATGCCAGGACTGAGCTTATTTACTAATTCAAATTTTCTAAGCCTTGGATGAACATCAGTTGACAGCTACGGCTACTGTTTTACAGAAAAAATAAAAGTGTTGGGTTGAGTCAGGGGAGATTTTGGAGCAGTAGAGAAAACAGAAAGAAGGAATCATGTAAGAAAATGTTTTTCTCAGCTTTTTTCTCAAGAGAAGGAGCAATAAGGAAAAAAATGAATACATAAGGCCTATTTTAAATCAGAAATTTTCATTTTATCTATGACAACTTCTTAAGATAAAGAGGTTTCATCATTTTGTTTATTTCTCTGGGATGTTTCAAGGGAAATCCATAGTGATTTTAGATGATCAGAATGAAATCAACCCTGTCACTACCTCTTTTTAAATAATAGATAAGTCTTTTTACATATATTCTTTTTCTAAACCAAGAAGTTAAAAGTATTTCCTTGCCCATGCCTCATTAAATCTCCTAACGTCCATGTAGGTCAGTGGCACTTATTATTCTCTGCATTTTACAAACAGAGAAACTGATAGACCAAGCCAGAAAGAAATTCATATCTCTTAACTGAAAATCCTGTTACTTTGGAGGCATCAGCAACTTATGGTGACACATATCAAAGACTTTAGTGGCATCAGGGTTAGGTCATAAAGGGGACAAAGTAGATGGCCTTTTTCTACTTGCTTCACCATGCTTTTGTGTATCCACTGCTTATCTAAGAGAAATGCCTCTTATTCTGTCTTATTCCATCTCATCTCATGCCCCTCATTCTTACATCCTCCTCTGGCCAAGGTCCTTATGTCTTGTTCTCAAAGCAATTATCCCTTCCTGCCAGAATTCCTTTTGGGGTGATGGTCTACATGGGCATAAGATGGAAAGAAATTCAATTTTCTGATTAAAGAGTGATTCACTATAAAGATTTAATGACTAATAATTTTAATTTTCTCAGGAGACATTTTCATTTCAATGAAAAGCTTACCAAATCAGGCTATTTTTTGGGCGGGGGGAGAAAGGCAAGTTATTTGGCATTTTACTTTGAAAGGTTGCCTATGCTGTATTGATAATGAGATTTTGTATGACACACACACACACACACACACACACACACACACACACACACACACACACTTTGGTTTGTCTTTCCATTAGGATGTTGGGGGTTGGTCAGTATATAGGGAATGAGTTGTAAGGGTCCTTTCTCTTTAATGACATACTAAAAGAACCAGGTCATTGGTTAAAACAAGCAGGGAGTCATTTCAACAGTGGTGACTTACAACTCTCCAGCTGCATTGTACAGGTCTGGACATCCATCGGAAAGTTCTTCAAGTCCATGGGACAGGATAAGGTCAAGGTGAGTCTTAGCAAACAAAAAAAAAATTAAAAACCATTTTTAAATCTATGAAGTCCAGTTGTTGAGAAACAAACAAAATACACTTGGCATTAAGCAAAGTGACATTGATTCAAATAATGAAATCTAAGCTCCAACTCAGGGCAGTGCTTTTTGTTTTTAAAATGAAGAACAGTCACTGATAAATTTTTTAAATATTGTAGTATTTCACCATAACCTCTTACTCTCTATTTTTCATCTTCCAGCCTCTGATTCTCCCTCCTTCCCCCAAAATGGTGCTGTTCTCAGCTTTGTACTAGAATAAACAAGACCACTGAGATATAACATAACAAAAACAATAGGCTCTTACCCACGCCAATGTCCAAAAGATATAAAGTTTATACTATTTTAGAATTACACCTTGGACTTTGCTTCAAGGACAGAAATGATGTAATAAGTATAACTGATCATGGTAAGTGCTAGTTCTTCTTACATCAAATGGGCAAATGCTTAACTCCACAGTCTTCTCATTTACTGCATGTATGGGTTAACAATATATTGTAGCATTTATTCTAGAATTTTGATAATTCTGGAGCATGTAGTTCTTGAGCTAGAAAAACCCATTTAAAGATCATGGTTTATTTCATTAAGTCCCACATATTATCTTTGTTTTTATTGCATTTGTTTTTGGGTTCTTGGTCATGAAATCCTTGCCTAAGCCAGTGTCTAGAAGGGTTTTTTCCAATGTTATCTTCTAGAATTTTTATAGTTTTAGGTCTTAGATTTAAGTCCTTGATCCATCTTGAATTGATTTTTGTATAAGGCGAGAGATGAGGATCCAGTTTCATTCTCCTACATGTGGCTTGCCAATTATCCCAGCACCATTTGTTGAATAGGGTGTCCTTCCCCTACTTTATGTTTTTGTTTATTTTGCATGGCAAAAGGAACAGTCAGCAGAGTAAACAGACAACCCACAGAGTGGGAGAAAATCTTCACAATCTACACATCTGACAAAGGACTAATGTCCAGAATCTACAATAAACTCAAACAAATTAGCAAGAAAAAACCAAACAATCCCATCAAAAAGTGGGCTATGGACATGAATAGACAATTCTCAAAAGAAGATATACAAATGGCCAAAAAAGATGTGAAAAAATGCTCAACATCACTAATGATCAGGGTAATGCAAATCAAAACCACAATGCGATACCACCTTACTCCTGCAATAATGACCGTAATCAAAAAAGTCAAAAAAAAAAAAAATAGATGTTGGCATGGATGTGGTGAAAAGGGAACCTTTCTACAGGGAATGTAAACTAGTACAACCACTATGGAAAACAATGTGGAGATCCCTTAAAGAAAGAAAAGTAGAACTATTATTTGTTCCAGCGATCCCACTACTGGGTATCTACCCAGAGAAAAAGAAGTTATTATATGAAAAAGATACTTGCACACACGTTTATAGCAGTACAATTCACAGTTGCAAAAATGTGGAACCAACCCAAATGCCCATTAATCAACAAGTGGATAACGAAACTGTGGTACATATATGTGATAGAATACTACTCAGCC
Organism: Homo sapiens; assembly: GCF_000001405.40. NCBI lineage: Eukaryota > Metazoa > Chordata > Mammalia > Primates > Hominidae > Homo > Homo sapiens. Next base: position 14,602,772 of record NC_000023.11, on the reverse strand, counting down.
ATAAAAAGGAATGAATTAATGGCATTCACAGCAACCTGGATGGGACTGGAGACCATTATTCTAAGTGAGGTAACTCAGGAATGGAAAACCAAATATCACATGTTCTCACTCATAAGTGGGAGCTAAGCTATGAGGATGCAAAGGCATAAGAATGACACAGTGGACTTCGGGGACTCAAGGGGAAAGGGTGGGAAGGAGGTGAGGGATAAAAGATTACAAATTGGGTTCAGTGTATACTGCTCAGGTGCTGGGTGCACCAAAATCTCACAAATCACCACTAAAGAACTTAAGTCATGTAACCAAATGGGACCTTTTTCCCAAAAACCTATGGAAATAAAAAAATTGAAAAAAAAAGGAAAAACAAACTACTCATTATCTTACAAAACAAACAAACAAACAAACAAACAAACAAACAAACAACGGTTTGTACATAGTCTTCAGCTCTCTGCACCCAGAAGGGGTTACTCTGCTCCACTTTCCTCTTTCCTTAACTTTTTTGAACTCCAGTCAGCTCTGGCTGATCCTTATATCAGGATATTCGTTGAGCTACCATCTCATTTCCACCATTTCCCTTTTTAATCCTTAAGGGAATGATGCACACCTCTTGCTCTCCCATTTTTCTGTATCTCCAAGATTCAAGGAAGGAAATTAGGATTGAGAATTAGTAAGTCTTGGTTCCCTTCCTAGTACTGCCTCAAACTATCTCTTCCCCCAAACAAGACCTTAAACTTGCTAAACATTTGTTTTGTCATCAACCAAATGATGAGGTAGGTAAGATGATGCTTATTCTCATTTGATCCTAATACTACAATCCGTATTTTTCTAAAGTTGACTGCTTCAAATTCTGTTCATCGTATCTCAAACACCTTTTATATCCAAAGACCCCTCGAATTCTCACACTGTTGCCTAAACTCTCCCTTGCTGTCATGCTCATTCTTGCTCTGCCTTCCTGCTTCCTTTATTTTTCCTTTCTCTGCTTCATTTTTACAATCTATTCAAGTAAAAGCAAACAAAACAAAATTTAGCACATGTATTTTAAAGAAAGGAAAGGGTTGCGATTTGAAGTCAGATTAGACAAAGAATCCACGCTGACAATCATCAAAATTATTAAAATATAATGACTGGAAAAAGAAAGATATAAAACAGTGCAATGTAAAAACATGTTTTAAATCTTGGAAATAAGCACACCATTATATTTTTGGTTAGTGGGATGATTCATATTTTGTTTTTATTCTTTATCTTGCATTATCTGAATTGAGCAGTATAAATTATTTGAAAATGTCCATAAAAACTATTCATATAACAGCTTTCCCATCTTTGTGTAATTAGCTGTGCCTTTCTTCAAACAATAACTGAAAGGTAAAATTACAAAATTCCATTTCGTTCAGTAATTTTTTGCTATTACAATCATATCATGATTATTAAAAATTTGCCACAAACCTACAGCATTTCACATTCATTGCTAAATAAATTAGCTACCTTCCGTGGGCTATTCTGAGAACCCAAACATGTCTCTAAAGGAAAAAATGTGGCTTATAGTTCTAAACAACTGACTTAAAAATAACATTTTAGGCAGGAAAAATTGTTGTCAATTATGGAGTTCATTTACAGATATAGCTATAGATATACAGATATTTAGTTTTTGGTTCCCAGCATAAAGACTTTGTTTTTTTGAAAACACAATTTTGTGTAGATTAATGCCATGAACTCTTTGAAATAAGGACAGAATATAAGAACCAAAAAAAAGTAAACAAACAAACAAAAAAAAAAACAACAACAAAGCTGACACCTTATTAAAGGTGAAAAAAATTCAAAAGGATCCATGAGCTTAAAATTATTATTACCATAATGAGAATCTATTTTTTTTCTATTTTTCAAAGAAGAAATAAATATTTTCATCATACAAAAATATGTTCATTCATAACTTGTCTATTATGAATAGTGCTGCAAAAGGAAACAAAGCCTCAATTAGACAGAAGGAATAAATTTTTCTTTCATGGAGATATATTGCATAGCTTGGTGAAAATAGTAAATAATAATGCATTGTATATTTCAGAATTGCTAAGAGAGTAAATTTCAAGTGTTCTTACCATAAAAAAATAATAAGTATTTGAGGGAATGGATATGCTAATTTGCTTGATTTAATAACTCCACATTCTATTCTTAAATCATAACATCACTTTGTGCCCCATAAACATAAACAACTATAATTTGTCCATTTACAATTCAAAAAATTAAAATTTAAATTAAAAAAATGTTCATTATATGAAAATAATTAGATGGCATATGGATAATTGGTTTCAGTGAATCAAAACCAAAAAATCTGGAAATTTCATTATAGTTTTGAAAAGTTTAAAGAAATTAAAAATAATAATAATGAAGATGAACACAGCTTAAAAGAACATGTTCTTTTAAGAATGTCACAGAATTCAACTATATATTGGTTTGTTACTGGAAACAACCCAACTTTAATATTCCTAATCATAGGCTTGCTGAATTTGACTGTTTTGCAAAATGACCTTTTCACATTTCTTCAGGAAGCAGAGATCTCACACACAATTATTGCTGCCTTTGTGGCAGATCTAACTATCCTAGAGGGGCTCAGCATTTTGGGAGCCAAAACTATTAACAGCATGGGAGACCCCACTGAGAGAAATACCTAACAAGCATGACCCTATCCCTGAATCTTGTCTCAGCTGAGAACTCAGTGGGTTTTTTTTTCTTCTTTGTTTTTCTAATTTCCTTTCTAGATAGGTTTTGTACTGGAACCCAGTGGGTGCCAATAATAAGGAGGAGAGTTAACAGTTCCGCAGTTTGTTAAATCATGAGCAAATAGAAAGATATTGTAAAGATCTAATAAGTCCCTGCCTGAGCCTCAGAGCTCATCATTTATGACATCCAGTCTACCGTGCATCTAAAGGCCTAAGATCTAGGTTTTTCCCGCTACTTATTTTTTCCTTTTTCATTTTTTCTACTGAAGTGTACATTAAATACAGTAAAAAAACACAAATCTTAAGATACAGTGCAATTACTTTTTACATCTGTATTCACCTATTTAACAAGCTTTCAGATCCAGATTTAGAGCATTCCCATCACCCTAGAATATTTCATTATGCTCCCAGACAAGAATCTACAAAAGTGCCACCCCATTTGCTATTTAAAAAGGCTATTTTATGATTTTTTAAATATGAGTTTGGGGGAAAAAAAGAACTTGATATTATTTTGTACAGACATGCAGAAATTGCACCAAATAAGGCTGATATGTCTATACACCAATATACTAAAATGTGAACAATTTTTATCTCCTTTGCTCTGGCTTTTCACCCACTTTGGGTGGGTCTCACAGAATTAACTATTTTAGTCGGGAAGCCAGTAGTCTTCCGAACTTGCCTGGACACTCAGACTTCTCACTGGCAGACATTGACCAGCATGTCAGATTTGTCCTCTTCCCCGATAATCTGAAATATTAAGGCCATTGCACATGAAGGCATTGAGCTGAGGCTGCCCCTCTTCCTTTTGATTTTTGTTAAATAACTCATTTCCTGAAGCATTATTGTCCGTTCCTCCACTGTGCATTCAGGGCACCCCTGCTCCTGTTTGCACAAGGGAAGAAGTAAAGTTCCTTCACAGAGGCCCTGCTTCTTTACTGAAAGTAAGAAGGCTGAGCAAGCATTCCTATTTTAAAGGCAAAGAATAGAACAAAGCAAAGAAAGTCCGTCTCCCAAAATCTCACCTTTCCTGCCCTTTCCCTTTCTTACTACTTTCCTATTGAGTTCACCTTGCTCATAAAACCATCTCTTGGGTTTATACCTCACTTAAAATTTAAATGACTGATAGATGCAGACACTGTAAACTATTTCAGTTACCTTTACAGTTGTTAAATCAAATATTGTAATTTTTATATTTTTTATTTATTTTTCTTCCCTACTACAATGCAAGATTTATGAAGGCTGAACCCCTGTCTCTGCTTAGACCAGAGTAGGTATCCAAGAAATATTTATTGAACAAATTAATGAATCAGTATCCTAAAATTTGTGTGAGAATTTCAGGCTTTTATTCTGTGGAAATGGGAAAGGTTAAAGGATTTAGAAGGGACGAGGCCAGTCATCAGAGTCCACAGGATGCTGCTAAATTACAGGACTGTCAAAGCTTGCCTGGTGCCTCCGCTAAGTTGCTGGCAGATTCTCACTAGAAATAAAACAAATCAAGTTAAAGGAATGCCAGGAAGCCTGGCTGACTTGTCCTGGAACCTTGGTCAACTAGTTAGGGCCATGGCTGGGGCTATTTTCACATTGCTAGAAGAATGTAAATTAATCATTTAACATTACAATGTTATGGCAGACAGAAGGCTGCTTGACTCATAAAGCAACTACTGGTTCATAAGGAACTTAGAATTAGAACTCGGAGTTCATTCCCAATGAAACTCTTGAGGGAAAAATACCATTTGAAGAGAAGATGAATTTTCAGGTACAAATACAAATTTTAATGAGTGATCTGCTTCCCTAAAGCAAGGATTGACAACATGCTATTTTTGGAGAGTTAATTCTAATGATTACAATAGTTTCTCTTGTTCAGAGAGGAAGGACAAGAGGATGTTTCTGTGTCTTTCAGGACGAACAAGAGAGTCTTGGGGGTATTGCTGTTCCTCTGTTGGGACCACATTTATCTCTCTTTATGCAGCACACCACAAACTTTCAGTGGCACATGGACACATCTGGGGGCTGGAACCTATGGTGCTCCTTTAGGATGAAAATACTTAGGCAAACTAAAAATTAAAGTGATGGTGATAATAGTATTAATAATCATAATTCTCAGAACACCTGCTGTGGGTCAAGCATTCTTATTATTTTATAATCACTGAGTATTATCACACAAGGCAGACAGTGTTACCTCCATTTGTGAGATAAGCAAATTGAAACTCACAGAGTTTAAGCTTTGTTCCCAAAGTCATAAAACCACTAAGCAACCGAAGTTAGATTTGAATACAGCTTTAACCGACATCAAATTCCCTTTATTATTTCCCACTCTATCACATTTCACATTTCCTCCTTAGGAAAATAATCTGTTACCAATTTATTATCCTCTTTTGTCTATGAAGCCAGCAGAGTTGGTCATAGACACCTTAGTTGCCTTGTACCTGCTCAGGGATACCCCTTTCATTTTTCCTCAGACACCCAGAATCCTCATGGCTTGTTGTTTTAAAAACTCCTCCAGCCTCTCCCGGCAACCCAGAAACCTGGGTGATAGACCTGGCTTACCCATAAAGAGCTATTTGATCTTGACTAAATCTCTGGGCCTCCCCCAGCAAACATCCCCATCCTGCTCAACATCTCTGTGATTATAAACTATAAGTGAAGGCAACCAGCTTGAAGGATTTCCTCTTATAGGTAAATTTACCCTCTTGAATATGATGAAAACTTTAAGTGCAAGTAACACTTCTTAAAATAGGAACTTCTTGGCAATCTGGGCAGATAGGTGAGACATTTATTGCTTCCATAGGGCTTTGTCATCCAACATCCTAGAACACTATTCACTCTTTCACTGAGAACATAAGGAAGGCCTTCCTGTACCATGTTGATCCGTTGAATCTTTCCTCCCAGTTGTACCTTGAAATTTCTGAACCATGTGACATTCTAGTGTCAGGGAGATTTGACAGGATGCATCAAGTATCAAACAAGAGTGTCATCTTAACCCACCTAGACCTTAAGTGAAATTAGCCTGGGGGCAAGTTAGAAGTCAAGTTAAAAGTGCATCATTAATACAGCCCACACATGGAGAGAGGGAGGGAAGATTAGGAAATCACTGGGATAAAAAACACCGCTAGGCTGGTTGTCTGATCAACCATCTTTTAGTATAGTGGGTTTCAGTCTCTGGTGGGCATAAGCATTGTCTTATGGGCTTGGTTAGAATGCAGATTATCAGGCCCTCTTGATAAAGCAGCCCAGGTTACACCAATGCTGGTTTCCTGGAGCACACTTTAAGGAGTACTACTTCAGCATATCCCGAGGGATGACTTTGATTTCTGTCAATGTGATAGACAAAAAGGAGAAGGTTTTAAGAAAGAGGTCTATAATTTTTCAGTAACAGTAGCACTCCTTTGGGAAATATTATTATTATTTTCTTTTTGAGACAGAGTCTCGCTCTGTCACCCAGGCTGGAGTGCAGTGGCATGATCTCGGCTCACAGCAACCTCCACCTCCCGAGTTCAAGCGATTCTCCTCCCTCAGCCTCTCGACATTAGGGTAGGACAGTTAGCCTCAAGTAGGCTGCTAAGTGATTGGACTAGGGGTAATGATACAAGTTGGGGGTGTTAATCATGGGCTTCAGTCACATTGGAGAGGTATACTGGTTAAGTCAGGGCAGTGAAGCCAAAATCAGTCCACTGGCAACCAAGAATATGGTAGATGTGGCTAGGAAACTGGGAGAGCTGCTAAGAGGGTTAGGAGGACAGTTTCTAGGTAAGATAGAGAAGAAGCCAAGACCATCATGCCTTTTAACACATGCCAGTGTGCAAAGGCCAAAAGTAGGCAGTGAACTCTACTCAGGGCGATGGCAGCATATCAGATTACTGTCTCTGATGTCTGGAAAATAGGCCACCAAGAAATTTCAAAAGAAGTTAGGGAGGTGGCTGCAACCTGCATTGAATGAACCACAACAAAAATTTTAGGAAATCTCATGGTACTGGTCATAAAGAACAGAGTACATGGGAAGACTAGCTCTAGGTCCTATTGTGGAGGGATTGGTGTTAAGCAGGACTGCATCTGGGCTGTAACTTAGTATTATACATCCATTCAGCAATATTTTGGCAAATATTTATTGGGCACCAGGCACCAGACACTTAAAATAAGACAGTGTGTCTCTTGAAGGAGATCACAACTTAATATCAGAATTGCAGATATGTATCCTAATAGTTTCAATTTATTATTGAACTTTTCGAAGTTGTTTCCAACTCTCCCACTTAGACAATACTTTTGATGATGTGAATCAGACACACGTGAACAGAATCAAGTAAAGGACCTTTAATTACTCCCTTGGGGCCCAGATAAGCACTCACAGTGATCGGGTAGAGCAGGTTATCTATTCTTACATACCTGGATCCTTAGAGGGCCCTTTTGGTCTATCAGAGAAGCATGACTTGATGCTCCTGAATTGAACCTGAGGTACCCACATGAGGATCTTTATTCACAGAAAACAAAAGGAATTGGTCCAAGTCTGGTTAGGCAGGCAAGGAATGAAATTTTTTAACTTACCATTTCTGAAAGCTCTGTGATTAAATGGCTACTTTGAACTTACATCATGTAATGCATAGAGAGAGTCCTGCCTACTCCAGCCCTGAGCTTGGCACCTGGGAAGACTTTCCACCTAATCAAAGTTTGAAAAATTAATGGTGTATAAATTGTTGGGAGTTCCACAAAGGTCCCAATATATCCTTGCTCAAACACCTTCCAACTCTTAGCTGCTATATATAATAAATAAATACACATTTAGCTAAAGGCTTCTTTGACTATTAAGATGCAAAGCTAGGAAGAGAAATGTGTTTCAAGTACTGTTACTCATTTCCTTCTTTGTGTAAATAAATTGATAGATTCCCAGATTCCCTATTGATATCTCCAAGGGCAGACTGTCATACTAAGAAAATCAAAGGGAAAGATGAAACTAGATGAAAAACAGGGCTCAGAACAGTGTGGCTGGGCACCAGAGACACATCATTTTTTCAATATTGTCTAAGGCTGGACCTAAATCCCAGGTTGTTTCTAAGCTGTATGGTTAGACTCTTTCCTCTCTATTAATTCCAAATAAGCACTTTTGCTGTTTTTTTTTTTTTTTTTTTTCCTGTTGACCTTGGGATGTAGAGGAGATAAATGGCAACACTGCTTGGCTCATTAGCTATTCTCCTCTCCCCTGACTAAAATCCCAGTGGCTGAGTAGGAAGGTCCATGTTTACCAAATATTATAAAGGCATCATAAAAAATACCCATATGCACTGAGCAATAGTAGCTGGGAAGGACAAAAATACAATATCTGTTCCCATCTGTGTGTGGTCCTTTCAGAAAGTGTGCACACATATGGTTGGCCCATGTTAATTAAGTCCAAATGTGGATTGGATTCAACTTGGAGAGCAACTGATAAATCTGCAGCTAAAATTTTCCCAAATGCTTTGATATTTCCTGGATGAAAATGTTTTGAAGGTGTTGAATAGAAGAGGGATAAATTGAACACCATCAGAGGAAGGAACTCAAATTACCAAAGATTTAAATAATCAATACTCCCCCACATCTTAGTTACATTTTACATTTCAAAGTCATTTCACATCTAGTATTTATATATCAAAACATTGGTGAAGGTAAAATGTAGCCTGCACATTGAAATAATGAGAACTGCCTTTTTCATTGTTACTATGCGTCTAGTATTACAGCTATTTAATCGTGGCACTGAGGTGAAGAAAGGGAGAAAGTTACTGTACAGTGTAGCAATTTTTAAAATGTTTTGAGTTCATTTTACTTTAAAAAAAAGGGGGAAGAGAACACGTGTAAGCATGCTTATGAACTGCAGATACCGTTTTGAGAAAACCAAAGTAACCTTGTACCTGTTGACAACTGAGGGCAAAATTGTGTTACCTGGCTGATATTTTGCTGCGTTAAAAAGACTTCCACTGTGGTAACTGATGGAGACTTACTGACCACTGTTTCTGGTGGCAAAGTTTGGAGAGAGAATGGAGTTCTGGTCAGTTGATAGGATGGTCCATCCTTGACTGGATAACACTTTGAAACCAAGCATAATTCCTCAGTTTACTTTTAACAAGCAGCTAAAGGGGAGGAACAGCATCAGCTAAACTATTATCTGAAAGTAGATGCAACTGTCACCTCTGTTATGAGCTACATGTCTCCCAAAAAGAGGAAACTCAAGGCAAGGAGAGTATCCATCTGCTTTGGACTAAGTGTGGAAAGTGAGTGGAGCCTGAATGGTACAAGTATGTCCATACGTATGTGTTAAGGAAGGTAAGGGGCGTTGTCGCCCTTACTTCCTCCCTTTTATCCTACAGCCAACTCAGGGATAATTAAGACATTCATTGAACATTTATTGTGAATCTGGAACTGAGAAAAACTGCAGGTCAAAGAAAGGTTAAATGACTTTTTATGGTCATTTAGTAAAATTGGATTTGAATCCAAGTATTCCTGACCCTCAGAACTGACATTTGTCCCACCCCAATAGAATTCTGTCTTTAATCCCCTAGCATACTTTTTGCTTTCTATCCTTCATCTGACTGCTCAAGTTTAGCAAAATATCCATACTAAAATGAAACATCAAATAAAACCTTTATTTTATTGTCATTTGAAATAACCAATCAATCAGAAATGAGATGGCTTTGCTCTGAGAGTATATCTCATGTGGAACTTCACATAATTGTATTAATATACGTACTTAATAATCTTTTAATGACTGTCCAATGATAAATATCGTATCCTCTTTGATACAGATGTTGGTTTGTAATTTTAAACACCACAAGCGAGAAGAAACTTGTTGGAGAGACTGCTGAGATACGCAGATGGACACATTTTTTTTTCCATTTTAAAATAAAGTACCTTTTCCTTTGGATTATGTGCTGTGAGAATGAACTAAAGTAATTCATATGTTTCATAAGAGCCATGGTGACATTATGCATGTTTATTTTGGTATTAATGTCATCCAGGGAGCCTTTCAAAGCAGCAGTGTGGACCAGGTAGAAGCCCACATTAATGTAAGTTGAGCACCCTCACCAGAACCTCTGGTTTTCCTTTGGCTTTCTGCCATGAGAAAGTTCAGGTGATGAGTAATAATAGCAGACTAGCTCTTCAACTCTGCTGGCTCAAATCTACCACATGATTCCTTTAGTCTACATATTCAGTCAATTATTTTCCCAGCCAACCATCTTTGTGTAATTGTCTAAAAGTATATAAACCTATGTTTCATGAACATATTCTAAAATAATAGTTCACAGATATTCCTGGTGATTGAATCAGAGGGTACAAATGATCTAGTTTACGACTGGGAAGTTTCTCAGGGCACTTGATACTGAGTATTTGTCATTGTGTAAACTATATGTTGAATTTTTCTTTTTTTGAGACAGAGTCTCACTTTGTCATCAAGGCCGGAGTGCAGTGGCATGATCTTGGCTCACTACAGCCTCGACTTCCTGGGCTCAAGCTATCCTCCTGCCTCAGCCCCCTAAGTAGCTGGGACTACAAACACACGCCACCAAGCCCAGCTAGTTTTTTTGTATTTTTTGTAGGGATGGGGTTTTGCCATGTTGCTCAGGCTTGTCTTGAACTCCTGAGCTAAAGTGATACACCCTCCTCAGCCTCCCAAGTGCTAAGATTGCAGGTGTGAGCCACTCTGCCCGGCCATGTTGAATGTTTTAACGCTGCCTCTTAAATTACAGGTAGTCCAAACCTCCCTAACCTACTCCAAAATCAGGTTCCTCTTCTCAGGAGTTGTATATTTAATTCAGGAGAAAAGGGTTCAAAGATCCAAGTAGTTTAAGACAGGCACCTTGAAATTCTGAATCTCCTCTGCTGACTCAAGCCCTAAGGGACATGAAGAATGCACTCTTATTTACTCATCAGGAAAGTGTTTTGTGGTTTGGGAAGGAGAGGGACGTTATTTTGAGTTACAGACTTATAATAGTGCTAGAAGGAGCCTCATACTTGGTCTAAGTGTCTGGTTCAGTCTCATTTTATAGAGGAAACTGAGACCCAGAATGATAAACTTATGGAGCTGGAAAGGCTGTTCTATGATCCTGGGAGATACAGTAAATGATGAAAGGAAGTGTGGAGATCACAATGCCCTGAGCCATCTTCTCAATATTCTGTTCTTTGTACCATTGCCTGAAGAGCAAACTGATGAATGTTAATGAAATGTAAGGTTACCTCTAAATGGAAGAAAACCTACTGGTTGCTATTGCTAGTCCAGTCACGTAAACAGTTAAGGACAAGTGGTCATGCTAGCTGCCATGTATTTCATTGATCAAGTCTCTCCTTTCCTCCAAACAAGCATAAGATCTGTAATGGTTAATATTGAGTGTCAACTTGATTGGATTGAAGGATGCAAAGTATTGTTCCTGGGTATGTCTATGAGGGTGTTGCCAAAAGAGATTAACATTTGAGTCAGTGGACTGGGAGAGGCAGACCCACCCTCAATCTGGCTAGGCACATCATCTAATCAGCTGCCAGCACGGCTAGAATAAAGCAGGCAGGAGAAGATGGAAGAGCCAACTTGCTGAGTCTTCCGGTCTTCATCTTTCTCCTGTGCTAGATGTTTCCTGCCTTCGAACATCAGACTCCAAGTCTTCAGCTTCTGGACTCTTGGGCTCACACCAGTGGTTTGCCAGGGGCTCTTGGGCCTTTGGCCACAGGCTAAAGGCTGCACTGTCGGCTTCCGTACTTTTGAGGTTTTGGGACTCAGACTGATCCACCACTGGCTTCCTTGTTCCTCAACTTGCAGACAGCCTATCATGGGACTCTATCTTGTGATGGTGTGAGTCAGTCAGTTCTCCTTAATAAACTCCCTTTCATAAATATATGTAATATGTAACTTGTAGTTCTGTCCCTCTAGGGAACCCTGACTAATACAAGATCCTTACTCTGTTGTGTCTGAACCAATATTAGGTCCCATAGTGTTTGCGTATTTCTAACCTGAGCAGGAGCTCAACAAAGCTTTCCATACTTTATGAGAGTCTGTCATACATACAACGCACTTTCTGGACCTTCATATTTCTACCCTCAGCTGTACCTTTTTAAAGAGCCCCTCTCCAAAAACAGCCCCTCCACACCACAGCTCCTGCTGAATCCACTAGCATATGTGCATGCCAGTGCTTCCCACCCTCCCGACCTTGCTCGCCTCTAGGAAGAATGGAATCATTGTGGTTTCCATGGCATTTCCCAGCACTTCTCTGAAGACTGCTTAATTCTGATGTGGACGCTTATGTTACAGACATTAATTACTTAAGTCACAATACTAATGAGGATTTGGACACAGAGTTAGAAAATGAGAATGTAATTTTGCCTGGATTATAGAACATAAAGATAAATAATGGTCCAAATATGCACAGCGAAAAGAAATCATAGTTTTTCATAGCTGCCTTCTAATAGAAAATACGGGCTTATGTGTCTCATCAAAATTGAGAGTAAGGTAATCAAAGCAACACCACTGGCAACATTTAAGGCAGGTCTCAGTTCATTGTACATTTTATTTTTGGCTCTGACATCTAAATAGAGAATGTCCTTATTCCCTATGCCATAAAAAAATATATAACTAAAGTTAGAATCTTTTGAAGTTCTTGCATCAGACTATAGGATGAGTCAAGGATGGGAGGCCATGTGAGAAAAGCTAGCCTTTTATGTATGTGGGTAGAGTTGGTCATTAGACAAGATTGTTTGGAGGAACATCGTTGGATGTCTGTCTAGAAATCTGCACTATACCTACTCTCAGTGGTGCCTGTAATCTATCATCAGAGGGAAAAGCGTGTCAATCCCCAAGAGTTCTCTATTACAACTCAAGTACTACTGGGAAGGCAGAATACTGAATTATCAACACCCAGAATTGCAAATAGAATCAAAAGGGATTAACAAGCAAATCACCTCCAATGCCATAAAGTTTTAGGTGCCAATAAGTTTTAGGTCAGATAAAGGTTGATGATGAGGTAAACAGATGCTTTGGTGATATGGGGTGCTATTGTTGAGGGGCAATTTTATAATTATTTATGGGTTATTAGATGGTAGTATGAGGCCCCCAGATAACTGGTCAGTTTAATAACACACTGAAAGCAAACAATATTTCCTTAATCACTTCACCTTTAGGCATACCCATTCTGGAGGCATGCAGTAAATCTGGAAACAAAGCTCAAGCTCTTAACAGTTGGAGGGTCATAGCTTCTTTAATAAAGATAAGGACCTTTTCCTCTAAACAAACAAACAAAAAATAGCTTAAATAACCTAATGCACAAAATATGCATATATATATACATATATATACATATATACACACATATATATACACATATATATACACACACATATATGTGTGTATATATATACACTATACATATATATATATATATTTTTTTGAGATAGAGTCTCGCTCTGTTGCCCAGGCTGGAGTGCAGTGGCACAATCTCTGCTCACTGCAGCCTCCGCCTCCTGAGTTCCAGTGATTCTCCTGTCTCAGCCTCCTGAGTAGCTGGGACTACAGGCACCCGACACCATGCCCGGCTAATTTTTGTACTTTTTTTTTTTTTTTTTAGTACAGATGGGGTTTCACCATTTTGGCCAGGATGGTCTCGATCTCCTGACCTCATGATCCACCCATCTCGGCCTCCCAAAGTGCTGGGATTACAGGCATGAGCCACCGCGCCCTGCCAAAATATGCATATATTTTGAGGAAGGTTCAAGCAAAACCATATGATCATCCCAATAGACACAGAAAAATCTTTTGATAAAATTCAAAATCCTTTCATGGTAACAACCATCAACAGACTAGGAATCAAAGGAACATCGCTCAAAATAATAAGAGCAATCTATGACAAACCCACAGTCAACGTTATACTGGATGGCAAAAGCTGGAAGCATTCCCCTTGAGAACTGGAACAAGACAAGGATGTCCTCTGTCACCACTCCTATTAAACATAATACTGGAAGTCCTAGCCAGAGCAATCAGGCAAGAGAAAGAAATAAAAGGCATCTAAATAGGAAGAGAGGAACTGAAACTATTTCTCTTAGCTAATGATATGATTCTATACCTAGAAAACCCTAAAGACTCAGCCAAAAGGCTCCTAAATTGATAAATGACTTTAGTACAATTTTAGGACACAAAATCAATGTACAAAAATCAGTAGCATTTCTATACACCAATAACATTCCAGCTGAGAGTAAAATTAAGAACACAATACCATTTGCAATAACTACAAAAAAAATGAAATACTTAGGAATACAGCTAACCAAGGAGGAGAAAGATCTCTACAAGAACTACAAAACACTGCTGAAGGAAATCAGAGACGACACAACTAAATGGAAAAACAACCCATGCTCATACATTTGAAGAATATCATTAAAATAGTCATACTGCCCAAAGCAATTTACAGATTCAATGCTATTCCTATCAAACTAACAATGTCATTTTTCACACAATTAGAAAAAAAAACTATTCTAAAATTCATACAGAACCAAAAAACAGCCCAGATAACCAAAGCAATCCTAAGCAAAAAGAAGAAAGCTGGAGGCATCACACTACCCAAGTTCAAACTGTACTATAAGGCTACAGTAATAAAAACAACATGGTACTGGTACAAAAACAGACACATAGACCAATGGAACAGAATAGAGAACCCAGAAATAAAGCCACACACAACCAGCTGATCTTTGACAAAACAAGCTGGGGAAAGGACTCCTTTTCCCAAAAAATGGTGCTGGAATGACTAGCTAGCCATATGCAGAAGAATGAAACTGGACTACCACCTTTTACTATATACAAAAATTAAATCTAGATGGATTAAAGATTTAAGTGTATGGCCTCAAACTATAAAAATCCTAGACAGGGCTGAGCATAGTGGCTCATGCCTGTAATCCCAACACTTTGGGAGGCTGAGGTGGGCAGATCACTTGTCGGGAGTTCGAGACCAGCCTGGCCAACATGGAGAAACCCTGTCTCTACTAAAACTACAAAAATTAGTTGGGCATGGTGGCATGCACATATAATCCAAGCTACTTGGCAGGCTGAGGCAAGAAAATCACTTGAACCCAGGAATGGAGTTGTCAGTGAGCCAAGATCACACCACTGCACTCCAGCCTGGGTGACAGAGTGAGATGTTGTCTCAAAAGAAAAAAAAAAAAAAATCCTAGACAGAAGCTAGGAAACACCATTCTTGACACTGGCCTTGGAAAATTATTTTTAGACAAGTCCCCAAAAGCAATTATAACAAAAACAAAAGTTGCCAAATGGGACTTAATTAAACCAAAGAGCTTCTTCACAGCAAAAGAAATTATCAATAGAGTAAACAGACAAGTTACAGAATAGAAGAAAATGTTCACAAACTATGCATCTGATAAAAGCCTAATATCCAGAATCTATAGGGAACTTAAGCCAATCAATAAGCAAAAAACAAATAGCCCCATTAAAAATGGGCAAAGGACATGAACAGACACTTCTCAAAAGAAGACATACACATGGTCAACAAACATAGGAGAAAATGTTCATCATCACTGGTCATTAGAGAAATGCAAATCAAAACCACAATGAGATACCATCTCACACCAGTCAGAATGGCTATTATCAAAAAGTCAAAAAGCAACAGATACTGCAAGGCTGCAGAGAAAAGCAAACACAAACTGTTGGTGGGAATGTAAATCAGTTCAGGCACTGTGGAAAGTAGTTTGGAGACGTCTCAAATAACTTACAACAGAGATACTATTCGAACCAGCAATCCCATTCCTGGGTGTGTACCCCAAAGAAAATAAATTGTTCTACAAAAGACACATGAAATTGTATGTTCATCACAGCACTATCCACAATAGCAGACATGGAACCAGCCTAGCTGCCCATCAATGGTAGATTAAAGAAAATGTGATACATATATACCATAGAATACTACGCAGCCATAAAAAAGCATGAAATGATGCCCTTTGCTGCAACATGAATTGTGTGTGTTTGTGTCTTTGGACTTGGGTTGAAGTAAATGAGGAATTAATGTGGGGGTAGGAAATGACAGCACTGAAACAGAAGTTAAGAGCCCTGATTCTTGTCCTAGCTTTCCTACTTACTAGCTCCATTGTGACGTCCTTATCAACAAAACAAGGGTGTTGGATTAGATATTTTACAAGGTAACTTCAAATTTAAAAAAAATCCTTCTATAAAAGTCATATTTCTGACTAAATTCTCAGAAGCAATGGGATTTTTAAAAAGAAGACAATATCAGCAAAGATACTGTGGGCATGTGAGATGAGCTGTTCTTCAAAAATGCTCACCTTCTCCTTTTTTCTTTCATGTTGTCCACCATATCCCATGATGTCCTGACCTTTATTCCAACTCACAATATTAAATTCAACAAATATTGTTTAAACAATAATATGTACAACCTTCAAGACTCACCTCACTATTTCAGTATGGATTCAAGTATGGATTCATTGTAAGTAATGTGAATTTAGAATTTGACTCTCTCTGAATTTAGAATTTGACTCTTTCCCCATCCCAGATGAAGGACCACATGTTACTCAGTACTTGATCTCTATTCTCTGGATTATTGACTTTCTCTGAAGAAGGTTTACAAATCAAAATGTATACTCTTGTCAGAGATGATCAATAATTAATGGGGCAGGTCAACAAACAACTTAGGAAAAAACAGAGAGTAAGATAAAACATTAGAGAATGAATATTAAAGAAAAATGGACAGAAATGGATTTGGTACTTTTTCATCAACAAAGATTGTGTCCTACATCACTGGATAAAAGGTTTATTAACACTGAGATAAGGCCTTTCCTTCCTATTTAAAAGATTTGTTTGAATTTTAGTCAAGGTACCCCAAGTGTTCATAAGGATGACACTTACGGAGTTCTGGTCTACTGCCTTCTCTTTTTTTTTAGACCCCTACCTTTTGGAATACAGATATATGAAGTATTAGGAAAGGTGATCGTGCTTGTTATGAAATCAGTGGACTGTATATTTCTATATTTGTTTTGTTTGACAATCAAAACCTTGGGCTTTGGTGCCCATATAGAGTTAATTCTACCCCTACACCTACAAAGCCAAGAAAAGCATGGAATTTTTCCCAGATTAAATGCAATTGATATTTGCTTTAGGTTTCAGGAAAATGCAAATACAGAGTATCAAGACAGAACATTACTTTTTAAAATGTGGACCACATGCTTACATAATTAAATAATTGCTTAAGTATTTACTGTGTATGTGGAGACAGTTTTAGGGTTTTTATTTGGTACTTCTAGCCCCTTCCTTGTATCTTTCCCAACCTTTCTTCATTCTATCCCATTTCTCCTCTTAGGAATCCAGTATGTTCATCCTCAGAAATAAATTTTATATCAGCTCTTTAGAGTTTAGTATGGATTTAAGCCAGTGGATTTCCTCTCCTGGGAGTATTTGTGTTGTAAACCTGAGTATGCAGGGAAATTACTTTCTAATGGAACGTCAGCAGGAACTTTTCAGCACCTTTAAGACATGGACACAACTGTACCCCCCTTGGCCTTAAATTTGAGTCAAACCTGCAGCTGGGCATATATTAGCATTAGTTACTCCTTGACCTCTAGTTAAATTGAGCCCACTGACAAACAGGACTGTGGATGCCAACTGCCAAATTCTGACAATATTTTGATCACATACTTCATTTGCAAAATTAGAGCCACTTTTGTTTTCCTTGTTTCCTATTTATTCCTATTACTTAATTTATCATGCATCCACCTGCCTTGTTAGACTGAAGTCATTCCAGGGGAAAGACCACATCTTACTTAGTTCTGGATCTCTAGACCCAGTACAGTATCTGGTTCATCAAAAGCCCTTCTAGGCAAATAATTAGATTCTTGCAGTTCAAATCTCCGAACAGCTTGTATTTTCTTAAAATGATATCCCCAATTCTCCTTTACCAAGGTTTTTTATTTTGATTTCAGAAAATACTCACAATGAAAGAAAAGTATAAAATAGCCTGCACAGGACAATCCCCACCTAATCCAAAACAGTTGTCAGGGCATTTCAGGGCCTGTAATGTGCTATGCTTGGGAACCAGAGACACAAGAATTGCCTCTGGGTCTAGGCTTGGGAGCATCATACTCTTCATGATTCTAGAATGTAAAGACCTTCACAAAACAGCAAGAAAGCAACAACAGCAACTACAATCTGATTTTATTTCAGCAGTGTGTGATGCCTGGTATTCATTAGAGCAAATGCCACCCAAGGCCTGGAGGATTAGCTGGGGCAGCTGATGCTCTGTGCTGCTTTTTATAACTCTCCTTCCTAGCACCACACTCCACATATGTCCCATTTTCTCAGGTCCGATCAATTTATGTTGTGCTCAGTACTGCATTTTACACCAACCAAACACATCACCATGGAGAATGTTTTGTGTTTCCTTAAAAATGAATGGTCACTGGGGGAAGTTTCCTGGTTTTCTGTGCAAGCAGTGACTTTGCCGCTTTTTACAAATGAGCAGCTTCTTTTATTCCACAAGACATTGGGGCTGTCAGCCATCAGCATGCTGTGAAATTACTAGGTATAAGAATGGAATTTACAATACAGAACCAAATCATATACAGAGTTGTCAAATGAGGTGATGATGGTGAGTCTGCAGACTTGGAAAAATTATTTGCAAGGAGACTAGCTGTTTACTTTTTTGGTAATAAATTTATATAGCGAAAGGGGGCATTCTGTTAAGGACCTTTAAATGCCAATACTTTATTCAATGTACTGTCTCTCATATACAGTACATTGTCCTAGACATTTGGTAGATGTTACAAAAAAGACAAAAACCAAATATCTTGAATTGAAAGAGCTAAGAGCTTACTACTGAAAAGGAACATTAATTTTTCTAAACGCTGATTTTAGGTTCAGGGATACATGTGCAGGTTTCTTGTATAGGTAAATTGCATGTCATCGGGGTTTGGTGTACAGATTATTTCACCACCCAGGCAATAAGCGTAGTACCCTATAAGGCAGTTTTTTGATTCTCGTCCTCCTCTTTCCCTCCACCCTCAAGTAGGTCCCAGTGTCTGTTGTTCCCTTCTTTGTGTCCATATATATTCAATGCTTAGTTCCCACTTATAAGTAAGAACATGCAGCGTTTGTACTGCATGTTCAGTTGAACAGTACTGTACTATTCTATACTATTCACTGAACAGTATTCTTCTGTTCCTGTGTTAGTTCACTTAGGATAATGCCCTCCAGTTCCAACCATGTTGCTGCAAAGGATATGATCTCATTCTTTTTTATGTCTGTGTAGTATTCCATGGTGTACAGTGCCAGTTTTTGTTTTGTTTGGTTTTTTGTTTTTGTTTTTGTTTGTTGACACAGAGTCTCACTCTGTCACCCAGGCTGGAGTGCAGTGGCACTATCTCGGCTCACTGCAACCTCCGCCTCCCAGGTTCAAGCGATTCTCCTGCCTTAGCCTCCTGAGTAGTTGGGACTACAGGCACGTACCACCATGCCCGGCTAATTTTTTATATTTTTTAGTAGAGACGGGGTTTCACCATATTGGCCAGGCTGGTCTTGAACTCCTGACCTCGTGATCCACCCATTTCGGCCTCCCAAAGTGCTGGGATTACAGGCGTGACCCACGGCGCCCAGCCGCCACATTTTCTTTATCTAGTCTACCACTGATGGACATTTAGGTTGATTCTGTGTCTTTGCTATTGTGAATAGTGCTGCAATGAGCATACATACACGTGCATGTGTCTTTATGGTAGAATGATTTATATTCCTTTGGGTATATATCCAATAATGGGATTGCCTGTTCAAATGGTAATTCTGCTTTGTTTGAGAAATTGCCAAACTGCTTTCCACAATGGCTGAACTAATTTACATTCCCACCAGCAGTGTATAAGTGTTCCGTTTTCTCTGTGACCTCACCAGCATGTGTTATTTTTTGACTTTTTAATAATAGCCATTCTGACTGGTGTGAGATGGTGTCTCATTGTGGTTTTTATTTGCATTTTTCTAATGATTAGAGATGTTGAGCATTAAAAAAAAAGAACTGATTTTAAAATACAGATAGCCATTATTTTATTTATCAAACATTTACTCTGTGTCAGGCACTGCAGCAAGTATTTTTAATATATCTTATATCAAGGGTTGGCAAACTACAGCCAAAGGGCCAAATCCAGTCCACCATCTATTTTTGTAAATAATATTTTATTGAGACACAGCCGTGTCCAATTGTTTGCATATTACCTATGGCTGCTTTTGAGCTATAATGATAGAGTTGAGTAGTTGCAACAGAGGCAATCTGGTCTGCAACATTTAAGATAATATCTGGCCCTTTACAGAAAATATTTGCTGACCACTACATTACTCATTCACACAAGAATATACAGAGATAAACATGGAGTTTCCCGTTTTAAAATTAAGGTAACTGAGGGTCATAGATTACATAACTTAGTAAGTGGCAAAGCTTCGATTTGATTCTAGATTTGTCTAATTCCAGAAATCCATGTTTTTATGCTATACTCATGAACAGCAATAACCAAAATAATAAGGCAGGAAAAAATAAGAGCCTTACAGAGTCACAGATAAACTGCTATTAGATAGCAAAGACTTGGAACCAACCCAAATGTCCAACAATGATAGACTGGATTAAGAAAATGTGGCACATATACACCATGGAATACTATGCAGCCATAAAAAATGATGAGTTCACGTCCTCTGTAGGGACATGGATGAAATTGGAAATCATCATTCTCAGTAAACTATCGCAAGAAGAAAAAACCAAACACCGCATATTCTCACTCATAGGTGGGAATTAAACAACGAGAACACATGGACACAGGAAGGGGAACATCACACTCTGGGGACTGTTGTGGGGGTGGGGAGGGGGAGGGATAGCATTGGGAGATATACCTAATACTAGATGACGAGTTAGTGGGTGCAGTGCACCAGCATGGCACATGTATACATATGTAACTAACCTGCACGTTGTGCACATGTACCCTAAAACTTAAAGTATAATAAAAAAATATGGAAAAAAAAAAAGAAACTGCTATATGAGTTCAGAAAAGGGGGAGATTATTTTGAGCCTAGAGTGATAACACTTCTGGAGAAGATCATATTTGAATATAAAAGCAAAAATGGATCTCAGCAATTGTCTGTCCCAGGCCCAAGTCCAAGAAAAGTTAAGAGATCAAGGTCACGTGTTTACTTAGAAGCAAAGCTGACATTGGAACCAGGTTTCCATGTATCCAGCTATAAGTATGTTGTTAATGACTATGCTGAGCTATTGAATTTGTGTGTGTGTGTGTGTGTGTGTGTGTGTGTGTGTGTGTGCATGCTTGAATGTTACAGAATGGCAGAATTATTGAAATGAGATTTTGTATATTATGCTTAATGGCAATTGAACGGAATAGCCTGTACTTCCTTTACTGAAGCAATCAGGAACACATTTGTGCAGGTGATTACACAATACCATTAACCATGTACCATCCTACCAAATACATTCTTGTTATGGAGAATCACATTTATGAGACCAAAGGGACTTCTGACACTCTCCACCAACTTTAAGATTCAAATGATAAACAAGAAACCACAAAAGTCAAATATTCATATACATCCTACCCTGCAGAATCAGGCAGCTCTACATTAGTGGAGAAATGGAGATGCGAACATGTGCAGCCAATGGAGGCTTACCTGATACTGTAGAGCACTTTGCCATTTTTCGAAATCCGTAGCAATTTGTTGTCAGTGGTGACATCGTGGAAGTTGGCACCCTTCTCATTGGCAAAGAACAAATCTGGTTTCCAAATGGAGTCTAGCATGGATGGGTCCAAGTCCAGGGAGTCATCTGGGTACTCACTGTACGCCAGCCGTGAATCATTCCACTGTTGTCTCAGAAAAATATTCACTCGGTAGTCCTACAGAAATGCCGTGGACAAGTGTTACTGATTACCCTGGCACAGGAGTTCTATTTGCATTTCTCTCTCATTCTTCTCCCTGATTTGATACAGCTTTGGTGTCCGAGTAAACCAAACTGTGTATACCTTGGTCAAAATAAACCATTTAGTTCTATTAGGAGAGGGGACAAAAGGGAGAAAGAAAAAGGAAGATTCAACCAAACCAGAACACCAATAAAACGGGTTGACTTGGTTGAATTTTTTAGTGTTTAAATTATTCATTTTGGGATGAAATAATACTAAAGCTGATTTTGCTACAGAAAAAGGTAAACAATGAACACAGAAATCAGTCTGTCATGGCAGATTGTCAAATAAAACTGATTTATTTTCCAAATCAGAAATCACATGATCTCTGATCCCTTTCTGCTGAGATGCTCTGGGCAGAAGGAAACCCACTGCGTAATTTGAGTAGTGAAAATCTTATAAAACTATGACATGATGGGGCAATATTTTAAAATTTATCAACGTAAACATTAAGATCTTTCATGTTGACAAAATATTTTCCTTGCAGCTACTTACTTTTGAAATTCTTATCATTTTGTCTGAATGTGTTGTATCTACACTAGCCAACTTGATGCTTTATCCAGAGATGTTTCACGTTCTCAATCAGAACACTGTGGGAGACTTAGGTACACCCCTGGCATTCCCATTTGGTCTGGGAATTTTCTTCTGTTAATGAATAGCTTGGGGGCAGTGACTGCTCTTCTGGGGACTTCTACTCAAAGACCTTAGGTTCATTGAAAGTACTACTTCACTTGATAATCTGGACTCCGATTGAGGCTTCAACAGTATTCCCTAACCAAGCCAGTCTGTGGTTTCAGAGCTAGTAGTTATCCACTATTGCTACGTGTGACCACAAGTGTGATATATACTAATTCATTATTACTCTCTTTCCTTTACATTTTTTACCCTTACTTGCTCCATCTCCACATATTTGGCAACTGGATTTTTGGTCATTGTTTACGTTACTCTAATGGTGACTAACTTGTCCTGGTTTGCCTGAGAACTTCCCAATTTTGGCCCCAAAACTCTCACATCCAGGGAACTTCCTCAGTTTAGGCAAATTGGGATAGTTGGTCACTCTACTGGGAGTCACTCTACTCTGGAGACCATTTCAGGATGGCAAGTTTGGGTGAATTCCCCCAGGATCAAAAGGGAAAAAAATAATTAAGTTGTAAAGATTAGGGTGTATGGAAAAAAGCTTCAATACGGTTTTTGTTTTTGTTTTTCTTTTTTACCTATTTACTAAACTATACAAATTCCCATGACTTATTTTCAAATACATTCATCCTGATGATCAAGTTCATAGAGCATTTTGGAGGCAGTAGCTCTTGGGAAGAGTGCCCAAAGTAGGCCTAATCTCAAGTCTGTGCGAGCTTTAATATGGGAAAGCTAACCTTGAGTTTGAAGTTATAGGGGGCAGTTACTTTATGATAAATTGAGGCTTTACCATTGCACTGCTAATTTAGAGACCAAGGTCACCTTATATGTTTGTTTAAAAAATGTCAGACTTGGCCCAGGTGCTGTGGCTCATGCCTGTAATCCCAGCACTTTGGGAGGCTGAAGTGGGTGCATCACCTGAGGTCAGGTGTTCGAGACCAGCCTGGCCAGCATGGTGAAACACCGTCTCTACTAAAAATACAAAAATTAGCCAGGTGTGCTGGTGCATGCCTGTAGACCCAGCTACTCAGGAGGCTGAAGTGGGAGAATTGCTTGAACCCAGGAGGCGCAGGTTGCGGTGAGTGGAGATTGCACCACTGCACTCCAGCCTGGGCAACAGAGGGAGACTCCATTAAAAAAAAAAAAAAGTCAGGCTTGTAATAGATTCTTGATTCTTCCTTAAGAAGTCAAAAATAAGAAATGTAGCTACCTGCTATCCCTGATAAGTCAGCATCTTCTTATAACTTGTTTACGCAGCTATAGAATGAAAGGGGACCCACAGTCTCATTTCAGCAGTTACAGCACAACATGCATTCTAATAAGGGGCTGTCTATCTTCTTAATCTGAGTTCTTCAGGAATGTGATTTCAGATTGGAGATAAAACAACTCTTCATTCTGCAGAAGTAACCAGCAAAGCATGTGAAATGTCTGTTGTGGGGAAGGATTTGAGGGAGCTAGAATTATATTCTGGAGATGTTCTCTGAGCAGACACATTTTGTACACTTTGAGTTCACCCTCCTATCTGTTAAATAAGGAGCAGACTAGGATCCACTGCTGTAGCATGGATAGTGTTCCAGCATCCATATGTCCAAATCACACACTATCTACCTACATCCTTCCAGGCAGTCATTTGGAAGCTGGGAAGAGAGCATCTTTTCTCTATTTTCTGATGGCCCAAACTTATGGGAAAGCTATATACAGATGGTATGAAAGCACCCTTGACCCTTACTGACATTACTAAAATTCTCAAACCATGCCTTTATATCAGGAAATAGGGGTTGCAAATATACTCCCCATCCTGTAAATTCACTTGCCGTCAGAAACTAAAGAAAAGAGAAAAATAAAAGAAAACGGTAAACTCACATTTCAAAAACAGAATATAACCTATCTTATCATTTTCTCCTTATTAGTCATCTAAGTCTTTGGGACCACACAAAATTTGTTCCACTGAATACTCTTAATGCTGGGGCAACTAGCAATGAACACTAACAGATTTCTGTGTGTCTTAATGAACAAAAATGCATTTTTGAATAATATATCCATAAAAATAATGATACATAAAAATACTCCTTAGAGTAACACAAATGTGTTGTCCTGTGAGTACACATCTCTGACACTAACATATCAGAGTGAGAATTGGTATTGGGTCTGTAAGCAGGCCTCTACTTTGTGGGCAGGCAACACCTACAATAAATTAGTGGGACTTCATTAACCATAGGAAGGGCAGACTGGATAGCAACAAAGAAAGCCATCTTGACTTCTTGAAATATATAATCATTGCCTTTGATCTGGGAACAAATACCCCAAACTAAAACTTTTAATAATGCTATTTGGATAATGGGGTGAGAGTGAAGTGTAAGGGAAGAGAGGAAAGTCAACAGGTTTAGAAACTCAAAATTCTGAGGCATTCTTTGACATAATTTATTCCAGAAAATGTAGAGAAATCAAAACTATTACCCCAGAAAATAGCACCAATCAATGTCCTCAATGACCTCATCACTGTGCATAAAGCTAAGGATTCTGACTACAACTAAAGACAGTTCAGGGAAGAATCTGTTTCTGTTTAATTTTTTTGACCAATTTTTCTGAGTCAAATTTTGTGAAACTATCAGTAAATTCATGGATGGTAAAATCTTAGCGGTATGGTAAAGAAAGCTTGGGCTGTGATGACACTTTGGGTGTGCAATGGACTGAATGTTTGTGTCCTCTCAAAATTCATATGTTGAAATTCTAACCTCCAATGTGATAGTATTGGAGGGTAGAAGCGGGGCCTTTGGGTGGTGATGAGGTCGTAAGGGTAGAGCACTCATGAAGGGGATTACTGCCCCAGATAATTTTCTTTCTACCATGCGAGAATACCAGAGGAAGTCAGCAGTCTGTAACCCAAATAGAGTTCTCATCAGAACCTGACCATGCTAGTACCCTGATCTCACACTTCCAGCCTCCAGAACTGTTAGAAATAAATTTGTGTTGTTTATAAGCCAACCAATCAATCCTTTGTTATCACAGCCTGAGCTAATTAAGACTGGTGTACCAGGTGGAGTCCCAGGCAGGGCCTCAATTATCTTGGAAGATGAGGCCCTTTCTTGTTGGAGCAATTCTCACATTCTTATTATGCATCCACTTAAATATTGATGCCCTAAATCTGGGGCTGGCAACCTATGGCCTGTGGCCCAAATTTGGCCTCAGCCTGTTTTTGTAAATAAAACTTTATTGGTACACAACCACACCTATTTGCTAACTTGGGCCTTGGCCTGTTTTTGTAAGTAAAGCTTTATTGGTGCACCACCACAATTATTTGCTTACTATTGTTTATGGCTGCTTTCATGCCAAAAGGGCAGAATCACATAGTTGTGACAGAGACTATCTGGCTCTCAAAGTCTTAGGTATACTGTCTGGCCTTTTACAGAAAAAGTTTGCCAATCCCTACCCTCGGTGGCCTGAGGATTTCTTCTTTGACAAGCATGATAGAGTTCCAAAAAATATTTTCTGTAGTTTTGCACCAAAGCCAAAATTGAATAAAACAAAATATATTTTTAAAGCAAATGGAGTTTGTCATTATATCAAAGCTAAGAAGTAAAACAAAAGAAGCACAATATACATCAGTCTTCTAACCATGCAATTCAATCTGTGTTATACAGCAGAATAGACAGGCTGTGTATGTTACCCTTGAGCAACAGTTTCCAAATTTTCTGGCAGGAAGCATGACAAAGGTCACTAAATAAGTGGCCAGGAAGTACCTGAGCAGCCCATTTATTAAACTTTCAGTAGCTGTTAAAGATAGCAGAAAACAAGGATATCCATAGCTTCCATTTTAATCTCTTTAAATGTTTAGCTTTTTTTTGCATTAATGAACATCGAAAAGGTGCACATTTACATTTTTGATTGAGAATACGATGCAATGAGGAGATTTAATCAAAGCAACATGGGAATCTAATTAATGCAATCAGCATTAGGTCGTGCAAATATTGTCATTGAATGCCATCGTGTAAAGCTGGTGACAGTGATTTGGGCTACTGGAAGCTTTGCCCCCTCTCTTATTACGATAAAGCCAAGAGGGGAGAGACAGAAACTGAATGTCAACCTGGGAGTTGATATACTCTTTCTGTGTTTAGCTTTTATTATGAGTCATTTAATAGCCCTATCAAAACTATCCTATTTAGGTAAATTTTTAAATGCACCACATCCTGTCAAAGCCTCACAAGTCTCATTTCTGGGTAATAATGTTTCAGAATAATATCAAAATGGGTAATGGAGTTGAATTATGTCTAATTTTGCCAGTGGAAAAAAAGTGGTAAAGGTAAATTAATTCTTCCTAACATGAAGGACACCACAAAGAACAGTAATTTATTAAACATGATGTTAGTTGCCAAAAAGAGAAAATTCATATAAACAAGGAAACCTTTTTTTTTTTTTTTTACTTCTCAATGGCATTATGCTTATTATTTTTAGGACATCAGGCACCATAATACTTAGTCAAACTCAATTACACTTGATTTTGGTTTTATCAAATGAATGGTTGTAAACTTTACATAGTAATGCAAATTAGACCCAGCCAATTGATTTAGGACTTAAAGTAAATAATATGGGGACCAAGAAAATATCTCACCCAAAATGCAACCTCCATGCTGTAGCCGAGAACCCTGTGGGGGTAAGACTAATGATCCAATAGGCTATGTCACAGGTAACATGACCATGACATTTATGAAGAGTGTTGGTAGAAGCCTGGGTGTAGTAGTTAATGCCTTTAATGCTGGTGCTTTGGGAGGCTGAGGCAGGAGGATTGCTCGAGGCCAGGAATTTGAGACCAGCCTGGGCAATATAGTGAGATCCTGTCTCCACAATTTTTTTTTAATTAACCAGATGTGGTGGTGTGCACCTGTAGTCCTAGCTACTTGGGAGGCTGAGGCAGGAATATCGTTTGAGCCCAGGAGTTTGAAGTTTCAGTGTGCCATGATCTGCACTCCAACCTGGGCAGAAGAGTGAGATCCTGTGGTGGCTCACGCCTGTAATCCCAGCACTTTGGTAGGCCGAGGCAGGTGGATCACCTGAGGTCAAGAGTTCAAGACCAGCCTGGCCAAGATAGTGAAACCCTGTCTCTACAAAAATACAAAAGTTAGCTGGGCATGGTGGCGTGCACCTGTAATCCCAGCTACTCAGGAGGCTGAGGTGGAAGAATCGCTTGAACCTGGGAGCCAGAGGTTGCAGTAAGCCGAGATCGTGCCACTGCACTCCAGCCCGGGTGACAGAGAGAGACTCCATCTCAAAAAAAAAAAAAAAATGCACTGGTAGATTTTATAGTATCTGAAATCTTTTTCAGATATATGAAACATGTTTACTCATACTGTATAATGAGCTTCTAATTAGCTTTAAGTTTAGGGGTTTTTTTTTTTGGAAAAGGCATTCATATGGTATAATTGTTATGGACTTGGGACTACTTTCTCTTGTCAACAAAATTGTGTGTGTGTGTGTATTTTTCTAATTTCAGCCCTTTGGAATATATCTTGAATGTGGCATCGAAGGGAGGCTCAACTATCTTAAAAATTCCATTACATGTAAAAAACTGGCTATACTGTTACATCTCTCAAACTTTGAAATTTGTACTTCTGAAGCATTGGAGATGCACCTATTTAAATATCCATAACTATGCATCATGTTTATTGTGGATAATTCTACAGAAAACCATTAAAACATCAAATGTTTTAAAAATTTCTCTGGCACGATAGATATAAGATCACTGAATATTAAGTAATGAACACTTGACAAATGACTTTACAAAATAAAGTAGTATAAATTATTGCTTTTCAGAGGCGAGCAAAGTTGGAAATTGGCACTCAGTAAATGTCTCACAAATATGCCACAGTGCACTTCAATCCCACATCCCATTCCTTCACACGATGGCTTCAATGCTCAGTCCCACTCACCATTGTAGTTTCTGCTATTGACCCAAAGCTGTTGATAAATATGTTGCAGGTAACATTTACAGGAGGCCCTGCAAGTTGAACAATAGAAAATTTGACAGTTTGTGTTCACAGCATAATTGAGTTGTGTCTTTCTCTTGCCAGTGGCATTGCAGCACTTACCATGGTCGTTTCTGTGACTGATCCAAAACTGTTGATAAAAATATTGCAAGTAACGTTTACTGGAGGACCTGCAGAATGCAATGAGAATATTGCAATAGACATTGAAGCAAAAATACAGCTCCATTAACATCTGTGCAATTGGCTAGAGATTTGAATACAATTAAAATGATGGTGAGATTGCCAAAAAAAAAGTTTTACCCTGAGGTGCATAATGATAACATTCCCACTTGTATTTTGGATAATGGCTGTTAAGCAATGGCAACTTACCCTGAAGAGTTTTGGATTTGGAAAATATAAGCTGAAAACTATTGAACTGGATTCACTGTCATAAGTTTCTATTAAAATAGCCTTTTGGGTGGTGGCTTTTTTATTTTTGACCTTAGGATCATCAACATTGTAGACATCAACAGCGGTTCCCTCGTAGTGATGAAATAGCCTGGTCATGAGGTCAAAATGGAGCTGCATTTTGAGTTATGGATGAGTCAGAAACACCCACCTCCTTTTGTATGACATTCTTTAAATCAGCAGGTTACTTTGATTTTCTTGACACCTCTGAATTTACCCCACTCCTTCTTTATATCCTCTGACCACCAATGAGAAATGATGTACAGAAATATAACAAACAAAATTAACTTAAGACATAAACACATACAGTAATGTCAATTTACGTCCATATTGTTACCTTAGTAAATATGGTGTAAAGCAAGGATTATTGCATCCTAGATGTGCTTTGGACACAATAAGAGTCCATTGTTATCTCCAGAGATCCAGTGACTAGCCTGACTGCAGTTCTCTTTTTCTCTTACCTTTTGTCAGTAGGTAAATCACTGTCTGATGATTCTCTGCTTCACATTTTGCTGGGGAAGATATTTATTGCCTTTGTGGAATTTTCTCCTAATGCTTTCTGAGCTAATATTGCCATGAACTATCTATTTACTTGCTGCCTTCTCCTGTAGAAATGTGTATGTCTTCATGCAACAAAGGATCAGCAGCCCAGTGCAAGAAACACCCTAGTTGGCTCAGTACCCAACAAATCTGTAGGATCTGAAAGAAGAGGAATTTGGCTTGAGGCCTCCCTCGAAGGCAGTGAAAACACAAGTTATGGCAGCACTTAAACACTGCATTTTTAAACCTCTTCAGAAGTCCGTGTGGGGTTCTAGAAATGAGGAAATTTGGGGCACAATGGCTAATTTAACTCCCCAGGCAAAATCTTTTGGTAAAAGAAGGAGCAAGGAGTTGTGGTAAAAGAGATGTGTTGTTATTCTTTGAAACATAACTAATTTTTCTATTTTTAATGAAACAGTAATTGTGATTGTTTTTCATGTGTTTGCTCATATCTGTGTAATCTTCTGCAGTGGGGATGTGAAAAGAAATGTACTGAGTTCTGTGACCCTTGAAAAACACCTTATACCCCTCAGAACTCTCTTTTCCTAATGAAAGTACAAGTGTGTTCTTATGCACACTTTTGTATAACAGGATTTATATTTAAAATAGTTTGGATACTTATTACTAATGAATTTTGATAGATGCAAACCAGGACTATCAATGTGTTTTTCTCTTCTTTCACCTCTTTAACTCATTCATTTGAGAGGGCCCCTTGTAGCCCTCCTTAAGTCTACCTTTTGAAATGTGATTGTGATTTTAAAAAATATATTTGTAGGCACAGAATAACAGGCACCACCATATTACCAAAACAATTTTCAGTAGACATCTTTGAAATGCTCCAACTATTTTTAATTTGTCCCGGCCCCTCTTATGTCAGCATCTGCCATGATGAATTCTTCTCCATGGTCACTTTCTACTCTGCTGGATTTTGTTTTTCTTTTTTGATTACTCAAAACAAAGCAAAATAGATACTTTCTCTTTCTTGGCTATAGAATTCTATTTTGTAACAAAGATTTTTCTGCTAATGAGAAATAAATTAGACAAGGCAGAGGCAAGTCACAAGAAATTATATATGTTTGCTTTTTCCCTTTCTCTCCACAATGAAATATTTCCTTCGAGATCATCCAGTTCAAGGTGGAAAACTTTCCTGAATTCTTATATGCAAGATAGATAGAAAAATGAATGATGGGAAAAATAAACAGGAAAAAGAGAAATGTCATTTAAAAGCATAAATTTGAAAATTTAAACATTGGTTGTCTTGTACATTTTCTGCTTCTCTAGCCTACCCAACTGGCTTGGAAGCATTTAGAAAGCTGGGTCATACCATTATATATTCGTTTTTATCTTTCCTGATAAGTGGCATTATGAGTATGTTGCTGGAAGTCAAAATAATTTTTAAGTTACCATATATTGCTGCACTGTGCTAAGTGCATGTAAAAATTATCTAGTGTAATCCTCACAAAAGACGAATCTGTTTATTGCTCTAGTAAATGTTTACAGATGAGAAAACATGGTGTTAGAGAGGTTAAATTGCTTGAAGTCCCATCACAGTAATTAGAAAAGCTGAGAGTCAGTGTCTCATCATTCTGATTCCAAAAACCTAAACTTTCAACCTTTTTGTTGCACTTCCCTCATTTCATAATATCCTGTTGCCCTCCTGGCCTGCTAACCATGGTATTTTACATTGGTTTGTACCTTTCTTAATCCTTTACATCTGACTTTTTCAATTTTGGGCACTTTTTTTTGGTTCAAGGTTCATTTGCATTTCTATATAAAACCTTAGAAAGAAAAAAAGTTTTTTGATGAGGGATTAGCACACGCATATACTAAGAACTGACATATATTTGAACCTTGCTGTGTGCCAGTGAATGTATTATTTCATTCTTCAATAATTATCATCACCTCCATTTCTCAGATAAGAAAAATTGAGGCATAAAGATCATTAATTTTCTCAAGGTCGCAGAGTTTATAAGAGGCAGAAATTGCCTAACTTTAAGGATATTTTTCTTAACTGCAGGGGTAAAATGCCTGAGGCCAATACAATTATCCTAGTGATATAAGCTACCTAAATATGGAAGTTGACCTGCAAGTTCTTTGGGTTGAATTGTAGATAACTGTTTTTTTCCCCACTTTTAGGAGTTATCCTAGCATGTGTCAGCACAACCTTTCATCTGCATTTAGCACAATAGTCTGCTCAGGTGTTCTGATTGACAGGGACATGTTCTTAGATGTGATCACCAGTGAATGAATGTGCTCTGTAAACTACAGAAGGAAATATTTTACACTAGTTAACCCCATCTAATTGATTTATCAGCAAAGTGATGATATTCAAAAATGAGTTGAATGAGAATCTGACTGTTGAAAAGAATTATGTAAACATCTAGTTTTTCATGGCACTATCATTCCTATCCTTCGTTCCTTCCTTGTCTCCTATTTCCCTTCTTCCCTCTTCTTCCTGCTCCCCCCTTCCCTTTCTCTCTTGCTCTCATTTTTCCTTTTTCTCTTATTCTTATGAGAAAGAGTGGCCTGGCCATAATTCAAGTATGCAATCCAAATATAAATGGAAGTAAGATATAGATCTGGCATACTTTAAATGTATTTGAAAAAATAATTCCACCTCATCTGCCCCCAGCACCAAGTATGACAATCCCCATCCCATATTGATCTTCTTTGTTGCTATATATCACTTTCTCAGAGTATCTTCTTTGGAATAAGGTATTTGTCTTAGAAACCCATGTAAAATTATAACTATGCTACATTGGAGACATAATAAATTATTGATTATTATCCATTAACATCTTTGCTTTCAGATCAGTTGATCAAATTGGCTATGGTAGGGAACAGGATCATGAAGAATAGTGCTATTCTTCATATATAGTACTATTATATCCCCTGCTACTCAAACTGTGGGCTGAGGACCAGCAGCATCAGCATCACCTAGGAGTTTGTTGGAAATGCCAAATCTCAGGCCCCATCTGAGCCCTGCTGAAGCAGTCTGCACTTTAACAAGGGGGACTTGTTACTGCAGACCATCTTTCTCCCTTTCAAAATTATGATCACTTGTACTTTGTTTCTATCTTTCATAAATGTCCTTGGAAATGTTAACTGTAGTCCATTTTTAAAACTTCCAAGGTCAAACAAGTTTGGAAAGCACTGTTGAATAGTTATGTAGTTTCTTTAATGTAGATTTTCCCAAAGCATTTTATTGTTTTTAAATCGTGGTGTTTTATATACATATGTGTGTGTATTATGTATTATAACACATGTTATTTGTTTTATATAAATATATATTTAAACTATATTCAGTGGCATTAACTGCATTCACAATATTGTGCAACCATTACCAGTCTGTTTCCAAAACTTTTCAATCACACCAAATAACAACTCTGTAACCATTAAGAGATAACTTTTCCTTTCCCCTCCCTGCCACTTCTGGTAACCTCTAATCTACTTTATGTCCCTATGAATTTCTCTATTTAGGATATTTAATGTAAGTGGAACCGTATAATATTTGTCCTTTGTGACTGATTTCTTTTATAGCATAATATTTTCAAGGTTCATCCATGTTGTAGCATGTATCAGAATTTCTTTCCTTTTCATGGTGGAAAAATATTCCATTGTATGTATGTATAAAACATTATTCATCTGTTAATGAACACTTCAGATTGTTCTCATCTTTTTGACTATTATGAATAATGCTGCAATGAATATTTACACACAAGTAGGTTTGAGTCCCTGCTTTTAATTCTTTTGGATATATACTAAGAAGTGGAATTGCTGGGTCATAAGATAATTTCACGTTTAGCATTTTGAAGAACTGCCAAACTGTTTACCATAGCATCTGCACCATTTTGTCACAAGCAATGTGTGAGAGTTCCAATTTCTCCACATCTGTGTCAACACTTATTTTCCATTTTTAAAATTATTGCCATCTTAGGAGGTGTGAAATGGTATATCATTGTGGTTTTGATTTACATTCCCCTAATGAGTAATGACATTGAGCATCTTTTCATGTACTTACTGGCTATTTGTATATTTTCTTTGGATAAATATCTCTTCAAGCCCTTTACCCATTTTTGAATTGGGTATTTTGTCATTTTATTGAATTGTAGTTCTTTACATGTTCTGGATATTAAACCCTCCTCAGACATGATTTACAAATATTTTCTTTATTGTTTTTTCACTTTCTTCATAATGTCCTTTGATGCATAAAAGTTTTTAGGGTTGTGGCTTTTTTTGTTTGTTTGTTTTTTTCTTTTTTGAGATGGGGTCTTACTCTTTCACCCAAGCTGGAGTGCAGTGGCACAGTCTTGGCTCACTGCAACCTCTGCCTCCCAGGTTCAAGTGATTCTCCTACCTCAGCCTCCTGAGTAGCTGGGATTACAGGCACCCACCATCATGCCTGGCTAATTTTTGTATTTTTAGTAGGGGCAGGGTTTTACCATGTTGGCCAGGCTGGTCTGAAACTCCTGACCTCAAGGGATCTGCCTGCCTCAGCCTCCCAAAGTGCTGGGATTACAGGCATGAGCCACCACACTTGGCCTTTAGTTTTGATAAAGTTTAATTTACCTATTTTTTCTTTTGTTTCTTATGCTTTGGTTTCATATCCAAGGATCAATTGCCAAATCCAAGGTAATGAACGTTTACCCCTATATTTTAAAAAGCAGCTTTTTGGTTTTAACGCTTACATTTAGGTAATTGATTCATTTTGAGATAATTTTTGTATATGGTATGAGAGAGGTCCAACTTCATTGTTTTGCATGTGGAAATTCAGTTGTGCCAGCACTATTTCTTTTTTTTCTTTTCTTTTTTTTTTTTTTTTTGAGACAGAGTCTTGCTCTGTTGGCCAGGCTGGAGTGCAGTGGCACAATCTCGGCTCACTGCAACCTCCGCCTCCCAGGCACAAGCAATTATCTTCCCTCAGCCCCCCGAGTAGCTGGGATTACAGGCATGTGCCACCACGCCCGGCTAATTTTTGTATTTTTAGTAAAGATGGGGTTTCACCATGTTGGTCAGGTTGGTCTCGAACTCCTGACTTCAGGTAATCTGCCCAACTCGGCCTCCCAAAGTGCTGGGATTACAGGCATGAGCCACCATGCCCGGCTGAGTCCCAGCACTATTTCTTGAGGAGACTGGTTTTTCCTCATTAAATGGACTTGCCAACCCTGTCAAAATCAACTGGCCATAGGTGTGTGGGTTTATTTCTGAACTATCAATTTTATTCTATTGGTCAACATATTTATCCTTATGCCAGTATGACACTGTTTTGATAATGTGGTTTTGTATTAAGTTTTGAAGTTAGGAATTGTGAGTCCTTCCGCTTTGTTCTTCATTTTCAAGGTTATTTTGACTATTCAGGGCCCCTTGCAATTTAATATGAAGTTGAGGATTGAGTTTTCCACTTCTGCCAAAAAAGGCTGTTGGAATTTTGATAGGGATTGCATTGAATCTGTAGATAACTTTGGGTAGTATTGACACCTTAAATATATTGTCTTCCTACTCATGACTTAATAAGGGATGTTTTTCCATTTATTTAGGTCTTCTTTGATTTTTTCAGCAATGTTTTGTAGTTTTCAGTGTACAAAACTTTCACATGTTTGGTTAACTTATTTTTAGGTATTTTATTCTTTTACATACTATTATAAATGGAGGTGCTTTTTTTCTAACTTTCTTGTCAAATTGTTTATTGCAGGTGTACAGAAACAACTGATTTTTGTGTGTTCATTTTGTATGCTACAACTTCACTGAATTTATTAGCTCTAGTAATTTTCTTTTGGATTCTTTGGGGTTTTCTATACGTAGGACTGTGTCATTTGTGAGTAAAGATATACTTCCTCCTTTCAAGTTTGGATGCCTTTCATTTATTTTTCTTGTCTAATTGCTCTGGATAAAACTTCCAATACAATGCCAAATAGCAGTGGTGAAGGCAGGTATTGTCTTATTTCTGATCTTCTTAGAAGGAAAAGCTTTCAATCTTTCACCCTTCAGTATGCCTGTTGTAGATGGCCTATAGTTGGATCATGTTGTTAATTGTGAGTTTTAATAAATTCCCTTTATCATATTGAGGAAGTGTTCTTCTATTTCTAGTTTTCTGAGTGTTTTTAAAAATCATTAAAGGATGTTGGAATTTTGCCAAATGCCTTTTCTGCATCAGTTGAGGTGATCGTGTGTTTTTCTCCTTCATTCTATTAATGTGGTATATTACTTTAATTTGTTTCCTTATATTGAACCATCTTTGCATTTCTGGAATAAATCTCAATTGGTCATGATGTGTAATCCTTTTACTGTGCTGTTGGATATGGTTTGCTAATATTTTGTCAAGGATTTTTAAATACATCTTCATAAGGGTGTTTTGAATGAAACTCTATCAACCTAGCTGTTAACTACTGTCCCCCAGCAGCTAAGAGACTTGGACAAAAGAGCACCAGCAGAGGCAATCCACATCTGTACGCTTTGGGGCTGCCTCACTGTCAGGGGTCAGATTGCAAGAACAGCTTTAATGACGCAACCACAACGTGAAAGTTTAAGAGTTTTTACTACTTATGTACCCTGGAGGGTACACAGCATGCCCAGAGACTGCACACATGTAGAGGTCAGGGTGCACAGGCAGAGAGAGAGAGAAGGGACCCATGGGCCAATGCTTTTATTCAGTCTAGGGTGTTATCTAAACAGGCTTCCCACTGGGGGGCTTTAATTGGTGGTTTTAAAGTGAGCAGGCAATCGTTTCAAGTGGTCATTTTGTAACTGAGAGGTGATCACTTTAAGTTTGCAGGCAAATGTCTGAATGGTCTCTTTAAAGGACGTAGCAGGAAAGCAGGGAGTCCTCCCTGCTAGGCAGGAGAGATGCCTCTAAGTTTTACCTCTGGCTACCATTCAGGTGGGAAGAAGAATATGAGACTATGTCAAGGGTGACTGAGCCCTGTTTCTGGCATGAGAGAGTTAAACTTACATATAAAATGGATGCCAAGACAACATACAATTACAAGCACTCACTACAAAGGGATATTGGTCTGTGATTTTCTTTTCTTGTGGCGATTTTATCTGACTTTGGTATTAGAGTAATGCTGGACTCATAGAATGAGTTAACAAGTGTTTCCTCCTTGCCTACTTCTTAGAAGAGTTTGAAGATTCATGTTAATTTTTCTTTAAAATGTGTGCTAGAATTCACCAGTGAAGCCATCTGGTCTTGAACTTTTCTTTGTTGTGAGGTTTCTGATTGCTGATTCAATCTCTTTACTTGTTATATGTTTGTTGAGATTTTTAATTTCATCTTCAATCAGTGTAGGTAAATTGTGTGTTTTTACTTATTTGTTCATTTCATCTAGGTTATCTAAATTATTCGTAATCTTCTCTTAAAGTTCTTTTTATTTCTGTAAGGTCAATAGCAATGACTCCATTTTCATTTCTGATTTTGGTTGAGTCCTCTTTTTTTCTTCGTCAGTCTAGGTAAATGTTTATCAATTTGGCTGATATT
This sequence comes from Homo sapiens, assembly GCF_000001405.40. Classification (NCBI taxonomy): domain Eukaryota; kingdom Metazoa; phylum Chordata; class Mammalia; order Primates; family Hominidae; genus Homo; species Homo sapiens. The sequence goes on along the minus strand of NC_000023.11, from coordinate 14,566,041 downwards.
TGAAAGAACAAACTTCTGGTTTCGTTTATTCTGCAACTCTTTTTCTATTCTCTGTCTTCCTCCCCTCTAATCTTTATTATTTACTTTCTCTGATAACTTTGGGTTTAGTTTGCTCTTCTTATTCTAGTTCTTCAAGGTGTAAATTTATGTTGATTTGAGATTGTTCTTCTTTTAAGTGTAGGCATTTATATTATACATTTTCCTCTAAGCACTGCCTTCACTGTATCCCATAAGTTTTGGTACGTTGTGTTTTTGTTTTCATTCACCTCTTATGTCCCTTGTGATTTCTTCTTTGATTTATTAAGACGGTATTATTTCCAAATATTTCTGAATTTTCCAGTTTTTCTTCTGTTATTGATTTTAGCTTCATTCCACTATAGTGGGAAAAGATACATTTTATTATTTTAATACTTTAAAACTTACTGAGGCTTGTTTAGTGGCCTGAAAACAATTATATTATATATTGATAAAATGGTCAACTCATTAAGATATAATAATTCTAAACACATATGCACCAAACAGAGCTCCAAAATATATAAAGCAGATATTGACCAAAATGATGAGAGAAATAAACATTTCTACAGTAATAGTTGGAGACTTCAACATACCATTTTTAATAATAAATAGAACATCTTTAGAGATCTCTCTCCATATATAATGTCATTCTTTGTCTCTTTTAACAATTTTTGACTTAAAATCTATTTTGTCTAACATTAGTATACCACCTCAGCTTTCTTTTGGTTACTATTTCATGGAATATCTTTTTCAATTCTTCTGCTGTTAGCCTACTTGTGACTTTGAAACTAAAGTGAGTCTCTTGTAGATAGCATATAGTTGAATCATGGTTTGTTTTATCCATTCTGCCAGTATATGTCTTTTGATTAGGGTGTTTAATCCATTTACATTTAAAGTAATTACTGATAAGCAAGGACTTACTTCTATCATTTTGTTTTTTGAATATCTCATAGCTTTTTATGTCCTACATTTCCTCTATTATGACCTCTTTTATGTTTAGTTGATTTTTTTTGTAGTGAACCATTTGGATTTTCTTTCATTTCCTCTATTATGACCTCTTTTATGTTTAGTTGATTTTTTTTGTAGTGAACCATTTGGATTTTCTTTTCATTTCCTTTTGTGTTAACTTTTCACATATTTTCTTTGTGATTACCATGGGAATTACATTTAACAACCTAGATTTATAACAACCTAGTCAGAAATGATACCAACTTAACTTCAATAACATATGATAGCTCCACTCTTATACAACACCATTCTCTCTGATACCAACTTAACTTCAATAACATACGATAGCTCCACTCTTATACAACACCATTCTCTCTCCTTTATGTTTTTGTTGTTGCAGATTATATCTTTTTATTGAATGCACAATAAAATCAACTAATAATTTTTTATGCATTTGTCTTTCCAAGTCCTGTAGGACATAAAAGTGCAGTTATAAACTCCAAATACAATAATAGTGTTTTTACATTTGCCCATACATTTACCTTTACTGGAGATCTTTATTTATTCATAAGACTTCTACTTACTGTTTAGCATCCTTTTATTTCAGCTTGAAGGACTCCCTTTATCATTTCTCGTAGGCCAAGTGGTAATGAACTCCCTCAGCTTTTGCTGGTCTAGTAATGTCTTAATTTCTCCCTCATTTGTTGAGGACAGTTTTGCTGGATATAAACTTTCAGTTACAGTTTTTTTTTTTCTCTCAGCACTTTAAATATATCATCCCATTGTCTTCTGGCCCTTATGGTTTCCACTGAGAAACCAGTTGATAGTCTTACTAGGGATCCCATGTATGTAATGAGTTGTTTTTCTCTTGCTGTTATTACAGTGTCCTCATTGTTTTTGGCTTTCGACAGTTTGATTATAATATGTCTCAGTGTGGATCTCTTTGGGTTTACCCTACTTGGAACTTATTGTGCTTCTTGGATTTGTAGATTTACATATTTCATAAAATGTGGGAACTGTTATTTCTCAAAATTTTTTTATTCATATATTCTTTCCACTCTTTATTCTTCTGGAACTTCTAGAATGTGTATATTGGTCTATTTGATGGGTTCCCATTGGTATCCTAGGCTCTGTTTACTTTCACTTATTCTTTTTTCTTTCTGCTCCTCAGAATTGACAATTTCAGTTTTCCTATCTTCATTAACTGATTCTTTCTTCTGCCTGCTCAAACCTACTGTTAAACTACCCTAGTGAATTTTCAATTTCTGTTTTACCTTTCAGATACAGAATTTTTTTTACAATTTATATTTCTTTATTGATATTCTCATTTTATTCCTACATAATATTCCTGATTTCCTTTCATTCTTTGTCTTTGTTTTCCTTTAGATCTTTGAGCATATTTAAGACAGTTGTTTTAAAGTCCTTGTTTAGTAAGCCCAGTGTCTGAACTTCCTCAGGGATAATTTCTATCAATTTATTTTGTTCCTTTGAATTGGCCAATACTTTCTTGTTACTTTTTATGCATTGTGATTTTTGTTGAAAACTGTATATTTATCATACTGTAGTAACTGAAAATTATCTACCTTCTCTAGAATTTGCTGAATGTTTTGACTGTTGAAGGGTATAGTAGGCCATTTGCTTAGTGACTTTCCAAAACTATTTCTGCGAAGACTGTAATATTCCTTCTCATGTGTGGTCACTATAGTCTTTGTTTCTCAGCCTGTGTTCAACTAGAATTTTATGAGAGATTTTCTTGAGTATCTGGGGCCAAAATACAAAGCAACCAATCAACCAACCAACCAACCAAGCAAACAAAACATAACTCTCCCAGTCTTTGCAGATTGGCTCTATGCCAGAGCCCTTCAACAACTAGCTGGGCTTGAACTGAATCTAGGGATCAGCCCAAGGTGAAAGCTAAGGGTTTGCTCGGGTCTTTTCTGAGCACACATATTTCCCTGAAAATGCAGTGGCTTTCTAAATTTGCCATATGCATGGTCGATTTTGAATGTCCTAATTTCCCTAAGAAACTCTAAGTTTCACTTCCAAGCTTTTAGATGGTCTATTGTATATTTCAATTGTAATATTTTGCCCTTTAAGATTTTTAGTTTGACTTGCAGTATTTTTTTAATTAATACTCACTGCCTTTCCATCCTGAGTTAGGTAAAAACAGAGATGAGCATTGTCATAGGCTGAATTGTGTCCCCCCCACATTCATATGCCTTAACCCTCAGTACCTCAAAATGTAACCATATTTGGAGATAAGGTCTATAAAGGGTTAGTTAAGTTTAAGTGAGGGTTGGCCCCTAATCTGATATGACTGGTGTCCTTATGAGAAAAGGAGAAAAGAGACACCAGGGATGTGTTTACACAGAGGAACGACCATGTGAAAATGCAGTGAGAAGGCAGATATCTACAAGCCAGGGAGAGAAGTCTCAAAAGAAAGCAAACCTGTCAACATCTGGATTTTGGACTTCTGGCCTTCAGAACTGTGAGAAAGTACATTTCTGTTGTTTAAACCACTCAGTCTGTGGTATTTTGTTATGGTAGCCCTAGAAAACAAATATAAACTCCTTGCATTTGTCCTTCTGGTAGCCTATAGAAAGGTTAGAACAGACACACAAAATAATTTGTGAATAAGGTTTGGTCTACTCCTTCCAGATCAAGGGACCAGGGCCCCATACTAGGAGTGTAGGCTGCTACCAATTTTAAACCAAAACTACTGCCATACTAGGGAGGGAATGGGACAAGGGCAAGTGGGAATACCACAAAACTTTCCTACCATTTCGAAGTTACCTTTTTCTTGATTTTGTGGACATTTGGTTGCTGTAAACTTTTGACTGTTTTCCAGAGTTCTGACAAAATTGGTTCTGACAGTTTCTACTCTTTTTGAGAGCTTGAGCTGTCTACTGTGCCGTTTTGTTGATGTCACCCTCCCTTTCTCCAAAACTTTAATACACCTATGTGAACTATGGTGTTCCTGAAAATAAATAGTGTGTGTCATTATTTCCCAAACTTATTTGACTATAGATTTTTTTGTTTTTTAGATAGACCATCCTTTTCGTGGAACACATTTCAAAGATAGCAAGCATTCTGCAAAACATAGCTTTGAAAATGCTGATCCACATTTTTTCATTTATTAATTCAATTAAAACATTCTTATTGAACAATATATATGTTAGATGATAACAATAGAACTATTCAAAGGACTAAAGGCAATCAAAGGGCTATTATAAAACTCTGTGCTCCTGCCAAGGAAGAAATGTTCTATTTGGGCTGCAGAGTAGGTACCTAGGATAGAGAGGCAATAGAAGAGGAAAATCAGTAAAGTCAGCTTAACTTTTCCCAGTT